>NC_000002.12:231429011-231732042 GCF_000001405.40 Homo sapiens
ACAGAGTGAGACTCCATCTCAAAAAAAAAAAAAAAAAAGAATGACATGGACACATATGGAGTAGTTTTAAGGAGCGGAGAGTTTAGTAGGCAAGAAGAAAGGGAGAAGACAGAAAGAAGCTCCCCCATACAGAGACAGAAGGAGGGGGGCTCCAAAGTCCAAAGAGGGAACCCCAAGTGTGGTGGATACCAGCCAGGTATATGTAGAGGCTGGAGGAAGCAGTGTTTGATTTGCATAGGGCTCAGGGGATTGGTTTGACCAGGCATGTCATTCATGCAGCCCGTGAAAAAGCTGGCCCTCCCACCCTAGCCTTTTAATATGCAAACGCAGGGTGCCATGATGTTCTACACACATGGGGATATGTAGGGGTGGCCATGTTGCCAGGAACATGTGGGGCAAGGGCAAGAAGTTCGCAGGAATCGCCATGTTTGGGTGGACCCAGTTTCTAATGGCCTTCATTTGCATATCAAAGGTTGCCGGCCTGGCTCTAAGAGCTGCTTTAAAAACGAAAACTTCCCAGGGACCCCTTTTCCTCTCTTATCTGCCTAAAATAATTTCTTAACTCCTACAACACTATCATACCACATTACAGTTGTAGTATTGAAGAAAGAGACATATGATAAATACGTATTATCCAGTTTCAGTTTTGGCAATGAACATGACAGTCCACAAAAGCCACCATGTTTTTTGTGCTGAAAAATTCTTGTGAATGGAAGAAGGAAACCAGCAAAATGAAAAGGATCCCTTCTGAAAATGCATTTAAAGATGCAAGGGTTTTTTTGTGTAAGGAAAGCTCAATTCAAAAATAGCTGGGGCCAGGTGTAAGGGGCTCACACCTGTAATCACAACATTTTGGAGTGCCAAAGTGGGAGGACAGCTCGAGGCCAGGAGTTCGAGACCTACCTGGGCAACATAGCAAGACCCTATCTCTTTAAAAAAAAGAGAGAGAGAGTTGGAGCACTTGATTTTTGTCAAGCACATCTGTGTGAAGAGACCAGCAAGCAGACTTTGTGCGAGGAATAAAGCTTTTTAATCACCTGGGTGCAGGCAGACTGACTCTGAAAAAGCAGTCAGCGAAGGGAGATAAGAAAGGGGCAGCTTTATAGGGTTTGGGTAGGCAGTGGAAAGTTACAGTTAAAGGTGGTTATCTATTGTTAGCAGAGGAGGGGGTCCCAAGGTGCATGGTGTAGAGATCATGGGACTCATTGTCCAGAAGAAGAATGTCCCAGGGTCAATTGATCAGCTGGGGCAGGGCAGGAAAAAGTCATAATGGTAGAATGTCATAAGGTGGATTAATTAGTTAAGGCAGGAACTGGCTGTTTCACTTCTTTGTGATTTTTCGTCTGCTCTAGACTTCTTGGCTCCTGCAGGCCATCTGGACTTATATGTGCAGGTCACAGGGGTTATAATGGCTGACTGTCAGGCCTCTGAGCCCAAGCTAAGCCATCATATCCCCTGTGACCTGCACGTATACATCCAGATGGCCTGAAGCAACTGAAGAACCACAGAAGATGACATTCCACCATTGTGATCTGTTCCTGCCCCACCCTAACTGATCAATTGACCTTATGACAATACACCCTCCCCGCCCTTGCGATCATGTACTTTGTAATATCCTCCCCCACCTTTAAGAAGGTACTTTGTGATATTTTCCCTGCCCTTGAGAATGTACTTTGTGAGATCCACCTCCTGCCCACAAAAAATTGCTCCTAACTCCACCACCTATCCCAAACCTATAAGAACTAATGATAATCCCACCACCCTTTGCTGACTCCTTTTTTGGACTCAGCCCGCCTGCACCCAGGTGAAATAAACAGCCTTGTTGCTCACACAAAGCCTGTTGGTGGACTCTTTTCACATGGACACGCGTGACACTGAGCTTTGGCTCAGAGGCTTGACATTCCGGTCTTTTTATTTATAAAATATACAGTTATAAGAAAAGATAAAGAAAATGTAAGTTTCTTCCGGGGATTATTGGCGTAGGGGCGATGTTTCTCAGGACTGCTTCAAGCGTGACCAGGACTGTGTGGACACCTTAAAGAAAATTTAAGGGTAGAGGGCAGCATAAGAATGGGAATTGAGGTTAAAAGTGAGTATAAAAGTAAAGAATAGGATTTCATCAGGGTGAAAGTATTGGAGTGTGCCCTGCCAGCAAAGATCTTCCATCCACTCCAAAAGGGAGTCAAGAGTGGTGGTTTGGGGATAGCACCAGGAGATATCAGCTGTGATGGTTTGGAGAAAAGGTGTAAACTGTCAGTGTAAACAAGAGCAGGGCATTTATGAGTAGGTGAGAATGGTGAAGAGGAAAATAGCAGGGATGAAAAAGTTTGTGAGGTGCAGTCCAAGAAGGAGGGGGTGACGCCAGGAAGGAGGGGGTGACTGCATAAAGCCTTGTTGTAAAGAGTAGAGTAAGGAAGAAGAGACCTAATCCTGTGAGGCTGGAAGGGCATATTTTCCTTGGTCTAAGAACCATTTGTCTTGAGTGGGGAGGGATTGATAGGTGGAAACTTCAGTGGGAGAGTAAGTAGGAGTGACTGATGAGAAGGAGAAAAACTGGCTGTGAGGGACAGAAATAGGAATACTGGCTGCTTATTTAGCTGTCTTATCAGCATAATTGTTACCTTGAGCAGTGGGGTCTGAGGTCCTTTGATGGCCTTTGCAGGGAATGACTCCAGCTTCTTTTGGAAGTAAAGCGGCCTTAAGAAGAGTATTAAAGAGGCATTAATAATGGAGGACCCTTGCGTAGTGAGGAAACCTCTTTCTGCCCATATAACAGCATGGTGGAGCAGGATATGGAAGGCATATTTAGAGTCAGTATAAATATTGACACACAGTCCCTTTGCAAGACTGAGGGTCCCATTTAAGGCAATGAGTTCAGCTTGCTGAGAGGTAGTGGAGGTGGGCAGCACGGTGTCCTCAATGATAGATGTGGAAGACACTATAGCACAGCCTGCCTTTGCTGGTGAGTGGCGATTAGGCCTGGTGGAACAGCCATCAATGAACCAAAGTGTGATCAGGGTGAGGAACAGGAAAGAAGGAAATATGGGGAAATGAAGTGAATGTCAGGTGGATCAGAGAGATACGGTCATGGGGGTCAGGTGTGGTATCAGGAATATTGTGGGAGGCTGGATTGAAGTCCGGGCCAGGAACAGTGGTAATTGTGGGAGACTCAACGAAGAGTGAGTATAGCTGAAGGAGCCGGGGAGCAGAAAGTAGATGTGTCAGGTGTGCGGAAGAAAATAGATTTTGAAAGTTATGAGAACTGTAGAGAGTGAGTTGAGCAGAGTTTGTGATTTTGAGGTCCTTTATAAAAGGATTAGAGTGGTGGCAGCCGCCGCACACAGACATGAGGGCCAGCCTAAAACAGTAAGGTCAAGTTGTCTTGTCGCCTAGGCTGGAGTGCAGTAGCCTGATCTCAGCTCACTGCAGCCTCTGCTTCCTGGGCTCAAGCAATCCTCCCACCTCAGCCTCCCTAATAGCTGGGATTATAGGCATGCACCACCACATTGGGCCATTTTTTGTATTTTTTATAGAAATGGGGTTTTGCCATGTTGCCCAGGCTGGTCTTGAACTCCTAAGCTCAAATGATATGCCCACTTCGGCCCCCCAAAGTGTTGGGATTACAGGCATGAGCCACCATGCCCAGCCTATATTTTTTAAATTAATGTATAATTTACATCCAAAAAAATGCACAAATCCTAAGCATACAGTTTGATTAGTTTTGACAATTGTGTACATCTTGTGTAATCACCACCCCTTTCAAGACATAGAATATTTTCAACACCCCAGAAAATTCCCTGGGTGCCTTTCCATTCAATCTCTACCCTACCCCTGGAGACACCCACTTTTCTCTTTTATCACTTTCAAAATTTTTTTCTCATTATTATTTATTAATAATTTCTTTTTTTAATTTTTCAAAAATTCTTTTATTCTCTAGTTATACACACATACTCACTTTCAAATAAAATTCTATATTAGAAGGAAAGGTCTCTTTGTAAGGCATAATATTGACTTTTTCTTATGAGAAAACAGGAAATATCATTGGTGCTTTTAAAAAAGTGAAAGCATGAGAGAAAAATCAGGGCTCCATGTAGAGAAGTCTAATTGTTTCTCTACAAAAACCAACTGGAATACAGGATAGCTCTGTCCTACAGCAACCTAAAACACAACCTCCCTTGATGTACATATAGAAAATACATGTCTTGTGGCCGGGCGTGGTGGCTCATGCCTGTAATCCCAGTACTTTGGGAGGCCAAGGTGGGCAGATCACAAGGTCAGGAGATCGAGACCATCCTAGCTAACACGGTGAAACCCCGTCTCTACTAAAAATACAAAAATTAGCAGGGCGTGGTGGTGGGTGCCTATAGTCCCAGCTACTCAGGAGGCTGAGGCAGGAGAATGGTGTGAACCCGGGAGGCGGAGCTTGCAGTAAGCCGAGCTCACGCCACTGCGCTTCAGCCTGGGCTACAGAGCGAGACTCTGTCTCAAAAAAAAAGAAAAAAAAAAAAGAAAGAAAGAAAGAAAATATATGTCTTAACCAACTTGGGGTTATTCTTTTTTCAACCTGGATTCAGCCTCAGGCTGCTGTTGACAACAGTGCTCCTCTCTGGGGCGAGGCTGGAGGGCTTGCATTGCACTGGAAGGGCATGAGGCACCTACTGCCACAGCAGAGAATCAAAGGACCATAACTCTCCCTTGGGGGTTGAAGAATTCTTTAAAGTCTGAATATTTGGGGAACACAGAGCAAGGCTGTGCCCTGATTTTCCCTTTCTGAAAGTCACACTTAAAACATTTCTGTTCTACAAATTTCCATATATCAAAAGATGCTGTAGAATTTAATTCATACTGTCTTCTCAAAAGGAAGAGGAAAAAAAAACAGTTCTTCATAGGAGTCTTTTCTTTTTTGGTGTCTTAAATGCCAATGATCACAAAAACTTCCAGCTTCTCTTCATTATAGACCTGCATTGCTGAATATGTTATTGCCTTGACTTCTGTTCCCTGAGGATGCTTGGACAATGAAAACTCTTCTCCCCACCCAATTGATCATAATTTGAAATTTCTTTGATCAATACTAAGTACTTTCACTTTCCGGGGTATGAAGAATTCATCAGCACTGAACTTATAAAGCCATTCATCCAAAAAGTGAAACAGAAGAGTCTGTAAGTCATTTCCTTGGGTTTCTACTTCTACTGTTGGGAGGGGCTCCACTGTCCCAGTATCTGTCATGTAACCAAACATGGCCATTGCACATTGCTCGAATGCTTCCTCCAGAGTATCTCCCCATGCGTGTAACTGCACATCCGCCGTATGATCCAAATACTCGTACTTCCTATTGACTGGCGGATACTTGGCCTTGATCGCCTTCTGTTCCTCAGTCAAATTGTAATCTCTAACATCTTCCTCTGCCTGCGCCATGACTCTTTATTAATAATTTCAACTTTTAGGCCGGGTGTGGCGGCTCATGCCTGTAAACCCAGCACTTTGGGAGGCTGAGGCAGGCAGATCACCTGAGGTCAGGAGCTCCAGACCAGCCTGGCCAACATGGTGAAACCCTGTCTCTACCAAAAATACAAAAATTAGCCAGGCGTGGTCATGGGCGCCTGTAACCCCAGCTACTGAGGAGGCTGAGCAGGAGAATCGCTTGAACCCAGGAGGCGGGGTCGCAGTGAGCCGAGATTGCACCACTGCACTCCAGCCTGGGCAACAGAGCAGACTCCATCTCAAAAAAAAAAAAAAAAAAAAAAAAAAAAATTTAGTGGCCGGGCACCCTGGCTGACGCCTGTAATCCCAGCACTTTGGGAGACCAAGGTGTGCAGATCATGAGGTCAGAAGTTCGAGACCAGCCTGACCAACATGGCGAAACCCTGTCTCTACTAAAGATACAAAAAATTAGCCGGGTGTGGTGGCGCCCACCTGTAATCCCAGCTACTCGGGAGGCTGAGTCAGGAGAATCACTTGAACCTGAGAGGCGGAGGTTGCAGTGAGCCGAGATTGCCCCATTGCACTCCAGCCTGGGCAACAGGGTGAGACGCCATCTCAAAATAAATAAATATAAATTTTTTAAAAATTCAACTTTTATTTTATATTTGGGGGTACACGTGCAGGTTTGTTACATGGATATGTTGTGTGATGCTGAGGTTTGGGGTACAATTGATGCCATCACCCAGGTAGTGAGCATAGTACCCAATAGTTGGTTTTTCTTTTTTTTTTTTCCCAAGACAGAGTCTTGCTCTGTCATCCAGGCTGTAGTGCAGTGGTGCAATCTCGACTCACTGCAACCTCCGCCTCCCGAGTTCAAGCAATTCTCCTGCCTCAGCCTCCCAAGTAGCTGGGATTACAGGCGCCTGCCACCGCACCTGGCTAGTTTTTGTATTTTTAGTAGAGACAAGGTTTCACCATGTTGGCCAGGCTGGTCTGGAACTCCTGACCTTGTGATCTGCCTGCCTCAGCCTCCCAAAGTTCTGGGATTACAAGCATGAGCCACTGTGCCCGGCCAATAGTTGGTTTTTCAACCCTTTTCCTCCTTCCTTCCCCATCTAGTAGTCCCCAGTGTCTATTGTTGCTGTCTTTATGTCCCTGAGTACCCAATGTTTAGTTCCCACTTACAAGTAAGAACATGTGGTATTTGGTTTTCTGTTCCTTAGTTACTTTGCTTAGAATAATGCCTCCAGCTGCATCCATGTTGCTGTAAAGGACATGATTTCATTCATTTTTTTTTTATGGCTGTATAGTATTGCATGGTGTATATGTACCACATTTTCTTTATCCAGTCCACCATTAATGGACACTGAGGTTGATTCCATGTCTTTGCTATTGTAAATAGCGGTGTGAAAAACATACAAGTGTATGTGTCTTTTTGGTAGAATGATTTATTTTATTTTAATATGTATAATATATTATATACTTAATATATAATTTACAGTGGCTCACACCTGTAATCCTAACATTTTGGGAGGCCGAGGCAGGCAGATCGCCTGAGGTCAGGAGTTCGAGACCAGCCTAATCAACCTACTCGGGAGGCTGAGGTAGGAGAATCGCTAGAATTCGGGAGGTGGAGGTTGCGGTGAGCCGAGATGGCACCATTGCACTCCAGCCTGGGCAACAAGAGCAAAACTCCATCTCAGGAAAAAAAAAAAAAAAAAAAAATATATATATATATATATATATAAACACACACACACACACACACACACATACATATAATTTAACATGGCCGGGCACAATGGCTCACGCCTGTTATCCCAGCACTTTGAGAGGCCGAGGCGGGCAGATCACTTGAGGCCAAGAGTTCAAGACCAGCCTGGCCAACATGGTGAAACCCTGTCTCTACTAAAAATACAAAAAAAGTGAGCCAGACTTGGTGGCCTGTAATCCCAGGTACTCGGGAGGCTGAAGCATGAGAATCGCTTGAACCTGGAAGGCAGAGGTTGCAGTGAGCCAAGATCGCGCCATTGCACTACAGCCTGGGTGACAGAGTGAGACTCCATTTCAAATAATAATAATAATTTAATATATTATATATATTTATATAGGCCAGACAAAGTGGCTTATTCCTGTCATCCCAGTGCTTTGGGAGGCCAAGGCAGGTGGATCACTTGAGATCAGCAGTTCGAGACCAGCCTGGCCGACATGGCGAAACCCCATATCTACTAAAAATACAAAAATCAGCTGGGCATGGTGGGGGCCGCCTGTAATCCCAGATACTTGGGAGGCTGAGGCATGAAAATAGCTTGAACCCAGGAGGTGGAGGTTGCAGTGAGCTGAGATCACACCACTGCACTCCAGCCTGGGTGACAGAGTGACTCTGTCTCAAAAATAATAACTTTATATATATTTTATAAGTGGATTAGAGTTTATTAAGCAGGGGAGTGGAAGAGATGTGGCACAAATAGAGGTATGTAACATTCAAACAACAGAATCTGGGATTTTTGAAAAAGTATTTTAGTTGCGGGTACACAAAGGATCACTTCCACCCCCAACGACACTGGGGCCTCTGAAAGGGGAGGAAGGACTAAGTCCCACGGCAGGGCCAGTGGTTGCTCCTGGGTTTTGGAATGATCTCTGCAGAGCTTTCAAGGCCAGACCATGGGCTCAGGATTGAGACTTCATAGCAGTTGTGACTAGACCCAGCAAGATGGCTGCGACTGTGAAGCCCTGGACAGCGATCCGGGTGCGTGTCATGAGCTGAGAGCGCTGACTGTGGCCCTGGTGGAAGCAGTAGAGGCCGTAGGTGAGGGCGGTCGCCATGCCTAGGCAACCTGGGTACCATGTGGTTCTCGCGGGTCTTGTGAAGGAATTTTTCCTTGAAACTCTCTGGATTGCTGTAAACAGTGGAGCTAAACCCCTAAATGACTGGGGGCTTCCATGGTTCAAAGGGGACCTCTGGAGTCACAGGGCCAGGAGCCGCCATGTCCAGGCCACAGCTACAGGAGAAAATCGGGACTCCGAGCTCTGCCTCCTGGTGAAGGTCAGAAAAAGAAAAATATATTTTATGTATATTTACATATATTTCTTTTAATAATATATATACCCAGGAATGGATTGCTGGATCGAATGGTAGTTCTGCTTTAAGTACTTTTAGAAATCTCCAAACCAGCCGGGCGCAGTGGCTTATGCCTGTAAACCCAACGCTTTGGGAGGCTGAGGCATGTGGATCACCTGAGGTCAGGAGTTCGAGACCAGCCTGGGCAATATTGCAAAACCCCATCTCTACTAAAAATTAGCTGGACGTGGTGGTGTGCACCTGTAATCCCAGCTACTCGGGAGGCTGAGGCAGGAGAATTGCCTGAACCCGGGAGGCAGAGGCTGCAATGAGCCGAGATCGAGCCACTGCACTCCAGCCTGGGCAACAAGAGTGAAACTCCGTCTCAAAAAAAAAAAAAAGAAATCTCCAAACTGCTTTCCACAGTGGCTGGACTAGTTTACATTCCCACCAACAGCATATAAGTGTTTTCTTTTCTCCGCAGCCTTGACAGCATCTGTTGTTTTTTGACTTTTTAGGAATAGCCATTTTGACTGGTGTGAGATGTTATCTCATTGTGGTTTGTTTTTGTTTTTGTTTTGAGAGTCCCGCTTTGTTGTCCAGGCTGGAGTGCAGTGGTCCCATCTCAGCTCACTGCAACCTCTGCCTCCCAGGTTCAAGTGATTCTCACACCTCAGCCTCCCATGTAGCTGGGATTACAGGCATGAGCCACCATACCTGGCTAATTTTGTATTTTTAGTAGAGATGGCGTTTTGCTATGTTGGCCAGGCTGGTCTCAAACTCCTGACCTCAAGTGATCCACCCATCTCGGCCTCCCAAAGTGCTGGGATTACAGGTGTGACCCACTGCACCTGGCCCAGACCCTGATTGTGGTTTTGATTTGCATTTCTCTGATGACTAGTGATGTTGAGCATTTCTTCATGTTTTTTGGCCACTCTTGTCTTATTTATTTGTTTGTTTGTTTGTTTGTTTTTTTATTTTTTGAGACGGAGTTATGTTCTTGTTGCTTAGCCTGGAGTACAATGGCATGACCTTGGCTCACCGAAACCTCTGCCTCCCGGATTCAAGCGATTCTCCTGCCTCAGCCTCCCAAGTAGCTGGGATTACAGGCATGCACCACCACACCTGGCTAATTTTTGTATTTTTAGTAGAGACGGGTTTCTCCATGTTGCTCAGGCTGGTCTCGAACTCCCAACCTCAGGTGATCCACCCGCCTCAGCCTCCCAAAGTGCTGGGATTACAGGCATGAGCCACTGCACCCAGCCACTCTTGTCTTATTTTGAGAAGTGTCTGTTCGTGTATTTGTCCACTTTTTAATGGAGTTATTTGTTTTTTGTTTGTTGAATTCTTTAAGTTCCTTATAGATTCCGGATATTAGACCTTTGTCGACTGCATGGTTTGCAAATATTTTCTCCCATTCTGTAGGTTTTCTGTTTACTCTGACAACCACTTTTCTGATTTCTATGACCAGTGATTAGTGTTCTTGTTAGTTCTAGATTTTGTCACTCTACATAAGATTTTTGAGTCATCCACGTTGTTGAATGAATAAGTAGGTTTTTAAAAATTGTTAAGTAGGCTGGGTGCAGGGGCTCGTGCCTTTAATTCCAGCACTTTGGAAGGCCAAAGCAGGAGGATCACTTGAGCACCAGGAGTTTGAAACCAGCCTGGGCAACATAGGGAGACTCCGTCTCTAAAAAAACTTAAAAATTAGCTGGATGTGGTGGCGTGCACCTGTGTTCCCAGCTACTTGGGAGGCTGAGGTGGGAGGATTGCTTGAGCCCAGGAGGTAGATGCTGCAGTCAGCTGATATCACACCACTGCACTCCAGCCTTGGCAACAGAGGGAGACCCTGTCTCAAAAAAACAAAAATGTGCTAAGTGATGTTCCATTGCCTTAATATACTACAGCTTGTTTATCCATTCTCCTCCTGATGGACATTTGAGTTCTTTCCAGTTTTGGGCTATTATGAATAAAGCTGCTACAAACATTGTTACACAAGTCTTTTTGTGGACATATGTTTTCACTTCTCTTGAGAAAATATTTAGGAGTGGAATTGAGTCATAAGAGTAGGTATACATTTAAGTTTATACTCTTATAAACTGTCAGAGTTGGTGTGTGTTTAACTTTATAACAAATGGTCAAACACTTTTCCAAAATGGCTGAGCCGCTACAGTAGGTAGCTAGTCAGGTATGAGCAGGCCAGGAGAAGGCTCCCCACACACACTAGGAGTGTCGGGCAACCATCAGGTGATGGTCAGGTGGTTGTTAACTGTCTCTCTAAAGTAATAATTGATCACAGCCAGTGCAGGGAAAGGCCGTCTCTTAATAGATGGAAAACACCTGAAATTGGTGACCAGCAGCTTTCCAATAAGATCCAAGGAATGGGGAGAACAAGACTCCGGAAGTAGGCCAATGTGCAAAACCCCAAGTCGAGACGTCGAGCTGTGCACTAGGGTCTCTTGAGTCGCCCGCTTGGCCCTCTTCCAAGTGTACTTTCCTTCCTTTCCTTACTGCTCTAAAGCTTTTTAGTAACTCACTCCTGTTCTAAAACTTGCCTTGATCTCTCTCCTTATGCCTTACGGCCCTCAGTCGAATTCTTTCTTCTGAGAAGGCAAGAACGGAGGTCGCCGCAGACTCATACAGGTAACTACCACCACTAACAGTGCCATTTCATATTCTAACAGCAATATATGAGAGTTCTCGTTGTTTACACCCTTGTCAACATTCGGCATTGTCAGTGTTGTTAATTTGAACTATTTGGTGGGTGCATGTTGGTATCTCATTGTGGCTTTAATTTGTATTTCTCTGGTGACTAATGATGTTGAATGCCTTTTCTTTTTTTCTTCTTTGAGACGAAGTCTCGCTCTGTCACCGAGGCTGGAGTGCAGTGGCGCCATCTTGGCTGCTTGCAACCTCCACCTCCCTGGTTCAAGCAATTCCCCTGCCTCAGCCTCCCAAGTAGCTGGGATTACAGGCACACGCCACCACGCCAGGCTAATTTTTTTGTATTTTTAGTACAGACAGGGTTTCGCCATGTTAGCCAGGCTAGTCTCAGACTCCTGACCTCAGGCAGTCTGCCCACCTCAGCCTCCCAAAGTGCTGGAATTACAGGCGTGAGCCACCACTCCTGGTCATTGAATGCCTTTTCATGTGCTCTTTTCTTTTTTCTTTTCTTTCTTTCCTTTATTTCTTTTTTCTTTTTTTTTGACTGAGTCTCGCTCTGTTGCCCAGACTGGAGTGAAGTGGCGTGATCTCAGCTCACCACAACCTCCACCTTCCAGGTTCAAGCAATTCTCCTGCCTCAGCCTCCCAAGTAGCTGAGATTACAGGCATGCACCACCATGCCCGGCTAATTTTTGTATTTTTAGTAGAGATGGGATTTCACCATGTTGGCCAGGCTGGTCTCAAACTCCTAACCTTAGGTGATCTGCCCGCCTGGCCTCCCAAAGTGCTGGGATTACAGACATGAGCCACCACACCCAGCTGGTATTTTTATTTTATTTTATTTATTGAGATGGAGTTTCACTCTTGTGGCCCAGGCTGGAGTGCAATGGCACGATCTCAGCTCACCGCAACCTCCACCTCCCAGGTTCAAGCAATTTTCCTGCCTCAGCCTCCCAAGTAGCTGGGATTACAGGCATGCACCACCATACCCGGCCTATTTTGTATTTTTAGTAGAGATGGGGTTTTACCGTGTTGGTCAGGCTGATCTCCAACTCCCGACCTCAGGTGATCTGCCTGCCTCGGCTTCCCAAAGTGCTGGGATTACAGGCATGAGCCACCGTGACCGGTCTAATTTTTGTATTTTTAGTAGAGACGGGGTTTCACTGTGTTGGCCAGGCTGGTCTCAAACTCCTGACCTCGTGTTCCATCTGCCTCAGCCTCCCAAAGTGCTGGGATTACAGGTGTGAGCCACCATACCTGGCCTCTTTTTTAATTGATTAATTAATTTTTTAAAAAGAGATGAGGTCTTGCTCTGTTGTCCAAGCTGGTCTTGAACTCCTGGGCTCAAGCAATCCTCCTGCCTCGGCCTCCTCCCCAAGTGCTGGGATTACAGGTGTGGGCCACTGTACCTGGCCTTCTGTGCTTTTTTTTGCTGTCCAGATATCTTCTTTTATAAAGTATCTGTTCAAGCCTTTAGTCCATTTTGTTATCAATTGTCTTTTTATTATGGATTAGTAATTCTTTATATATTATGATACAAATGCTTTGTCAAAAATAGGTATTGGGCCAGCCGAGGTGGCTCATGCCTGTAATCCCAGCACTTTGGGAGGCTGAGGCAGGCAGATCACTTGAGTTCAGGAGTTTGAGACCAGCCTGGCCTCAAACTGTGTTTGAGACACAGTAAAACCCCGTCTCTACCAAAAATACAAAAAAAACTAGCCGGGCGTGGTGGCACACGCCTGTAATCCCAGCTATTGGGGAGGCTGAGGCAGGAGAATCGCTTGAACCCAGGAGGCGGAGGTTGTAGTGAGATCATGCCACTGCACTCTATCCTGAAAAAGACTCTGTCTCAAAAGAAAAAAAAGTATTGCATTGCATTGTAAAGATTTTCTCCCAACCTGTGGCTTGTCTCTTCATTTTCTCAACAGTGTCTTCTAATGAGCAGACATTTTAGTTCTGATGAGTCCAGTTTATCTTTTTTGTCTCATTTATGGTTAATGCCTTTTGTATCCTCTCTAAGACATCTTTCCCTACCCTTAATCATAAAGATATTCTTCTTTGCTTCTAAAAGCTTTATGATTTTAGGCTTTGTATTTATATCTATAACCTGTCTCAAATTAATTCTTGTATATAATATGAAGTGAAAGACAAAGCTCTTTTTTTTTTCTTTTTTCTTTTCTTTTTTTTGAGATAGAGTCTCACTGTCACCCAGGCTGGAGTGCAATGTCTCGATCTCTGCTCACTGCAACCTCTGCCTCCCAGGTTCAAGCGATTCTCCTGCCTCAACCTCCTGAGTAGCTTGGATTACAGGCATGCCCCACCATGCCCAGCTAATTTTTGTATTTTTGGTAGACATGGGGTTTCACCATACTGGCTAGGCTGGTCTCGAACTCCTGACCTCAACTGATCCACCTGCCTGGGCCTTCTAAAGTGCTGGGATTACAGGTGTGAGCCACTGAGGCTGGCCAAGAATACCTTTTTTTTTTTTTTTTGGTCTCTGTCGCCCAGGCTGGAGTGCAGTGGTGTGATCCTAGCTCACTGCAGCCTCGACTTCTTGGGCTCAAGCAGTCCTCCTGCCCAGCTTCCCGAGTAGCTAGGACTTTAGGTGCACGCCACTATGCCCCACTAATTTTATTTTTTGTAGAAATGGAGTCTCCCTATGTTGCACAGGCTGGTCTCAAACCCCTGGGCTCAAGCCTAACAAAGTGCCAGGATTATAGGTTGGAGCCACTGCACTCAGCCCATATGAATATCCAGTTTTCAAAACACTATTTGATGAAAAGACTCTTTTCCCATTGAATACCTGCGTACCTTTATTAAAAATAAATTAACTATATATATGAGGAATGGTTTATTGACTTTCTAGTCTGTGTCACTGATGTATATATTTTCCCTATAACAATACCACGCTATTTTTTATTACTGTAGCTTTATATTAAACCTTAAAATCATTTAGTATAAGTCCTCCAACTTTGTTTCTTTTACTTTTTAAGATTGTTTTGAGCCAGGCACAGTGGCTCACACCTGTAATCTCAGCATTTTGGGAGGCCGAGGCGAGCAGATCACTTGAGCCCGGGAGTTTGAGACCAGCTGGGGCAACTTGGCAAAACCCTGTCTCTACAAAAAAATACAAAAATCAGCCAGGTGTGGTGTGTGCCTGTATTCCCAGCAACTTGGGAGGCTGAGGCAGGAGGATCACTTGAGTCTAAAGAGGTCGACGTTGCAGTGAGCCAAGATCATGCCACTGCACTCCAGCCTGGGCAACCAAGCGAGGCCCTGTCTCAAAAAAAAAAAAAAAAAAAAGATTGTTTTGGCTATTCTAGTGTTTTGCATTTCTATATAAGTTTTCAAATCATCTTGTCAAGTTCTTTTTGTTTTTGTTTTTGTTTTTTTGAGACGGAGTCTCACTCTGTCGCCCAGACTGGAGTGCAGTGGCAGGATCTCGGCTCACTGCAACCTCCCCCTCCTGGGTTCAAGCAATTCTCCTGACTCAGCTCCCGAATAGCTGGGACTACAGGCACCCACCACCATGCCTGGCTAATTTTTGTATTTTTAGTAAAGATGGGGTTTCACCATGTTGGCCAGGCTGGTCTCGAACTCCAGACCTTGTGATCCGCCCACCTCGGCCTCCAAAAGTGCTGGGATTACAGGTGTGAGCCACCGTGCCCGGCCCATCTTGTCAATTTCTATTCAAAGCTTTTCTGAGATTATGTTGATTGGGTTGAATCTGTAAATAAGCTTGGAGAGAACTGACACGTTAACAATATTAAGTCTTTTAATTTACAAACATGGTGTATCTCTCCAGTTATTTAGTCAATTTCCCTCGACAATGCCCTGCTCACCTTGTATTAAATCTATTCCTCAGTATTTTGTTTTTCTTAGTGAAATTACAATAATTTAAAAATTTTCTATTTTCCAGTCATTTGCTGTTTGGTATATATGTGAAACCAATTTTTACATATTGATTTTATGTCCTTGAAACCTTGGTACTTTTGCTTATTATGACAGTTTTTTGTAGATTCTCAATGATTTTTCTAAATATGTAATCATATTATCTATGAATAATGACTGTTTTAGTTCTTTCTTCCCAATCTTTACACTTTTTATTTCTTTTCCTTGCCTTGTTGTACTGGACTTCCAACAGTGTTACTTGGAAATAGTGAAAACAGACACCCTTGCCTTGTTCATGATCTTAGTGGGAGACTGTTCAATATTTTACTAGTAAGTGTGATATTAGCCTTAGGTTTTTCATAGGTGTTCTTTATCAGTCTGTTAAAATTTTGTTGAGTTTTGTTTATCACAACTGTTAATTGTTGAAGTTTGACAAATGCTTTCTCTACTTTTATTTGGACAATTGTATTATTTTTGTCCTTTAATTCTATAATATGGTGAATTATTAGGTTGGTGGAAAAGTAATTGCTGTTTTGCCAATGAAATAATGGCAAAAACTGCAATTACATAATACATTGATTTTTCAAATGTTAACTAAACTTGAATTGAGACTATACCCTACTTGATCATGATGATCATCATTTTTATATATGTCTTGATTCAGTTTAATTTTTTTTTGTTTTTGAGACAAAGTCTTGCTCTTGTCGCCCAGGCTGGAGTGCAATGGCACAGTCTCTGCTCACTGCAACCTCCGCCTCCCAGGTTCAAGCAATTCTCTTGCCTCAGCCTCCTGAGTAGCTGGGATTAACAGGCGCCTGCCACCACACCCGGCTAATTTTTGTATTTTTAGTAGAGATGGAGTTTCACCATGTTGGCCAGGCTGGTCTCAAACTGACCTTAGGCGACCTGCCCACCTCAGCCTCCCAAAGTGCTGGGATTACAGGCATGAGCCATTGTACCCAGCCAGTAATTTTTTTTTTTAGAGATGGGGTTTTGCTCTGTTGCCCAGGCTGCAGTGCAGTGGCATGATCATCGCTTAGTGCAGCCTCAACCTGCTAGGCTCAAACAATCCTCCCACCTCAGCCTCCAGAGTAGCCGGGACTACAGGTGCATCACCACATCTGGCTAATTTTTTTTCTTTTTTCTTTTTTTTTTTTTTTTTGAGACATCTCACTCTTGTCCCCCAGGCTGGAGTGCAATGGTGCAATCTCGGCTCACTGCAACCTCCACCTCCTGGGTTCAAGTGATTTTCCTGCCTCAACCTCCCAAGTAGTTGGTATTACAGTCACCTGCCACCACACCCGGCTAATTTTTGTATTTTAAGTAGAGATGGGGTTTCACCATGTTGGCCAGGCTGGCCTCGAACTCCTGACCTCAGGTGATCCGCTCACCTCAGCCTCCCAAAGTGCTGGGATTACAGACATGAGCCACTGCACCCGACCACATCTGGCTAATTTTTTAAAATTTTTTTGTAAAGACGGGGGTCTTGCTATTTTGCCAAGGCTGGTCTCAAACTGCTAGACTTAAGCAATCCTCCTGCTTCGGCCTCCTAAAGTGCTAGGATTACGGGCATGAGCCACCATGCCCAGCCTGCTAATATTTTATTTTATTTTATTTATTGCCACCATGCCCAGCCTGCTAATATTTTATTTTATTTTATTTTATTTTATTTATTGCCACCATGCCCAGCCTGCTAATATTTTATTGTATTTACTTTTTGAGATGGAGTCTCGCTCTGTGGCCCAGGCTGGAGTTCAGTGGCACGATCTTGGCTCACTGCAACCTCTGCCTCCCGGGTTCAAGCGATTCTCTTGCCTCAGCCTCCTGAGTAGCTGGGATTGCAGGTGTGTACCACCATACCCTGCTAATTTTTGTATATTTAGTAGAGATGTGGTTTCACCATATTGGTCAGGCTGATCTTGAACTCCTAGCTTCATGATCTGCCCACCTTGGCCTCCCAAACTACTGGGATTACAGGCGTGAGCCACCGTGCCTGGCCCCAGCTTGCTAATATATTTTTTAAATTTTTATGTTTATGTTTCATGAGGAATATTGGTCTTTTTTTGTAATGTCCTTGTCATATTTTGGTATCAGCACTCATAAAACAAATTGGAAAAAGTTTTCTTTTCTTCTCCTTTCTGAAATATAGTTTGTGTAAGATTGGTATTATTTCTTCTTTCAACATTTTTTAGAATTTACTCATAAAGCCATCTGGGCCTGGAGTTTTCTCTGTGGAAAGTTTAAATGATTAATTCAATTTCATCAGTACATGTAGGATTATTCATATTTTCCATTTCTTCTTGTGTACGTTTTGGAAACTTATGTTTTCAAAGAATTTGCTCATTTTATCTAAGTTGTTAAATTTTGTGAAGTAAAGCTATTCACAATATTCCTTCATTATATTGAATATCTGGATGGGGTATGGTGGCTCACACCTGTAATCCCAGTACTTTGGGAGGATAAGGAGGGAGGATTACTTGAGGCTAGAAGTTCAAGACCAGCCTGGGCAACATAACAAGACTCCATTCCTACAAAAATTAAAAAAAAAAAATTTTTTTTAATTAGCCAGGCATGGTGGCATGCACCTGTGGTTTCAGCCACTTGAGAGGCTGAGGCAGGAGGATCGCTTGAGCCCTGGAGTTCCAGGCTGCAGCGAGCTACAGTCATGCCACTGCACTCCAGCCTGGGCAGTGGACAACAGAGCAAGACCCTGTCTCTTAAAAAAATAATAATAATAATAATAATCAGTACAATCTATAATGTGATGATACCCCTTCTTTCATTCCTGATAATGGCTATTTGTGTTTTGTCTTCTTTTTTTCTTGATCAGTCTTGCTAGAGGACTATCAATTTTATCTTATTTATCCTTTCAGTGAACTGATTTTTGTCTTGATTTTTTTACATCATTAATTGTTATTTTTATTATTTCCTTTTCCTATGTATTTCTTCTTTCTTTTTTACATGCTTAAGCTGGAAACAGACAGTTAACTTTAAAACTCTTTTTCTTTTCTAAAGTATTTTAAGTTATAAATTTCCATCTAAGAACTGCTTTAGCTGCATCCCAAAATGTGTTTTTATTGTCATTCATTTTGAAATAGTATCTAATTTCTCCCGTGATTTCTACTTTGATCCATTCAGAAGTGTTTTTCAGAAATGTAATTAATATACAAATGTTTAGGAGTATTCTAGGTATCTTATTATTCATTTCTAATTTATTTCTGTTATATCAGATTGTATATTTTCCAATCCTTTGAAATTTCTTGAGATTTGTTTTGGAGCCTAGAATATTTTGGTGAATGTTTTATGTGCACGTGAAAAGAAGATGTGTTTTTCAATAGCTAGACCTAAATGACCAACAGTTTTCAATTCTTCTATATCATTATTGATGTTTGTCTATTTACTTTATCTGTTACTAAATGAGGGGTGTTAAAATCTCCAACTGTGATTGAAAATTTGTCCATTTCTCTTTATCAATTTTTTGCTTCACAGGTTATAAAACTCTGTTATTGTTTGCATGCACATTTAAGATTGCTATGTCTTTCTAGTAAATTTACCTTTTTTTCATTATGAAATGTTGCTCTGGGCCGGGCGCAGTGGCTCACGCCTGTAATCCTAGCACTTTGGGAAGCCGAGGCAGGCGGATCACGAGGTCAGGAGATTGAGACCATCCTGGCTAACATGGTGAAAACCCGTCTGTACTAAAAATACAAAAAATTAACTGGGTGTGGTGGCGGGCGCCTGTAGTCCCAGCTACTCAGGAGGCTGAGACAGGAGAATCGCTTGAACCTAGGAGATGGAGGTTGCAGTGAGCCACTGCACTCCAGCCTGGGTGACAGCAAGACTCCGTCTCAGAAAGAAAGGTTGCTCTGGCCAGGTGTGGTGGCTCACACCAATAATCCCAGCACTTTGGGAGTCTGAGGCGGGAGATCACTTGAGCCCAGGCGTTTGAGACCAGCCTGGGCAACATAGCAAGACCCTGTCTCTATTAAAGAAAAAATTAAAAGAAAAAAGGAATTTGAAGGCAATTTCTATGCAGATTTTATGGTTTCCTCCTCTGTGTCTCCCTCATTTTCATTATTTCCCAAAATTTCCGACTCACACTCCAACCTGATTCCTCAGCACAGTAAGACATCCACTTTCTGCTCTATTCCCCCGGAGTCACGCAAGTTGGGTGATGCCCTCAGGGGAAAAGCTGGTTAAACATGGGTCTCATCCAGTGTGCTTCCCTTCTTTCCAGGATCGATACCATCTTCCCTGGGTTGCTCCAGTTTTCTATCTGGTATTATTGGAAGACAAATCAACTTTAGAAGTTGATCTTTAAATATTTCGCCCAGGGCCTGGTGCGATGGTTAATGCCTGTAATCCCAGCACTTTGGGAGGCTGAGGCAGGCGAATCACCTGAGGTCAGGAGTTTGAGACAGACTCGCCAGCATGATAAGACCTTGTCTCTACTAAAAGTACAAAAAATTAGCCAGGCGTGGTGGCACATGCCTGTAGTCCCAGCTACTCAGGAGGCTGAGGTAGGAGAATTGCTTGAACCTGGGCGGTAGAGGTTGCCGTGAGCTGAGATTGTGCCACTGCACTTCAGCCTGGGTGACAGAGAGAGACTCCATCTTCAAAAATAAAAATTAAAAAATAAAAAACTAAAAATAAAATAAATAAATAGTTTACCCAGAGTTTTTTTGTTTTGTTTTTTTTGAGACAGGCCTCCCTCTGTTGCCCAGGCTAGAGCGTAGTGGTGCAATCACAGCTCACTGCAGCCTCAACCTCCCCAGTGGCTCAGGTGATCCTCCCACTTTAGTCTCCCTAGTAGCTGGGACTATAAGAGCGTGACACCATGCCTGGCTAATTTTTTTTTTTTTTTTTTTTTTTATATATATAAGGTCTTGCTCTGTTGCCCAGGCTGGAGTACAGTGGTGCAATCTAGGCTCACTGCAACCTCTGCCTCCCAGGTTCCAGCGATTCTCCTGCCTCGGCTTCCCGAGTAACTGGGCCTACAAGCATACGCCACCATGCCCGGTTAATTTTTGTATTTTTAGTAGAGGTGAGGTTTCACCATGTTGACCAGGTTCGTCTTGAACTCCTGACCTCAGGTAATCCGCCCGCCTTGGCCTCCCAAAGTGCTGGGATTACAGGTGTGAGCCACTGCGCCAGGCCCGCCTGGCTAATTTTTGTATTTTTTGTAGAGACAGAGTTTCACCATGTTACCCAGGCTGGTATCAAACTCGGGGGCTCAAGCAATCCGCAGATCTTGGCCTCCCAAAGTGCTAGGATTACAGGTATAAGCCACCTGTCTGGCCTAACCAGAGTTTATAATTGTCATCAACAGAAGGATTACTCTGTTATAAGCCACTTCATCACTACCAGAACCAAACTACCTGTGTTTTCAATGTAAATAAATCTTACCTAATCCATTAATGAACATATCTATAATTCTATCACATAAGTTGTGCTCAAATATTTTAATAACTAATTTCAATATAATTGGTCTCCCTTGTATTCCTTTTATATTTTAAAGTGATTTAGAAAATATTATTCTGAAAAGGGTTCAAAGGCTTCACCAGACTCCCAAAAGAATCCTTGGTACAAAAACATTAAGAATTTAAACTGGATGCAGTGGTATGTGCCTGTAGTCAGCTATTGGGGAGGCTAAAGTGGGATCACTTGAGCCCAGGAGTTCAAGGCCGTACTGTGCTATGATAACATCTTTGTACTCTAGCCTGGGCAACAAAGTGAGACCTCATCTCATTTTAAAAAATAATAAAGTAAAAATAACTTTAAAAATATGTTGGCCAGGTGCAGTGGCTCACACCTGTAATCCTAACACTTGGGGAGGCCAAGACGGGAGGACTGCTTGAGCCCAGAAGTTTGAGACCAGCCTGGGTAATGCAGTGAGACACTGTCTCTATAAAAACATTTTTTTTTTTTTAATTAGCCAGGCGTGGTGGTGCACATATGTAATCCCCACCACTAAGCTACTCGAGAGACTGAGGTAGGAGGATTGCTTGAGCTCGGGAGGCCAAGGCTGCAGTGAGCCATGATTGTGCCACTGCACTCCAGCCTGGGCCACAGAGTGAGACCTTATATGTAAAAAAATAAAAAATTTTAAAAATAAAAGTATCTTTATCTTTATTTATTTATTTATTTTTGAGACGGAGTCTTGCTCTGTTGCCCAGGCTGGAGTGCAGTGGCGTGATCTCGGCTCACTGCAACCTCCGCCTCCTGGGTTCATGCCATTTCTCCTGCCTCAGCCTCCCGAGCAGCTGGGACTACAGGCGCCCGCCACCACGCCCAGCTAATTTTTTGTATTTTTAGTAGAGACGGGGTTTCACTGTGTTGGCCAGGATGGTCTCGATCTCCTGACCTCGTGATCCACCCGCCTCGGCCTCCCAAAGTCCTGGGATTACAGGTGTGAGCCACCGCGCCCGGCCTAAAAGTATCTTTAAAAATAAAACTCCTGGCCTAATGATCCCTTCCTGTTGCTACCTGACCTTACAGTAAGTTGGGGGGAAGGTGTTTCCCCTGGGAAACTTGCTGAGCACCTACTATGTGTTAGCCTCTCTTCTAGGCTCGGAACAGCACAGTGAACAAAACAAAGTCCCCCCTGTCAGAGGGAGCATGCATTTCTTTTCATGTTTCCATGTACGGGGATCAGAAATAGGGTAACCCTCCTGGCCTCTTACTCCCCCCATTACTGGGTTGGTGACCTGATCAGTGGGGACAGCCATTTGTTCCCATCTATGAATTGGATGGAACTGGGCTTTTAAATGGCTGCAATCCTTGAGGATTTGTTCTTTTCCTTCCTCTCCACTTCAACCCTTAGTGTGTCTAAGTTCTTTTTTTCTTTTTTTTTTTTTGGTAGAGACACGTGTCCGGCTATGTTGCTCAGACTGGTCTCTAACTCCTGAGCTCATGCTGTCTTCCCACCTCAGCCTCCCACAGTGCTAGGTCACTGCCTAAATTCCCTTTTTTTTTTTTTTTTTTTTTTTTTGAAATAGAGTCTCGCTCTGTCTGCCTCCCAGGCTAGAGTGCAGTGGCGCGATCTCAGCTCACTGCAAGCTCCGCCTCCTGGGTTCACGCCATTCTCCTGCCTTAGCCTCCCAAGCAGCTGGGACTACAGGCGCCCGCCACCACGCCCAGCTAATTTTTTGTATTTTTAGTAGAGATGGGGTTTCACCGTGTTAGCCAGGATGGTCTCCATCTCCTGACCTCGTGATTCGCCCGCCTCGGACTCCCAAAGTGCTGGGATTACAGGCGTGAGCCACTGCACCCGGCCCCCTTTTTTTTTTTTTTTTTTTTGAGACAGAGTCTTGCTCTGTTGCCCAGGCTGGAGTGCAGTGGCACAATCTCGGCTTACTTCAACCTCCTAGGTTCAAGTGATTCTCATGCCTCAGCCTCTGGAGTAGCTGAGATTATTGGCGCCTGCCACCACACCTGGCTAATTTTTGTATTTTTAGTAGAGACAGGGTTTTGCCATGTTGGTCAGGCTGGTCTCGAACTCCTGACTTCAGGTCATCCACCCACCTTGGCCTCCCAAAGTGCTGGGATTACAGGCGTGAGCCACCATGCCTGGCCCTACTGCCTAAATTCTTAGCGGTGGAGGAGTAGTTTCGGCAGGAAGGAGGGATAGTCTGTTAGATGCTGCAGGGAAGTAGGTGAACCTAGGGAAGGCTGACTCCTGGCTTTGGCACCTGGGGGAAGGGGGACAGAAGCCACACTTCGAGAAGGCTAGAGTATGCTCATCCTGAAAGTTTGGCAATGAAGGGAAGAGACAACTGTGTGAGGTGGCAGGTCAGGAGACAGTCTTTTGGGGTGAGAAAAGCTTTGGTATTTTTTTTAAGCCTGATGAGAGACAGTGAGACACACAAAGATAACGGGGTAACTCTCAGAGAAAGGGCACAGGACATGCTTCCAAATAATCTTAGCTGTAGGATCCAATTGGAAACCCCTTTTGCAGGGGTTGTGCAGCATCACTCAAGGTGGGAGACTCCCTGGGCCTATCCACTGGTCTGGAATCTGAGGCTGAGTTTGGAGTTAGAAGGCCTGCCATCAGCTCATCACCAGGCCTCCCTCCGGCAGAGGTTTCCACATCCTTGTGGACTTATGCTGCCACCTGCTGGAAACATGACAAATGTGGCGACAACCATTTGCAGAAGAAAACTATCACTTTTCTAAAATGGCTCCAAACACCTCCAAATCAGAAACTAGAGACAGGTACTAGGGAAGACTGGGAATTTGACTTCAGTCCCTAATCGCAAGCCTCAATGTCTCTTTCTGGCCCTGCAGGGTAACCCACCTTACATCTTTTTTTTTTTTTTTTTTTTTGAGACAGTGTTGTCGCCCAGGCTGGAGTGCGATGGCGCGATCTCGGCTCACTGCAGCCTCTGCCTCCTGGGTTCAAGCAATTCTCCTGCCTCAGCCTCTCAAGTAGCTGGGATTACAGGCGCCCACTTACCATGCCCAGCTAATTTTTGTATTTTTAGTAGAGATGGGGTTTCACCATGTTGGCCAGGCTGGTCTCAAACTCCAAACCTCAGGTGATCCACCCACCTTGGCCTCCCAAAGTGCTGGGCTTACAGGCCTGAGCCACCGCACCCGGCCTTCATCTTCATTCAACAGGAAATCAGCACATATGATTAGAACAAGCACTGAGAAATCACAGGACTGGACCGTCTCTGCTTTCCTTCTCTTAAGGAATGGTAAAGAAAAAGAATCAGGAGACAGGAACGTTAGTGTCCTGCCCTTGTCTTGCCTCACAGCAGGTTAGTAGAGGGGCTGAGGGAAAAGCCCAGCTGCTGAGCACACAGTTGCCCAGCAACTGCCCCATTATTAACAGCTACTTGATAGAAATGCAAGCCCCACCTTGGGAGCCATGGGCTCTTCCTGCAATTCAAGCCCTATCAAAATCGCACTCCCATAGGCTCTCCAAGTATGGAAAAAGCAGTGACTGTGCTGCACCAGAGCCACCAGCAATCCCAGCCCTTATTCGTAGATGGCCACACGGCATATAGACTATCGCTTACTTTAACCCACAGGCCTCCCAAAGAAACCAGCTGCAGCACATTCTCACCTGGATGAAGGCTGCAGGGAACCGAGGAGAGCCCTGGAGGCATCATTTCATAGATTCCAGAAGACCTAGACACCAAGTCACAAGGTTTTTCAAGCTGTTTGTCACCCAGGCTGGAGTGCAGTGTCGGGCTCAAGCAATCCTCCCACCTCAGCTTCCTGAGAACTGCAGGCTTATGCCATCACGGCCACCTAATTTTTCTTGTAGAGATGGGAGTCTCACTGTTGTCTAGGCTGGTCTCAAGCCATCTCCACACCCAGGCTTCCCAAGGTGTTGGGATTACAGGTATGACCCACGGTGCCCGGCCTCACGGGATCTTTCTTGAAAGCCACTGGAGATAAATTCATACTTATGTTCATACTATGTGTTTTGCTGCAATTTAAGAGCTAACAGACCTAATCCACAACACGCCTGATGGGCTTCAATTAACTGAGCTTTTAATTCCTTATCCAGAATACAGGCTGCAAGGCCTTCCTTTTTGTCCTTAGGCTTGCCTCATAGGAGACCCTCCCACTGCTTTTTCATCGTAGTTACAACCCTGGCTGGCCACCTTCCTCTCTAGAGCATGAGGGTCTTGGAACTGGATTGTCACCACCCCCATCCCCTGGACATGGAACAGGGCTGACAAGCAGTAGGTGATAAGCCCAAGGATGTTAAGATTTCAACAGCCCAACTGAACCAGAGTAAACCCAAAGCAGCTACGTATTCTTCACGTTTCCTTCTAAGCTTATCCAAGTATCACAGTTTGATTTCACTAGTTGGACTAGAACAGGTTTTTGGACTTGGCTACCTACATTGATTTTGGGCACTGGGTTTCAAGTAAATTCATCACAATGTTGATAGTCCCGCCTCTCACGTGGCCTTGTCTTTTACTAAAAAGGGAGGTTGAGAGGCAAGTACTTAAGACCAGAAAGAATAAGCAATATACGTAGTGCAGAACAAATGGCTTTTTGGGGGTTTACTGGATGGGCAGTTTCCTCCCCAGCCCCAAGGTTCCAAAGTGTCCACTGGTCTATCCATCTAGCGTGAGTTCTATTCCAGAACTGCTTTTTGGGAGATGGGAGTCTCGCTTTGTTACCCAGCCTGGAGTATAGTAGTGTGTGCTCAGCTCACTCTGCTTCCCGGGTTCACGTGACTCTCCCGCTTCAGCCTCCTGAGTAGCTGGGACTACAGGAGTACACCACCATGCCCAGCTAATTTTTGTATTTTTAGTAGAGATGGGCTTTCACCATGTTGGCCAGGCTGGTCTTCAACTCCTGACCTCAGTTGATCTGCCTGCCTCGGCCTCCCCAAGTGTTGGGATTACAGGAGTTAGCCACTGCTCTTCCCTGAAGCTCTTCCTTGTCCTAGGAAACCTGACTAATCTGTTCCTGCACCTCTTTCCAGAGTGGTCTTCAGGACATAATCCTCAGACCTGCTAAAAGTAGGAGAAGCTGCAGCAGCCTTCAAGTCAGCACCAGGGCTGCAGGAGCAGGTCCCCTCACCAGCATTTCAACCAAGTTAGTTAGGGCTGGGATACTGGAAACACGCACTAAGCCATTTCCATTGGGATGGGTGAAGCAAGTGGCAGAGCTGGCTTTGCCATGCTCTCCAGTGACATTCCAGGGGAAACACTCTTTAGGAAGTAACACGTCTGGCACCAGAGTTGACTTTTAATTTGTCCTAAAGCCGCTGAAGCAAAAACCATGATAAAACATTCTGCTTTCTTTTCTTTTACAACCCCACGAACGCAAAAAAAAAAAAAACAAAAACAAAACAAAAAAAAGAAACAACAACAAAACCCAAACTATTTGTAGGAAAAAATGGTTTTGTACATGGGATGAAACAATATAAATTCAAAACTTACAGATAAGGGTTAGCTCTATCACTCAACTCTTTAAAAAGTTTATATGAATATCCAGTCAAAACCAACACGGTATTGCCCTTGAAATGTTAACTAGACGGATTTCCAAGGAGACCACAGGACTGTATACTGTCTTGGAATGTCCTCAGAAGGCTCTGTCATTGATCAGGTAACAGTAAAAACCCCAGAGTCCTTTCTTTCAAATGGAAAAGGGAAAGCAGAGGGACAGAAGCTATTCAAACTTCGTCTTCTTTCCTTGTGGCTTGTGGTCACCTCCTCCTCCTCTGCCTCCTCGGAAGCCTCCTCGCCCTACAGGAGGAAGGCAAGACACTGTTAAAAGAATGGGTACAAAGCTCCTCCTCCCCAGTGATTAGGAACCGTGACAGGGCACAGGGTCTGAAGAGCACATGCTATGTGGTGTCATTATCTCTGCGTGCCTTACCTCCAAAGCCTCCCCGGCCTCTGCCACCAAATCCTCCTCGGCCTCCTCTACCACCACCTCGTCCTCCAAAGCCGCCTCTGCCTCCACCACGACCCCCGAAGCCACCTTCACCCTTAGGTTTGGCCCAGTCCAAGGTAACTTTATTTCCATCAATTTCACCGTCTTCCATGGCCTCCTTGGCAGCTTTGGCATCCTCCTCACTGTTGAAGTCTACAAAACCAAACCTAGAACACCAAATGAAATTGCCCATTATAAAAAGCACCTACTACACATGTCCCAAGTTAACTGTACATGCTGGGGAGCCATCCCACAGAAAGTAGCCTTGTTTATTTGGGAAAAGATACCAGTGACAGAGTAGCTCTCTATGGAAAACTAACTGGTGTGACAGCTTGAACCCCAGAATGTCTCACAATACAGCTAAATATACCTCTGTAAAGACAGAAGGTAAAATAATGCTAGTTCTGTGAATTCTCTCTTCTTCTCGTGCGAATCCATAAACTGCCACTGATAGACAGAAAGGAGCTCAATGAGAAGACACATTAGACTCAAGGTCTGCACAGAACAAAAACCCCTTCAAGTGGAAGCAGCACTCACGCTTCCTTCCCTTACCCTTTGGAGGACCCAGTTTCCCGGTCAGTAACTATCCTTGCCCGAACGGAGCCGTCAAATGACTCCTTTAATGTCTCTTCAGTGGTATCCTCAGACAGGCCTTTGACAAACAGAGTTTTGGATGGCTCTGGGAAGGAAAAAAAAATGTGACTTTATGTGAAGTCACAGTTCGTAACACTGAATTTGCACAATGCCTAGTATGACTACTAGCCAAGAATACTTGTTATAGTGAAAAAGCAGTTAAAAGCAACTAAGCCAACTAGTCCTTAATTAAAGTAAAGGCTATTCTGGGTTTACATTTTTTAATTGCCATTGCATAGTTGATATCCTGCCCCAGATCTTCTATGGAAAGTGGGAGAAGCAACCCAAGCAGGTGGGGCCCAGTGGATGGGGCAGGAAATCATGGGCAAACTTGCTACTCTGAGTTGACACAGCTGGATCAGAACTTGACTATCTAGAGGAATTTTCTTGAGATTTCATCAATTATTTCTCAGGTAATCAGTCATCATATCCAGTTATTGTTCACTCAGTAGCAACAGGAAACACAGAATTTGTGCAAAAAATAAACAAAGCACCGAGAGTGCTACCCCCAACCACAGCACCCTAACCAGGTGAACTTACGGCTTCTGGCATTAGGTGATCCCCTGGGTCCTTGCAACTCCAGCCTGATTGCTCTGCCCTCAATTTCCCTTTTATTACAGGAATTTAAAGCTTCTTTAGCGTCTTCGAATGAAGCAAACTCTATAAATGCATACCTGAGGATGAACAGTTAATGCTTAGAGTAAGTTACCAGGCACATGCTCCTTCACTGTCACATGATGCTGCCAAGCCCCTTCTCTCAAGTTGGTACCTAAATGATGATCTTTATTTTACACTCATTTACGTAGCTAAAATTATTTGGCTTTTCTGACAGGATCACATGACCTTACGTTCCTTTAGACCTCTAAGACATATATAGCCTATAACTGATGATACAAAGGTATTATCTTACCCTTTAGATTTGCCATTTTGGTTCTGGGGTACTTTGATAAAAGTTGCTTTCTCAAATACTTCCTGAAGAGTTTCTTCTGTTGCACTGTAGGAGAGGTTGCTTAAAACCAGAGTTTTTGATTCACCTGCAAATAGAGATGCCACATTCCTAAGACTCTGAAACAGTGGTTCCCAGCTTCGGTCACAACAGTAATATCTTATTCCTAAGAATTTCAGTGCTTGAGTTAATATACAAATACTCATGACGTAAGCTAAATCCATTTCTGTTACTCAACATATTAAGTACCTAGTACGTGTTGCAATGTCCTGCTGGTTGTTCTTACATAGGCTGATGACTGGTCTGTTTTCCTAGAATCATCTGAGTTCAAAACGCACATGGTCAAGTCATTTAAAGTATAAAACATGCCTACAAAGGAAGCTTGATTTGCCTACTGTATTCCAATGCAAAATGATTTTAGAGCTCTCATTCAAGATTGGAAATTACTATTCCAAATAAGAGTATGACTTGGGGTATCATGTCCTTGATCTTCACCTACATTTGAGTAACTTTGATTAAAAAGTATTTATAAACTTATGAAATACAAAGACACAAAGGAGTTCCCTCCACCAATTCTGAAACCTTGTAACAAGCCTAATTTCTTACCACTCCAAGTGCTATTCTTTCCACCTCTATAGTCTTGATTTTGACCTTTCTCTCCAGTATAGTACAGGGAAATAGATCGCCCATCGATCTCTGTTCCCTGCTTTTCTTCAAAGGTTTTCTCTGCATCAGCTTCTGTCTTAAATTCAATATAAGCAATCCTGCAATGGAGGGAGAAGAACTCATGGTTTTTAAAACCATATTAACACAAATGCTTTTACCTCAGCAACACAGAACTTGCTTCAGATCTGAGTACAATAAATGCCCTTAGTTTTATGCCACTTTTCAATCAAAACTCGAGCTTCCCTCTTACTTCCCACTAGTTTTACAAATACTTGGAATTTTTTCATAGTAACCTCACCTCACTGAAAGAACTGCTACTACTTACAAAGTATTTATTGTAAGATAGGCACATTTCTTGCTTCTTTGTAAGTATTAGCTTGTCTTTTAAAATCACCCTATGAGTACATTATCCCCATGGTACAGATGGGTTACTGAGGCACAAACTTACAGGTTAAACTGTCCAAGATTACACGCCTAAGGAAATCAAACCAATATTTCTTTTATAAAGCAGGAAAGTGCATTAATGTTAATAAAACCCTTACATTTCAATAGACAGAACATACCCTTTACTTTTCCCATCCTTGCTGACTAATCTGATCTCCGCAGCATCTTCAAACACTTCTTTCAATTCATCCTGAGTGACTTTGTAAGGGAGATTTTTAGCCAAAAGTGTTCTCGCATCTCGCTCTAGATTAAAAAAACAAAAATGAGCTCTGTGGCCTGAAAAACCAAAGGTGGGGGGCAACAACAAAAAGAGGGGAAAAACACACATAGCTCTATTCAACAAATAATTTGAGATCCTATAATGTACAAGGCTCGGTGCTAAATATGGAGATATAGCAGTGTCAACACACAAGTGGTCCCTCCATGTTGTCACAGCTGATGTCAAACTCTCTGTTAGGTACACTGGAGTTCAACCTAGAGTAGACGCGCATAACAAAAAAAGTGAATGTACCAATTCAAAACATTACAACTGTATATAGGGAGTAATTAGGGACCTAATCTAGTTTCAGTGAAGAAAGATCCCTTTACGTTAATTTAGGTGCATCTAATAATTCTTGTTCTGTATAAAAGTGCTCTTGCTTGCCTAACTCAGGAATTTACACTATAACACTGACAAGCAGTGCCAAGTACTCTTGTAAACACTGTAGCTCATTTAATTCCCACATTAAGAGGAAACCAAAGGAAAAAAATGATTTAAAAAAATAAGAGGAAACCAAGGGAAATGGGTTACAAAGCATTTTCCCTAGCAGTCTAGCTCCTGAGTTCATTGCATAATCTCATAAAGCCTTACATACCTTTCTTACTGTCTTTTCCTTTTGGTTTCTCTAGTTTAATTTCATTGCCAAAGACTTTCAAACCAGTGAGTTCCAACGCTTTCTCCAGGTCTTCAGCAGATTCAAAATCCACATAACCAAATTTCCTTCAAGGTGGAGAGGAGGGCAAAATTACAACAGGTGAAAACACAAATCAAAATCCACAATATGTATTCTAGACAAATGTGATGGTGCAAACAAAGATCACATTTTAAAAAGCACCCCTAGTATTAGCAAAACAAAGTCAAGGCTCTGCAAACTGCAGCTACAGAACAAGGTCTCAGCATGAAGATATGACATGCACATTCACGTTTGAGGTCTTCATCATGGAGCTAAATTGCTTATAAGAATTCACAGTAGCAGCTGACAAAAGAACACCTATAAGCACTAATACAGGAGAATCCTGTCTGGATAAAAGTATTCACTATGATGACTAGACAGGTCTAATAGTTTCAGGTACTTCCAAGAAAATAAACATTATTTTAAATTGAGACGGTGTCTCAATCTGTTGCCCAGGCTGGAGTACAGTGGCGCGAACTTGGCTCACTGCAACCTCTGCCTCCCAGGTTCAAGCGATTCTCCCACCTAACACCAAATTATTAAAACTTACTGGCAGGGTGGCTCACGCCTGTAATCCCAGCACTTCGAGAGGCCGAGGTGGGTGGATCACTTGAGGTCAGGAGTTCAAAACCAGCCTGACCAACATGGTGAAATGCCATCTCAACTAAAAATACAAAAATTAGCCAGGCATGGTGAAGTGCACCCGTAATCCCAGCTACTTGGGAGGCTTAGGCAGGAGAATCGCTTGAACCCGGGAGGCAGAGGTTGCAGTGAGCCAAGATTGCGCCACTGTACTCCAGCCTGAGCAAAAGCCAGCGTCCGTCTCAATACATAACAAAAACAACAAAAAAACTTACTAAAAATTATTCTGTGCTATACCAAGTTACGACTGATTATGGAAATTGCAACTTAGGGGATCTACAGTTTAATTCTAACTTAGTTCACTAATGCTAATCCTTGAAGATGTTTACAGTATTCATGTTTAACAGTAGCAGGCTAAAGTAACTGTGCTAACAGGGGAAGGAAAAGCATTAACAGACCCACGTGTATGTAACGTGCAGTGAAGCACTTACCTAGTCATACCAATTCTGACATCCACAACAGCAAGATCATTTTTAGCAAAAACATCGCTGATACCAGTTTTTAATTCAGGAGCAGATTTGTTAAAGTTTAGGTTTCCAACAAAGAGATTGAAAGCCGTAGTCGGTTCTGTGCCTGCACAAAAAAAGCTCAACTCAGTCTACTTGTAGTGTGGTAAAAAGTTAGTTTCCAAAGCAAAATTTCTATACACAGCACATCAGCACACTACAATGTAACATCAGGTTTCAGTATTAAGTCCCTTTGTTATTCATCATTTGTGCTGTTTATCTCCCCCATATCCCCTAATTCTGCAAGTTACCTTCCACTTTCTGTTTCTTGGCTTCAGGAGCTGCTTTCTGTTTGGCCATTTCCTTCTTTCGTTTTCCAGGTGCTTCTTTGACAGGCTCTGGACAAGATGTCAAACAATGTATCACACATCAGTAGCCACAAACACTTAAGTGCCTCCTTTAAACATAACTCATGTCGTATGTCAGAATCTAATTTAAGTACCTTCCTCCTCCTCTTCTTCCTCCTCCTCATCATCTTCATCATCATCATCTTCATCATCTTCGTCGTCGTCGTCATCCTCGTCCTCATCATCCTCTTCTTCATCTTCATCCTCAGCCACGTTCTTGGCTTTCACAGGAACAACTTTTGCAGCTTTCTTTCCTTTGGCTGGTGTAGTCTCCATAGCTTCTTCTTCAGAGTCTGAAAGAGAAGTCACCTAAAAATTGCAGCAATCTCCCAAAACCAACATCGGTTTTCAAATCTAATGTAAAGAAAATGCAATCCTGTCACCATGTTTAGTTAACAGTCATGGCAAGAATAGATCACTTGGGGCCGGGCGCAGTGGCTCACGCCTGTAATCCTAGCACTTTGGGAGACCAAGGTGGGTGGATCACCTGAGGTCAAAAGTTCGAGACCAGCCTGGCCAACATGGTGAAATGTCGTCTCTACTAAAAATACAAAAATTAGTAGGGTGTGGTGGTGGGCACCTGTAATCCCAGCTACTCGGGAGGCTGAGGCAGAACTGCTTGAACCCAGGAGATGGAGGCTGCAGTGAGCCGAGATAGCGCGCCATTGCACTCCAGCCTGGGAAACAGCAAAAGCTCCATCTCAAAAAAATTTAAAAAAAAAAAAAATCACTTAGAAACAAAATCCTACATTATAAAAAACACTAATAGAATGTGCTATTGAAATTTTCTCAAGAGGCACAAAAATCATTCATGGGTAATTAAGTCTAGCACACCACAACAACCCAGAGAATTCCCACAAGGATTCTAATCTCATCTCCAGGTTGTCGTGGAAGGAATATGTTGATCCCAGAATCTCAAGATACCTTGTAATCAGAAGCCCAGTAACTACCAAGACAACTCCTTACCATCTTCCTCATCGTCATCGTCATCCTCATCATCTTCGTCATCCTCATCGTCCTCATCCTCTGAGGCAGGGGCAGCAGCTGCTGCTTTCATCGCTGCTGGTTCAATTTCATCTTCATCCTCATCCTCGTCCTCGTCATCCTCCTCATCCTCCTCACTGTCATCATCCTCCTCTTCATCACTGTCTTCCTTCTTGGCATTCTTGCCATTCTTTGCCCCCTTGGCTGGGATGGCAGCACCCTTCTTACCAGGAGTTGCTACCAATGCTTTGCCTGGTGTGGCTCCCTTCTTGCCAGGTGTGGTAACTGCTTTGGCTGGTGTAACTGTCTTCTTGGCAGGTGTTGCTGCTGCCTTTTTGCCTGGAGTGACAGCTGCTTTCTTGGCTGGTGTGGCAACTGCAACCTTTTTTGTTGGGGAAACGACCACCTTCTTTGCTGAGGTTGCAGCAGCCTTCTTGCCTTTCTTCTGAGGTATGACGACCTTGAGAATAAATGAAAACCAAACCAGTAAGTCCAGCCCCACACCCAAAAAGATAACCATGGTCCCAATGAGATGTTAGACTCTGGCAATGCCTCTGGTTCAAGACCACATGCACTAGACACATTAGCATGTTAAACTCCAGGCTTCTGTTATGTTGTCTTAAGTCAGAGCCCCTATCATAAGGTGAATACCCAGACATAAGGAACTCTTTTGAACACTTAAAAATACCTCTGAACCAGACCCTCTGAATTCTTACACCTCATACTTTCCCAAGCCCCAACTTTCTCATCTGAAAATGGTAATAGTATCATCCTTACATGTTTAAGGATCATGAATTGCTATGTGTAAATTATTCAGAACCTTACACATAGGAGGCTCCAAGCATTAACTTATTAAATCATTTGGGGCTCCTACAGTGGGTGGCGGTACCAAGCCCAGTGAAGCTCAATTCTTAGGACCTGAGACAAAAAATGAATAGGCTAAATATAAATATTCCTTACAAAACTATCACACATCAAAGAGTGTGCATGGTAGTTTGATAAAAGTCATCATTTAGCTACATTAAAATCCCGTAGTTTTATCAGGCAATGTGTGGAAGAGTAAAACTTTCATTCAGTTCTCAACGAGAAACCTGAGCACAATTCAGTGCTCAGCTGTCTTTATAGTGAGCAAATAAAAGGCCAGGAGTGCTAAAGAGGGTCAATGGTAACACAAAGAGAGGTGGCAGCCCTCAGTCTACACCAGAGATAACTATAAAACACAGTGAGTAGTATTACAAAGTTTATATATAATGGAATGGAGACCAATTAATTTTAATTGGAGGCTAGGAAAGGAATCTGGTAAGGTTATCCTCAGCTCTGAATACAATGCCCAGCTCTACATGTGGGGGTGAGGCTAACATGTTGAAACTGGAAAAATGTAATGATTTAACACAACAAATCACACTCCAAGCCCTGCAGAGGAACATGTAAAAGAAATTCCCAGATCTCGTCTTACACTCACATTCAAATACTTAGCCAAATGACATCTTGACATGTCAATGAAGAGCTTGTGAAACACTCAACCACTACAATAAGACATACCTGAATAAAATCTTATTTTTGCCACAGATATCCAATTTCATGTCTTAACTCTCCATTTTGTAGTTTTAACATAATTCTGCATTAAGTTGGATAAAATTACCTCTTCTCCACTGCTATCATCTTCTTCATCTTCTGACATTTCCTCATCTTCACTATCTTCTTCTACCTCCTTTGGAGGAGGAGCCATTTTCTTGGGGTCACCTTGATTTTTACCTGCCTAAAATGGACACAAATAGATCATTACACCTCCACCTCGACATTTCAGGCCATTCATATTTTGCCATTAGTGTTCATACGCCATCATCTCCGTCCTCAGATCCATTTCTCATAGTGCCAAACACCACAACTAACATAGAAACTACTCCTGATGGCAATGCAAGAGGGACTACTCTCAACCGCCCACATTTTTCCTCCCAGGCTTTACCAACAGAAAACCTGCCCTAAGGTAAAAAGTCAACCTGAGGAAATGATTTCTCCTCCCGTTACCTTAGTTAAGCACAACCGTGTTTTAATACTACAAATCCCGGTACTTTATTCTACCACCCTCATCTGAATCCAAATTAACGGTGAAGATCATTAAGGCACTTAAAAAAATGACTACCTTGATTTTCTCATGAAGCTTATGCCTTTCCCAGCGAGACAACCCCGCCCCTTAAAGAGGCGGCGCGGCCACGTGGGGGTACCTGGTAGGCCACCACGTGCCCGAAACACAGCGCAAAAGGCACGCGGCAGAGCCACCTTCCGGGGCCCACCACGTGTCGGCTTGCCAGGCCGGGGCGGAGACATCCGAGCGCAGCCGGGACTCCGACTAGGGCCGATACCGCCATTTCCCGGCCCAAGGCACCCGGTCCCTCTGGAGATTCCAGGACCCACGCGGCGCGGCCCACGTGGCAGGCCGCGCTCCCGGGCACGTGCGTCAGGAGTCGAGTCCCAGCTCGTACGCGTCGCAAAAGTTTGGTCTCATCTCTCCACCCCGAGGCCCAGCGCCCCCTCCCCGCGCTCAGTGACTCTGTCTTTCCCGCCGCGTTCGCCGCCCCCAGCACCTGCAGAAGCTCTTCACCTCGCCACCAAGTAGCCAGAAGCCGCGAGACCTCCCCACTAATCGCGCGAGACTTCCCGCAGCATGGCGCCCTAGAACGCGCCCGGGACTGCGCGCAGGCCCTCCTCCCCGCGGCGCCGCGCTCGCCCCTCGGAAAGCAGGCCTACACGTCTGCGCTCGCGCTCAAGGCCGTTTACCTTCGCGAGCTTCACCATGATGGCGGCGGAGTGTGAAGCGGACAAGTGGCGCAGATGAGTCCAGAAGAAGCCAAGCGACGGCGATGGCGGCCGCGGGTGCTGAAGATCCCGGAGCACGTACACCCGAAGGCCAGCGAGAGCTCGAGACTGAGGCGAAAGACTGAGCCTGCCCAGTAATCGCCTGTGGAAAGGCGACGACGGCGCCCTCGTGACTCCGCGCCGACCAACCAAAGCTCGCGGCCGTCCCCATGAGCCAATCGCGAGCCTCTAACCGTGAACGGCGCGGGGCGGGGAGTAGGCGGGCCGAGGCGGCCACGGGAGGGGGAGGGGCTGGCAACGGCGCCGTGGGGGCGGGGCTCGCTTTGTGCAAGGTCCGCGCTGATTGGGCCGTGGGCGCGCGGGTCCCGGCCTGCGTCGTGGGACTGGCGTTTTTGGCGCCGGCTGTGAGGGGAGCGCGGGGGTGGTGGAATCGGGCGGTCTCCGGTTCGCCAATGTGGCTGGGTCCGTAGGCTTGGGCAGCCTTGGAGTTCCTCAGAGACCCCGCGCTCGGTCCCGGCACGCACTCACGCCGCGGCTCCTGGTGGCCCTGGAGCGAGGAGTCCGCCAGCACCGGAAGTTCAGGGACCGCGGAGTTCCCGTTGGCCCTTTTGGAGGCACAGCTTATCCCTGCTTGCCCGCGAGCATGGGGCCGGAGGCACCCCCCGGCTGCAGGCAGTCTCCTGAGAGCTGTTAATAAAGGCAGTCGCGGGTCTGTGCGAGGTTTTCTGTGAGAAATGCACGAACCTCCCCTACCCCACAGAACCTCAAGCGGGAGATATTTCTCGACATGGGGAACGGCCTCGGAGAAGTAACTTTCTGGCCTCACAGGGCAGGGAGAGGGGCCTGGGAGGGCCGACCGCAGAGCCGGGCCTTTGACCGCCCACAGGTTCCCTGGTTATTATTTGGGTCGAATGCGCCAATTAAGGTGGTGGCTGCGAAGTCAGTGTCACCAGATGGCCCGGGAGCAGGTCGAGAGCCACCGGCAGGGTTCCCCGGCGGCAGGGCGAAGGAGGCCGCCAGTGACTTCCACGGTTAGCTTTGTGGGTGGGTCTCACTCGATGCCGGGCTTAGCAAACCAGAGCATTTCCCTCCGTCCAGGGCCTGCCGGGGATCCATCCCATCCATAGGTCCAGCTATGGATCCATCCATACCTCATTGTTCCTACAGAACCAGGATATCTGCAGCTACGGCTGTACTTGTTAAAAATCACCTCAGGCCGGGCGCGGTGGCTCAGATCCGCAATCCCAGCATTTTGGGAGGCCGAGGCGCATGAACCGGGGAGGCGGAGGTTGCAGTGAGCCGAGATCGCCCACTGCACTCCAGCCTGGGCGACAGAGCGAGACTCCGTCTCAGAAAGAAAAGCATTTGTTAAGGCCGGGTGCGATGGCTCATGCCTGTAATCCCAGTACTTTGGGAGGCTGATGCAGGAGGATCGCTTGAGTCCAGGAACTTGAGACCGGCCTGGGTAATATAATGCGACCCTGTCTCCACACAAAAAATAATTAGCGGGCATGGTGGCGCTCGCCTGGAGTCCCAGCTACTCGGGAGGCTGAGGTGAGAGGATCGCTTGAGCCCAGGAGGCGGAGGTTGCAGTGAGCCGAGATCGCGTCATTGAACTCCAGCCTGAGGAACAAGAGCGAAACCCCATCTCAAAAAAAAAAAAAAGAAAGAAAATAAAATTATTTGTTAAATGAATGAAGTATTTAGGTAGAAGCAGCAGCAGGGAGAGCCGGCATGGCTCAAGTGGCGTTGCTTTGGAGTTGGTCTGGGGCAGCAAAATAGCAATATCTAACACTTCATAATGCTGATTCAGTGCCAGGCGCTCTTCCAGCTCTTTACATATTAATTAACTTACTCTTCAAAATAACCTTTCCAAAAAGTTACCACTGTTTTACAGAAACTGGGACATAGAGGTAAATTAACTTGTCCAGGGTCGCATAGCTAGCAGTGGAGGCGTAGGATATAAGTGAAGACACTGCTGTGTCATCCCAGTTTCTTTTTTTTGAGACAGAATCTCACTCTGTCACCCAGGCTGGAGTGCAGTGGCAGGATCATGGCTCACTGCAGCCTTGACATCCCCAGCTATATCAATCCTCCCTCCTCAGCCTCCCAAAGGTGAGCCACCACGTCTGGCCTGTTTGTTTCTAAATGCTTTTTTGTTTTCTTTTGAAAACATGAGTATTTATTGAATTGTAAAGTATACACATAGTGCAAAATTCAAAAGATTCAAACAGATGCACAATAAAAGGTCTCCCTCCCGTTCCTGTCCCCTAGGCCTCCCAGTCTCAAGGCAGTGGCAGTCTCTTGTATATCCTTCCAGATTCAGCCGTACGTGCAAATAGACAAGTATATTTGTTATATTTAATACAAACGCTATCATATACACTGTTCTGAGCTCTTCTTTTGTGTTAACTATATGTATCTTGTAACTCATCCTACATCAGCACATGTAGAGCTGCCTCATTCTTTTTAATAGCTACATGGCATTCCTTGTGTGGAAGGATCACAATTTATCTAGTCACCATTGCTGGATAGTTAGGGTTTTTTGCTATGTTTGGCCATTACAAACTGCTATAGCAAATATTCTCACTTACGTTATTTTACACAAATCATATCTGTAGAACAGCTGGGTCAAGGGTATGGACTTTCACATTTTCATAGATGTTCTCCCAAGTGCTGTCTTTGGTTGGGGTTTTCCATGGCCGTTCCAGCCAAGAGCGACCCCACCTGCTCCAGCTGGCTCAGATTATCTGCTGCCCCTGAGCTCCAAGGCTGGGAGACAGTGCTCCACGTTTTAGCAGAGGAAGAACTAGATGGTGGTGAGAGGTGTGAGCATGGCTCTAATTATTGTGGGGAGTGTGACTAGTCTCAGACACCAGCCAAGAAGCTGCAGGGATACCACTGCCTTGAGTGGCCACTGGCTGCTTCTTTGGGCCTGCATGGACCCGGCCCAACTCTGTCTGCTGCTGTGGTCTGGCTGCCCCCCATGAAACCTGTGTAGTGAGGCACCCACTTGGGACACCCATGGGCACTTCTGACCCCTGAGACCCAGTAGGCCATAGTGGGCCTCATACTCATGCTAGGATCTGACAGCCCACTGGAGGGGGTCTGCAGGCTTCCAAGGATTAACTCCACTTCCCAGGACTGGGCTTCTAGGAAATAAGTGTCTCAGTTAGGCTCCAACTAGCCAAGAAAAATCACATTGAGTATTTAAAAAAGAGGGAGCTTAGCGCAGGGACGTGGTGACATGAGGGATAGAATTGCTGAGAAGCCGAGGGGACTGAGCAGGAAGCAGCTGCCCCCCTTCCAGGCTCTTCCACTGAAGGCTATGATGAGGGCCCGGGCTGATGCCAGGGAAGCTTCAGAAGGTCAGGAGGTTGGGGACATCCTGTGTCTCCCCTGCTCCTCCCCCTGAGTTGCAGGTAGGGCTGGCCAGACCCAGCCAGCACCCAGCCCACAAAGCCTGCAGGGTGAGTCCCTGCCATGTAGGCCGAGCAGGGCAGGGCTGGGCACCCCAGCTGGCCGGGAGGGAGTTCACAGCCTCAGCTTCCAGAGCTCCAGGTCTGCTGAGTGTGAAGGCCTGGGGTGTCTGCTATGAAGTTCCCTTTACCAGTCCAGCCTCCTTCTGTCTTCCTTCTGTCTTTGGGTTCACTGAGGCCTTTGGATACTGCCCAGATCTTCCCCAACACTTTCCCCCAGATGTCAAAGGGGGACCCTAAGCTCTTCCTCCCTTGCCAGGCCTTGCTTAGTGTGTTAGCGAGCCTTTCCCAGAGGAGGCATCTGTGTCTCAGGGTCCCAGGAGCCGGAGCCAGAGAACCCAGCCTTTGTCTTCCCGAGGCAGCCCGAGAAGCTTCACCTGTTCACCCAGAGGTAGAGTCAGCCCGTTGCCAACAACTGCAGGCCCCTGAGCCTGCTGGAGGAGGGTGTTGTGGGCCCCAGATCAACGTCATCCCCAACTTCCCTGCTGCACCTCCCAGGCCTCTCCATCCAGGAGGTTGGGCCCTGCTGGAGAGAAATCTGTGATGATGCAGATTTGGGGCCTCCAAATGCCCTGCCCTCCCAGCAGCTGCCCTGGTAGCAGCCCCAGCTGCTAGCCCAGATCATCTTCCAGGAGCTCCTGAACGCTCTCATTTCCCTCTCCCCAGCCTCTATGCCAAGCCTCTTCCCTCAGGCCCCTCACCTCTCCTTCTCTGCCCTCCCTGTCAACAGAGTTACTCTATCTTCTCCTTCATAGGGAAGGACAAACCTCCCAGAGGGATTCCCACCCTCTGATTTCTATACATTTGCAGACATCCTGAGCTCTCTCTGCCACTCCAAAGCCCCAAGGAAACCAGAGTCTTTCTCTATAGCACCCCTTCCCCTGTGCCAGCGAGCCCCTCCTCACCCCCTCCTGGGGTTCCCACTACAGTGATCTCCTCAGCTGTCACTCGCCACTTTTTTGTGTTTTTTGGTGTGTGGGTGTGTGGGGGTGTGGGTGTGTGTTTTTGGACTCACTCTGTTGGCCAGGCTGGAGTCCAGTGGTGTTAACACAGCTCACTGCAGCCTCGACATCCCAGGCTCAGGTGATCCTCCCACCTCAGTCCCTTAAGTAGCTAAGACTACAGGCGTTTGCTACCACGCCCAGCTACTTTTTGTATTTTTTATTTGTTTGTTTTTGAGACAGAGTCTTGCTCTGTTGCCCAGGCTGGAGTGCAGTGGCGTAATCTCGGCTCACTGCAAGCTCCGCCTCCTGTGTTCAAGCGATTCCCCTGCCTCAGCCTCCCTCCCGAGTAGCTGGGACTCCAGGCACCCACCACCACGCCTGGCTAATTTTTTGTATTTTTAGTAGAGACAGGGTTTCACTGTGTTAGCCAGGATGGTCTCCATCTCCTGATCTCCTGATTCGCCTGCCTCAGCCTCCCAAAGTGCTGGGATTACAGGCGTGAGCCACCACGCCTGGCCTGCCACCTGCCATTTCAATACCTCCTTCCCTTCCATTGCCTTTTTCAGGAACAAGCTCTTGGGAAGAGTTGACAACAGTTGCTCCCAGCTCCACCAGGTCCCCCAGGCTCCCAGCCCCTGCAGGTGCCCTACAACCCTGCCCCTGTAGGTGCCCTACAACCCTGCCCCTGTAGGTGCCCTACAACACGCTCTTTGTTGCTAGCCAGAAGGACCCCTTGCAGACCTTCTCTCTCATGTCTCTTGACCCTTCTGCAGCTTCTGTCTCTTGACCACATCCTCCTTGGAGCTTCCCCTCTGCCTCCCTGACACTTCTCTCTCCTGGCCTCTTTCCTCTTTGCCTACCTTCTTCCTTTCTCAAAGAAGAGTGTTTGCACCTTTCTCTCCCCTTGACTTTCTCTCACTGGTGACACCCTTATCCGGTGGCCTCAGCTACCATCTGTGTGTACCCCACCTACTTGGGGCCACTCCTCCACAGCGGCTCCACCTTCCCGTGGGCAGTGCCATCTGAAGGTTCCCAAATCAGGGTTTCTTCAGGAGCAACTTTCTTCCTCATTAACCCAGTGGCTTAGCAGACATCTCCCTTTGGTGCCCTATAAAACTTCAGACTCCAAGTAGAGTGTCCCACTGTGAATTCAGCCTCTTCCTCCACCCCTGAACTGCTGTCTTTCCTACCTCAATAAAGGAGAGACAGCTCCCAGCTTACCTAGCCAAGAGCCAGTACGTTATCTTAGTCTGCTGGAGCTGCTATAACTTTAGACGGGGTCCTTTATAAACAACAGAAATGTGTTACCTGCACATTGTGCACATGTACCCTAAAACTTAAAGTATAATAATAATAAATTTTAAAAAAAGAAAAAAAATTAAAAAAAAAAAAAAAAAAAAAAAAAGAAATGTGTTACAGTTCTGGAGGCTGGATATCCAAGATCAGAGCACTGGCAGATTTGGTGTCTGTGAAGACCTCTCTCCTAGACGGTGCCCTTTTTGCTGCTTCTTCAGAGGCAGAAGGAGTCCACAGGCTCCTGTGAGCCCCTTTTAAAAGGACATTAATCCCATTCTCAAGGGTGGAGCCTCCGGAGCTAATCACCTCCTACAGGCACCACCTCTTCATACTCTTGCCTTGGGGATTAGCTTTCAACATATGAATTTGGAGGGACACCAGCATTCAGATCATAGCATTGTCTAGACCCTGACCTCTCCCTCAGCTCCCAGTCACCCCAGCCTGGGCTTCGAGTGTCTTTGGAGTGGGTCCACTCTGCTTTCCACCGCCCTTCTCTTACTGCCCCTGCTCAAGTTCCTGCCTGGATTAACCCAGCCATTCCAAGTCAGCCACCCTGACCTGTCTTGCCCTGTATCTTAACCTACCATGTGGCAGCCACATCAGTTTTCCTCAGCAGCAGATAAAAACACATTCTTCTAATTAAGGGATTTCAGTGACTTCTGACTGCCAGCAGGAGAAAATCCAAGTGCCTCAACCCACATTGAAAACCCCTTCCTGAGGCCAGTGGCTCACTCCTGTAATCCCAGCATTTTGGAAGGCCAAGGCAGGTGGATCACGAGGTCAGGAGTTCGAGGCCAGCCTGGTCAACATATAGTGAAACCTCGTCTCTACTAAAAATACAAAAATTAGCCAGGGCTGGTGGCGTGTGCCTGTAGTCCCAGCTACTCGGGAGGCCAAGGCAGGAGAATTGCTTGAACCTGGGAGGTGGAGGTTGCAGTGAGCCGAGACCACTGCACACCAGCCTGGGTGACAGAGCAAGACTCTGTCTCAAAGAAAACCCCTTCCTGCTGCAGAGAGGGGGTCTAGGGTGAGGTAAGGCACTTGCCTCAGGCACAACACTTAAGGGATGCCAAAAAACTCAATCATCAAGATAAATAATATTTCAATGCAATATTTTTTAATTACTGGGGAAAATCCATGATGAACAAAAAAGTCAGAATTTTATTTATTTTATTATTTTTGAGGCAGAGTCTCACTCTGTTACCCAGGCTGGAGTGCAGTGTTGTCACTTTGGCTCACTGCAATCTCTGCCTCCCAAACTCAAGGGATCCTCCAACCTCAGCCTCCCAAGTAGCTGGGACTACAGGCATGTTCCACTATGCCAGGCTAATCTTTTAATTTTTTGTAGAGATGGGGTCTTGCCATGTTGCCCAGGCTGGTTTCAAACTCCTGGGCTCAAGTCATCCTCCCTCCTCAGCCTCCCAAAGTGCTGGGATTACAGGCATGAGCCACCGCGCCCAGTCAAAATCAGAATTTTATTTTATGTGTTTTTTAAATTTTGTTTTTGTTTTTCCCTGAGACGGAGTCTCACTCTGTCGCCCAGGCTGGAGTGCAGTGGCACGATCTCAGCTCACTGCAACCTCCGTCTCCCCGGCTCAAGCAATTATCCTGCCTCAGCTTCCCAAGTAGCTGGGACTACAGGCGCCCACCACCATGCCCAGCTAATTTTTTTTTTTTTTTTTTTGAGATGGAGTCTCGCTTTGTCACCTAGGCTGGAGTGCAGTGGCACAATCATAGCTCACTGCAACCTCCGCCTCCCAGGTTGAAGCGGGAGCTTCCTGAGTAGCTGGAATTACAGGCGCCTGCCACTGCGCCCGCCACCACGCTTGGCTAATTTTTGTATTTTTAATAGAGACAGGGTTTCACCATGTTGTCCAGGCTGGTCTCGAACTCCTGACCTCAGGTGATCTACCCACCTCAGCCTCCCAAAGTGCTGGGATTACAGGCATGAACCACCATGTCCTGCTTAAAATCAGATTTTTAAATGAACACAGATCACTATCACTGACATTTCTTTTGCCTCAGGATGCACTGTGGCTTGCACAGCACTGTCACTGATTGTGTCATTTAAAATTTGATATTTTGTTCATCATGGATTTTCTTGCATTTTTATTTTTAAATATTGCACTAAAATATTATATTGATCACTGACTTTGGGACCTTAAATTCTGTGTGCAAGACAACTGCCTCACTTATCTCACCCTAGTCCTGGTCCTGTGCCCAGACTCCAAGCCAACTGGACTATCCATCTTCTTCCAGGGGGCCCGCTGGCCTCTGTCCCACCTCCACCACTTCTTGTGCTCCTTCCCCTGCCTGAGATGACCCCCTCCATCTCTGGCCTCCTGATCGTCCTTCAGGACTAAACCACCTTCCTGGGGTCCTCCCTGTAATCCCCAGGCTGGGTCAGGTCCTCCTCCTTGTGCTACTGCACCAGCTGCACAACACTCATGGGTGAGCATGCTCATGCATGTCTCCCCACTCCACTGTGAGCTGCTGCTTTTTTTTTTTTGTCAAGAGAGATGGGGCCAGGCGCAGTGGCTCATGTCTGTAATCCCAGCACTTTGGGAGGCTGAGGTGGGTGGATCACCTGAGGTCAGGAGTTCGAGACCAGCCTGACCAACATGGTGAAACCCCGTCTCTACCAAAAATACAAAAATTAGGTGGGCGTTGTGACATGCACCTGTAATCCCAGCTACTCAGGAGGCTGAGGCAGAAGAATCACTTGAACCTGGGAGGCAGAGGTTGAGGTAAGCCAAGATCGCACCATTGCACTCCAGCCTGGGCAAGAAGACTGAAACTCTGTCGAAGAGAAGAGGAAGAGGAGTAAGAAGAGGAGGAGGAAGAGGAGGAGGAAGAAGAGGAAGAGGAGAAGGAAGAAGAGGAAGAGGAGGAGGAAGAAGAGGAAGAGGAGGAGGAAGAAGAGGAAGAGGAGGAAGAGGAAAATAACAGTTGTTGGTGAGGATGTGGAGAAATTGGAATCCTTATGCATTGATGGTGGGAATGTAAAATGGTGCAGCTGCCAGAGAAAACAGTAAGGCAGTTCCTCAAAAATTAAAAATAGAAGGCCAGGCACAGTGGCTCACTCCTGTAATCCCAGCACTTTGGGAAGCCGATGTGGGTGGATCACTTGAGGTCAGGAGTTTGAGACCAGCCTGGCCAACATGGTGAAACCCCATCTCTACTAAAAATGCAAAAATTAGCCGTGGGTGGTGGTGGACGCCTGTAAACCCAGCTACTCTGGAGGCTGAGGCAGGAGAATCGCTGGAACCCAGGAGGTGGAGGTTGCTGTGAACAGAGATTGTGCCACTGCACTCCAGCCTGGGCAACAGAACGAGACTCCGAAAGAAAGAAAGAGAGAGAGAGAGAGAAGAAAGAAAGGAAATCCAATCCGACACACGCTACAACATGGATGAACTTTGAAGACATTGTGCTAAGTGAAATAAGACAGTCACATACAAAAAAATACTGTATGATTTCACTTATAGAAGATATCTAGAGTAGTCAAACTCAAAGAAACAGAAAGTAGAATAGTGGTTGCCAAGGGCTGGGGAGATGGGAGGTGTTTAATGGGTACACATTTTCAGGGGTATTTTTTTGTTTTCTGTTTTTGTTTTTTTTTGAGACAGCGTCTCACTCTGTCACCCAAGCTGGAGTGCAATGGTGCAGTCCTGGCTCACTGCAGCCTTTATCTCCCAGGCTCAAGTGATCCTCCCCTCTCAGCCTCCCATGTAGCTGGGACTACAGGTCTGCACCACTACGCTCACCTAATTTTTCTTTTTTTTTTTCTTTTTTTTTTTTTTTAGTAGAGACAAGGTCTCTGTATGTTGCCTAGGCTGGTCTTGAACTACTGGGGACTCAAGAAATACTCCTGGGCTGGGCGCAGTGACTCACGCTTGTAATCCCAACACTTTGGGAGGCCAAGGCGGACAGATCACTTCAGCTCAGGAGTTTGAGACCAGCCTAGGCAACATAGCAAAACCCCTTCTCTACAAAAAAATACAAAAATTTTGCCGGGTGCAGTTGCTCACACCTGTAATCCCAGCACTTTGGGAGGCTGAGGCAGGTGGATCACCTGAGGTCAGCAGTTCGAGACCAGCCTAACATGGTGAAACCCTGTCTCTACTAAAAATACAAAACTTAGCCGGGCATGGTGGCGGGCACCTGTAATCCCAGCTACTCGGGAAGCTGAGGCAGGAGAATCATTTGAACCTGGGAAGCAGAGGTTGCAGTGAGCTGAGATCGCGCCATTGCACTCCAGCCTGGGCAACAAGAGCAAAACTCCATCTCGAAAAACAAACAAACAAAACGCAAAAATTAGCCAGATGTGGTGGCGCATTCCTGGAGTCCCAGCTACTTGGGAGGCTGAGGTGGGAGGACAGCTTGAGCCCAGGAGACGGAGGTTGCAGTGAGCTGAGATGGGGCCACTGCACTCCAGCCTTGGCAACAGAGAAAAAAAAAAAGAAATCCTCTCACCTTGGCATCCCAAAATGCTGAGATTACAGGCATAAGCCACTGTGTCCAGCCCAAGAGTTGCAGTTTTGCAAGATGAAAAAGTTCTAGAAATAGGTTGCACAACAATGTGACTATACTGAACTATACACTTAAAAATGGTTAAGATAGTACATTTTATTTAATTTTATCAAAATATTTATTTCATGGATACATCTAGTACCATATATAAAAATTTTTAAAGATAATTTAGTGGTGGCTCGCTCCTGTAATCCCAGGACTTTGAGAGGCCAAGGCAGGCAGATCACTTGAGGTCAGGAGTTCAAGACCAGCCTGACTAACATGATGAAACTCCGTCTCTACTACAAATAGAAAAATTAGCTGTGTGTGGTGGCTGTAATCCTAGCTACTCAGGAGGCTGAGGCAGGAGAGCTGCTTCAACCTGGGAGGCAGAGATTGTAGTGAGCTGAGATGGCACCACTGCACTCCAGCCTGGGCGACAGAACGAGATTCCATCTCAAAATAATAATAATTATTATTATTTAATTTTTTGTGTAATAAATACATCCAAGAAACCAAAAATTATAAAAGGTGCCAGGTGCTGTGGTGTGCCTATAGTCCCAGCTGCTCAGGATGCTGAGGCAGGAGACTAGCTTGAGACCAGGAGTTCAAGGCTATAGTGAGCTAGATCATTTTTTTTTTTTTTTTTTTTTTTTTTTGAGACAGAGTCTCACTCTGTCACCCAGGCTGGAGTGTACTAGCGTGACCTTGGCTCACTGCAAACTCCGCCTCCTGGGTTCAAGCAATTCCCTGCCTCAGCCTCCCAAGTAGCTGGGATTACAGGCATGCGCCACCACACCTCGCTAATTTTTGTATTTTTAGTAGAGACAAGGTTTCACTATATTGGTCAGGCTGGTCTCGAACTCCTGACCTCACATGATTTGCCTGCCTTGGCCTCCCAAAGTGTTGGGATTACAGGTGTGAGCTACCACTTCCAGCCAAGCCAGATCATGCCTGCGAATAGCCACTGCATATAGAGAGACCTCATCTCAAAATAAAATAAAATAAAATAAATAAAAGACAGTTAAAAGTCTCTCTTGCGCTTGTCTTCCATTTTCCTCGTTCCTACTTCTCTACCCTGTCTAGGTAACTGCTTTTAAAAATGTGTTAACCGGCTGGGCATGGTGGCTCATGCCTGTAATCTCAGCACTTTGGGAGGCCGAGGTGGGCGGATCACTTGAGGCCAGGAGTTCGAGACCAGCCTGGTCAACATGGTGAAACCCCATCTCCATCAAAAATACAAAAATTAGCCGGGCATGGTGGCCTGCAACTGTAGTCCCAGCTACATGGCAGGCTAAGGCAGGAGATTCACTTGAACCCGGGAGACGGAGATTGCAGTGAGCTGAGATTGTGCCACTGCACTCCAGCCTGGGTGACAGAATGAGACTCCGTGTCAAAACAAATAAATAAATAAAAATGTGTTAACCATAAAGGACAAAAGGCATATAATTATCTCAACAGATGCAGGAAGAGCTCACAAAAACTGACACCCTTTCATGTTTAATAAAAAGCAAAACACTGAACAAAACAGTAGACGGGTACTTCCTCAATCTGATAAAGGGCATCTACAAAAACATCTAACCCAGTGTGAAAGACTGAAAGCTTTAAGATCAGGAACAATGCAAAGGTATCTGCTCTCATCACTTCTATTCAAATTGTACTGGGGGTGCCATCCAGGGCAATTAGGCAAGAAAAAAAAAAGAAATAAAACTATCTCTATTTGCAGATAACATGATCTTGTGTATAGAAAATCCAACGGGATACACAAACACAAAAAAAACTATTAGAGCTAATAAAAAGTTCAGCAAGATACAAAAGATACAAAATCAATATGTAAAAATCAAGGGTGTTTCTATCAATAGCAATGAACAATCAAAAATTGAATTAAAAAAAATTCAATTTACAACCGCATCAAAAAGAAACATTATACTTATAAATAAAGTTAACAAAAGAAGTGCAAGACAAACATTCAAAACTGCAAAACAACATAGAAATAAAGACCTAATAAATGGAAACACTTCCTATGTTCATGGATCAGAAGATTTAATTTTGTTAGGATGACAATACTCCCCAAATTAATAAACAGATTCTATACAATTCCTGTCAAAATTTCAGGAATTGATTTTTGTGGAAATCAACAAGCTGATCCTAAAAATCAACAAGCTGATCCTAAAATTTATATAAAAGTTTAAGAATAAATGGCCAAGAAAAAAATGAAAAGATAATCTACAGAATAGGAGAAAATACTTGCAAATCATATATCTGATAAAGAGTTAATATCCAGAATATAAAGACCTACTATCTGATGACAAAAAAACAAGCCAATTGTAAAATGGGCAAAGGGCATTTTTCCAAATATATACAAATAGTGAATAAGAACATGAAAAGATGCTCAACGTTATTAGCCATCAGGGAAATACAAATCAAAACCACAATAAACTACATCTATCTCAGCTACTCTGGAGGCTAAGGCAGGAGGATTGCTTGAGGCTAGGAGTTCAAGACTAGCCTGGGCAACATAGCAAGACCCCTATCTCAGAAAAAAAAAAGCTACATCTTCACACCCAGTATAATGGCTATAATTAAAAAGTCAGCTAAGGCTGGGCATAGTGGCTCACATCTGTAATCCTAGCACTTCAGGAGGCTGAGATGGGAGGATCGCTTGAACTGAAGAGTTTGAGACCAGCTCGGGCAACATAATGAGACCCCATCTCTGCAAAAAGAAAAGAGTCAGTGAAAAGCAGGTATTGGTGAGGATGTAGTGAAATTGGAACTTTTTCTTTTTTTTTTTTTTTTTTTTTGAGATGGAGTCTCGCTCTGTCACCCAGGCTGGAGTGCAGTGGCACGATCTTGGCTCACTGCAACCTCTGCCTCCTGGGTTCAAGCGATTCTCCTGCCTCAGCCTCCCGAGTAGCTGGCACTACAGGCACGTGCCACCATGCCCGGCTAATTTTTTGTATTTTTAATAGAGACAGGGTTTCACTGTGTTAGCCAGAATGGTCTTGATCTCCTGACCTCGTGATCCACCCACCTTGGCCTCCCAAAGTGCTGGGATTACAGGCGTGAGCCACTGCACCCAGCCGAAATTGGAACTTTCGTACGCTGCTGATGGCAATGTTAAATAGTGCAACTGCTTTGGAAAACAGTGTGGCAGTTCCTCAAATGGTTAAACACAGAGTAGCCTTACAATCCAGCAAATCTCCTCCTAGGTATATAGCCAAGAGAAATGAAAGCACATGTCCATAACAAAACTTGTCCACAAATGTTCATAGCAACTTTTTTTTTTTTTCATGAGACAGTCTTGCTCTGTTCCCCAGGCTAGAGTGCAGTGGCGTGATCTCAGCTCACTGCAATCTCTGCCTTCTGGGCTCAAGCGATCTTCCCACCTCAGCCTCCTAAGTAGCTAGGACTACAGGCACTTGCCACCACACTGCGCTAATTTTTTGTAGAATTGAGGTCTCACTATTCTACCCACACTGGTCTCAAAACTCCTGAGCTCCAGCGATCCTCCCACCTCTGCCTCCCAAAGTGTTGGGATTACAGGCGTTAAGCCACCACACCCAGCCCTGCAGCATTATTTATAATAAAGAAAAAGCAAAACAACCTAAATGTCTATCAGCTGATGAATGGATAAACAAATTGTGATATATCCATACAGTGGAATGTTACTTAGCAATAAAAAAAAGTACTGATCTGCAACGTAGATGAACTTTGAAAACATGCTAAGTGAAAGAAGCCAGATGCAAATACCAAATATTTTATGATTCCATTTATATGACATATCCAGAATCAGCAAGTCTGTAGACAGAGGGCAGATTAGTGGTTGCCAGGGGCAGAGGGGAATAGGCAGTGGCTGCTAATGGGTATGGGGTCTCTTTTTGAGGCGATGAAAACGTTCTAGGTAGTTGTGATGGTTGTGCAACTTTGTGAATATACCAAAAAGCCCCACTTAACTGTACCCTTAAGAGGGTGGCTATTACTGTTATGAATTATATTACAATAAAAATTTTCATATAAAAAATGTATTAACTTCAAGGAGAAATACAGCTCTCACTGGACCAGGACTGGATTATTTGCAGACCTACAGCAGAGGCTGAATGAGAAGGTAGCTTGGCAAACATGTAATGCCAGTCGATTCTACCTCCACAGGAGCTCCAGAATTTTAACCGGTCTCAACACCTTTGCACTACCAGGGTAATTCCAGCCACTCCCAACTGCCCCCTGACTCTCTGCCCTCCAGCCTCACTGGCTGTCTTTTAAATCTTCCGATTCACCTAGCCACACTCACGGCCAGCGCCAAGTCTCAATTCTCCCTCTAAGAACATGAGTGTGAGTATTTGACTCCCACCACCTCTCCGCCCCCATCACCAGCATCTACAATGCTCTCCACGAAGGGTTCGGGCCTAGTCCGATGCCTGGCACAGGGCAGGAGCTCCACAAGCATTTCTGGAGTGAACTTGAGAATTAGGGAGAGGCTTGTAGAGGAAATGCCATTTCAGGTGGGCCTGGAAGGGCCGTGGGATCTGTCAGCCTGGTAGGGGAGAGGAAAGCGCTGTAGGCAGCCTGAGAGAGAGGACTGGGACCTTCGGAGCCTCAAGGGAGACTGAGGGGCTTGAAGACTAAGGAACTCAATCTTATCCACGGGATAGGAAGAGGTGGCAAATGGGGCTGGAGAGGCAGGTAGGGGTTTGAGGGACTGAAGTCCAGTGGAAGCCACTGAACAGTTTTAGGCCAGAGAGTGACACGATCTTATATAATATTTTGAGAAGATCCCTCTGGGTGCTTCATGGAAGCTGGATTAGAGGGTGAGCTTCGGAAAAATGAAGTGGCTGTGGCCACTGCCCAGGGGACACGGGGAGTCTAGAAAGAAAAAGCTCCCTTCAGATCCTCCTGTTACAGGAGTCAGCAGGCTCCCCCGAGGAAACACCTCCCGCCATTGCACATTGTTAAATCCACTTCAATATTCCCTTTTACCTCCTGTGTCAATCACCACCGTGAAAAGATGCGTAAGTAAACTGATGGTAACAGCAGATTTGGTTAGATAGTAAGACGTGAGCTTTAAAAGATGAGGTAATAGGCCAGGCATGGTGGCTCAGGCTTGTAATCCCAGCACTTTGGGAGGGGGAGGCTGCAGTGAGTAGATATCGCGCCACTGCACTCTGCCTGGGTGACAGAGCGAGAGAGTCCATCTCAAAAAAAAAAAAAAATCACAAAATAATAATAAAATCAAGAGGTCATGCAACATAATTGAAACTCTTGGCTATAATGTGGATTACTGGGAAATTTCCCATATAATGTGTGACAAAATGTAACTGGAAATTGATGGGGCAGTGAGGAGGCTGGGGAGATGAAACAGACTCATTTTCTTCTTAATAGGGTTAGGGTTTGCCTTTGGTTTTTTTTTTGTTTGTTTTTTTTTTTTTTTGGAGACAGAGTCACCCTCTGGCTGGAGTACAGTAGTGCTATCTCGTCTCACTGTAACCTCCTGGGTTCAAGCAATTCTCCTACCTCAGACTCCCAAGTAGCTGGGACTACAGGCATGTGCCACCACACCTGGCTAATTTTTGTATTTTTAGTAGAGATGGGGTTTCACTATGTTGGCCAGGCTGGTCCTGAACTCCTGACCTCATGTGATCTGCTGCCTCGGCTTCCTAAAGTGCTAGGATTACAGGCATGAGCCATAGCACCCGGCCTAACTTTTGTGTTTTTAGTAAAGATGTGGTTTCATCATGCTGGTCTTCAACTCCTGACCTCAAGTGATCCGCCTGCCTCAGCTTCCCAAAGTCTTGGGATTACAGGTGTGAGCCATTGTGCCAGGCCTGCATTTGTGATTTATGTAATTTAAACATTTTGGATCAAGTGCAGTGGATCACACCTGTAATAGCATCACTTTGTGGAGCTGAGGTGGGCAGATCACTTGAGCCCAGGAGTTCAAGACCAGCCTGGCCAACAAAGCAAGACCTGGTCTCTACAAATACATTTTTAAAAAAAATTAGCTGGGTGTGGTGGTGCACGCCTATAGTCCCAGCTACTCAGGAGCTGAGCAGGGAAGATCTCTTGAGCCTAGGAGATCAAAGCTGCAGTGAGCTGTGATTGTGCCACTGCACTCCAGCCTGGGCAACAGGGCAAGACCCTATCTCTAAAACAAAAGGGAAAGATCGAAATGTTAAATTTATTTATTGGGGATTATAATTGTTGTTGGTTTTTTGTGTCTGTGTTGGAATTTGAGTTGAAACAGTCTGACAACCCTGTTCACTACCTCTGGCAGCTCAGAGTTCAGCAGCTGCCCACTCTGCCTCCAGCTTCCCTCTGGCCCCTCCCCAGGGCTGGGGTGGGATCCCACAGGGGATCTCCAGCCCGGTGGCCAGTGGAGGTCAGGAAGAAACCAGAGCTCACCAGCGCCAGGGGTCCAGGGCTGAAGAAAAGCTCTTGGGCTGGGTTCCAAGTGGGCAGGGGGCTCAGCATCTGATGGTTGGGCTGTGTCCCTGTACCCATCAGCCAGCTGGGACCACAGTGCTTTTCCTGCAGGGGCCCAAGTTTCACTCACCAGCCTTTTTTATGGGTGGGGGGAGGGGACGGAGTCTCCCTCTGTCACCCAGGCTGGAGTGCAGTGGCAGAATCTTAGCTCACTGCAACCTCCACCTCCTGGGCTCAAGTGATTCTTCTGCCTCAGACTCCCAAGTAGCTGGGGTTATAGGTGCCTGCCACCACACCTGGCTAATTTTTGTATTTTTAGTAGAGACAGTTTCACCATGTTGGCCAGGCTGCTCGTGAGCTCCTGAGCTCAAGTGATCCGCCCACCTCAGCCTCCCAAAGTGTTGGGATTACAGGCGTGAGCCACCGCGCCCTGCTCACTCACCAACCTCTTCAACGCCCAGCTTAGAGCTGCTGGTCTCACGAAGAAGCTGCCACGAACACACAGCTCGTTCCCTCCCTCAGGTGGAGAGAGGATGACACAGAGGCAGGGGAAAGGTTGGAGCTAGGGGAGGTAGGTGCAAGTGGGCAAAGGACCCCAGTGTAGGGGAGGGGTGAAGACAAACTGCCCGTGTCACTGTTCTGTATGGAGCTGCATCTGAACCCAAGGCAAGTCCCTGCCCTATTCTCCACCTGTTCCCCTGCTGTTCTTCTCAGACAGTAATTAATCTTCCAAGCAGCACATTATCCGTGGGATAAACTGTGGCCTCTGAAGTCTTCGGTCCTGGGTCTAACTTGGGAGGCTTTGGGCAGAGTGTCAGTTATGACACCTTTCATCACAAGTGGCTGGTCAGCATGACTTAAACAGTCCAGGGGATTCACTGCAAAGTTCAGCCCTGCAGGCCCGGCTTGATCCAGCAGCTCACAGGTGTCACCCTGCAGCCATCTTCCTGTCTTTCTTTCCACTTCTGTGTCAGCGTCATCTCAGGCCAGCTTTCATCATGGTGGCAGAATGTCTCTTGCTGTGGTTCAAGCAATGAATCTCATCTCTACACATCTTAGAGTCCAGAGGGAGCTAGAAAACATCTTTCCCAGAAGCCATCTCCCACAAAGGAGTACCCCAGACTGTCCCTGGATTACAGCCTCACCCCTGTGCCCAGGCAAGGTAGTAGTTATGGTAATGTCAGTGTGATCCTGGGCCACCTGCCCCACCCCAGCCCAGGGAGTCAGCACTGGGGTTTGTGGCGGGGGAGACGGGTACCCAGAGAATGATCAGGGGAGAAATGGAGAACAGAGAAGGGTCATGGGAGGCCGCTCCGTTGCCTCTGGCAGCCAGAAAACTCCAATTTTTTTTTTTTAAGACAGAGTCTCACTCTGTCACCCAGGCTGGAGTGCAGTGAGATCTCGGCTCACTGCAACCTCTGCCTCCCGAGTTCAAGCAATTCTCCTGCCTCAGCCTCCTGAGTAGCTGGGATTACAGGTGCCCGCCATCACGCCTGGCTAATTTTTGTTTTGTTTTTAGTAGAGTCGGGCTTTCACCATGTTAGCCAGGCTGGTCTCGAACTCCTGACCTCAGGTGATCCACCCTCCTCAGCCTCCCAGAGTGCTGGGATTACTGGCGTGAGCCACCGCACCCGGCCAGAAAACTCCAATTCTTAATTCCTTACCTGTAGTGGGGGGTCATCATCTCTACCTTACTGATGTAAGGCACAGGACAGTTCAAGAGCGACAGTAACGTGCTGCCACCGTCACTGGGGTGCTGTAGCCGATGTGAACTCCCTCCCCGGCTAGCTTCTCTTCTGTGAAGGTGAGGTCCGGGCCACCAAGCCGCTTGCCCACTCCACACAAGGTCCTTCTCTCCGAGGGACGCGGCAGGGGCCCGAGGTGGCCAGCAGGTGGCAGCGCCGCGGCAGCCCGGGTTTGGCATAGCTCGGGAGCGGCCTCCGGGAAAGGAAGGGGTCAGGCCTCTCCAGGCAGCCCCCAGAGCCCCTCGCCTCCCTGGGCGCCCCACTCGCAGATGCAGCAGGGCGGGTTCGCGGGTGTGCGGCCTGCACCTGGCGGGGCTCCGGGCTTGGGTGGAAGCTCTGCTGTCGCCATCTTGACGTCTGAGTTACTGCTGAGCAGGAGCCCTGCATTTTCATTTTGCGCCAGGCCTCTCAAACTGTGGTCCTGGGTGCCAGGACTCCTGCTGCCTCGGGATCCCGCCACTTTACTTCCCAGAAATGCGCTGAGCCCGTCCCTTTCCTGCCGTTGCTCAGCCTTCCCGGGGCTCCCTGACCATGCTTGTCTCCAGCTCACCGGCCTTCCAGAAGCCTGGAGAGGGCCGGGACCCCACATGGGGAGGACGAAGAACCCACGCAAGGAAAACGGGGACCCTACATGGGCATGGGGCAGCCATGGGGAGGAGGGGGACCACGTGGGGATAATGGGGCCATACGTGGAGAGGAGGGGACCCTACAGAAGGCCTGGGTTGGGCAGTGCTGGGCTCTCGTCGGAGGGTCAGGTGGCGCTGGCGGCCGGCAGGAAGCCCTGGGTAGCGGGTGGCGGGCAGCAGGTCCCGGGCTGCAGGCCCCGTGGAGAGCGGAAGGCGCGCGGCGAGGCCCGGGCGGGAACCCAAGGCTGGAGGCCGGCCCTAAGAGTGCTTCCCTAGCAGCCCCGGCGGGAAAAGAAGAGAACAAAGTCTAGGAGTTCCGGGACTTCCCCGCGGTGGCAGAGGAGGGGGCTGCCATTGTCAAGGCGGCACAGAAGCCTCGGGTTCGGGGACCTTTGCTGGAGGAGCTGGGGCAGGGTAGGACGGGGGCCGCAGGGGCCTCGAGAGCGAACGGGGAAAGGCCGCGGCGCCTGCAGAGCACAGTCCATGCAGTTTGCCCGGGGCGCGGGCCTCTCGAGTGTGCTCAGGAAGCCGTGGCTCCTCGGGGCGTCTGCAGGCCTCCCAGCATCCGTCGTGCAGACCTGACGCCACCTGCCACCCGCAGACGCTGAGACCCGGAGCCCCTCTGCCCCTGGGCTGGCCGCGGAGGCTGCCTCTGGGGTGCGGTTTCCCAGGCTGTGTCTTTTCAGCGGGTGCGCAGGTTCCCGCCCTCCCAGTGTCCCTTCCTGCGGTCTGGACGTGGGGGCCCGCGGACCCAGCGTGGGGGCGCTGTGGGTGACAGAAGGTGGTGGAGCAGAGGCGGCTGCAGTGTGGACTCAAAAGCACGTGGGGGTGGGGGGTGGGGCAAGAGCAATCAGGTGGTCTGCGCCTGCTCTGCGACTTCCCAGCTGTGCGACCCTGGGAAGTTACCTCACCTCTTTGAGGCTCAGGCTTCCCTCATCTGTAAAATGGAAGAATAGGATCGACTTTGCAGGGTATCTGTGGGGATTCTTGATATACAGACCATATGAAAGACCTTCCGTAAGAGAGGGATGCTTTTCTGCCTAGATTTTATAGCCTCTATCCTTGTATTAAAATTGATTATCAAAATGTTTACGATTTCCCCTGCCCTTAGAAATAACAGAATCATGGCTAGGCGCGGTGGCTTACGCCTGTAATCCCAGCACTTTGGGAGGCCGAGGCGGGTGGATCACCTGAGGTCAGGAGTTCCAGACCAGCCTGGCCAACATGGCGAAACCTCATCTCTACTAAAAATACAAAAAAAAAAAAAAAAAATTATCCGGGCATGGTGGCACGCACCTGTAATCCCAGCTACTTGGGATTCCCTCTTGTGAAAGGTGGGAGAGGGGAGAAGGGACAGGAGAGGTAACACTTCTCTGAGTCCAACTCACCCTTGAACAACACAGGTTTGAACTGTGGGTCCATGTCTGTGCCTTGACCACCCCTGAGGCAGCATGATCAACCCCTCCTCCTCCTCTTCCTCAGCCTACTCAATGTGAAGATGAGGATGAAAACCTTTATAATAATTCACTTACACGTAATGAATAGTAAATTTTTTCTTATGATTTTCTTTTTTTTTTTTTGAGATGGAGTCTGCTCTGTTGCCCAGGCTGGAGTGCAGTGGCATGATCTTGGCTCACTGCAACTTCCACCTCCTGGGTTCAAGCAATTCTCTCTGCCTCAGACTCCTGAGTAGCTGGGACTACAGGCACCCACCACCATGGCTGGCTAATTTTTTTTTTCTTTGTATTGTTAGTAGAAACAGGGTTTCGCCATGTTGCCCAGGCTGGTCTTGAACTCCTGACCTCAGGTGATCTGCCCACCTCAGCCTCGCAAAGTGTTGGGATTACAGGCATGAGCCACTGTGCCCGGCCTTTCTTAATAACATTTTCTGTATTGTAAGATACAGTATGTAATACATATAACATACAAAATATGTGTTAATCAACTGTTCCTGTTATTGGTAAGGTTCCCAGTCAACAGCAGCCTATCAGTACTTATGTTTTTGGGGAATCAAAAGTTATATGTGGATTTTCAACTACACAGGGGGTTGGCACCTCTAACTCCTGCATTGTTCAAGAGTCAACGGTACATCTTTGTATAATTCTGACTTATAGAACTATTTGTGTTTCATAGAAAAAAAAATTTAAATCAACAAGGAATTGGAGAAGGGTGGTAGAGATGGCCCAAAATGGAATACGAACAGAAACAAGTGAACTTGCTGTTTTACAAATGAATAACGTGCACTCGGGCATCCTAGGGGAGCAGTGACCTATGTAGCTTTAGAAACAGTGTTTTGACTATATGCTCTATGACTAAAGGGGAGAAAAACTGCACAATATTTTGCCGTTGGTAGAGGAGCACACATCTCACATCTAACTCACATCTTTCTTTTTCACAGAGGTGTGAGTTAGAAATCCATGAACTACTTGATGTGGATTCTGGCACTGAGCAAGTATATATACTGCAGCTAGCAAGAGCCAGATTTCTCACCATCAGGAAAATGGCTAAAAATAAGGAAAGGGGATGGATGCAGTGGCTCATGCCTGTAATCCCAGCCCTTTGAGAAGCTGTGGCAGAAGAACTGCTTGAGGTCAGGAGTCCAAGACCAGCTAGGGCAACATAGCAAGACCCCTATCGCTACAAAAAAGATAAAACATAAAAAATTTAGCCAGGTGTGGTGGTGCACACCTGTAGTCCCAGCTACTTGGGAGGCTGAGGCAGAGGATCACTTGAGCCCAGGAATTCAAGGCCACAGTGAGCTATGATCGCACCACTGCAGTCCAGCCTGAACAACATAGTGAGACCATGTCTCTAAAAAATTAATAAGAAGAGTAGGCTAGAATGAACATTATGGTGTTGGACTGGCATTGGAGACATCACTGTGAACTCCTGGTTTTTAAAATACATACAGATATAGAAAGAGCTTTAGAGATGCACATGTGTGGACATGTATTTCCTAACTCTATCCACTGGAAGGGCCTAAAAGTACTAACACCCAATACCACTGAACTCACCCAACACCCAGATCTTGTTTTTTTTGTTGTTGTTGTTGTTTGGTTTGGTTTGGTTTTGTTTGAGATGGAATTTCGCTCTTTCACCCAGGCTGGAGTGAAGTGGCCCAATCTCGGCTCACTGCAACCTCCACCCCCTGGGTTCAAACAATTCTCTTGACTCAGGCTCCTGAGTAGCTGGGATTACAGGTGCCCACCACCACGCCCAGCTAATTTTTGTATTTTTAGTAGAGACAGGGTTTCGCCATGTTGGCCAGGCTGGTCTCAAACTCCTGACCTCAGGTGATACACCTGCCTCGGCCTATCAAAGTACTGGGATTACAGGCATGAGCCACTGTGCCTGGCCAGATCTTGGTTTTGAATGCTGTTCTCAATAAAAGGCACCAAGACTCTGGAAGAAACGAATATTTCCAGGGCTATGGCAAGGAAAGTACAAGCTGAGCTTTCAACATCTTGTGGAGCCAAAAGGCAAAGCCTCTGACAAGCTGTGGGGAAAGTCATCAGAGGAACATCAGCATGGAGTGGACAGTAGAGGGAGGGGACAGCCTGCGAAGCCTTCAGAGAGGAGGGAAATGAGAAGAAGGAGACTTCAAGGGCGAGGAAAGGGTGGCGGTGTCAGATGTTGCCGAGATTAAGATCAGATCTAAAAACCATCTTTCTAGAAGCCTTTGCTGCAGATGTCCCTGGTGTCCTTGAGAAAAGAGTTTTGATGGGGGGCTGAGGAGACGTAACAGGTGTCACAGGTGCACAGAGGAGTTGTAGATGAAGAACAGCAGTCAGGGAATTGGGGGACTATTCCAAGACCTTTGGCTGTGAACAGAAGGAGAGGGCAGGATTGGAAGGGGGCACACGCTTAGGGAGAGGCTTGGTTCTGGATTCTCTTGAGAACATGGCAGCCTCAACAGGAGCCAAGGGCAGTAGAGACAGGCTAGCTGCTCAGCCAACCCATTCCCTCTTCTTCCTGATGTGTAGCTGCAGCACCTGCCCAGCCTCCTTGGGACTAGAGGTGTGGCACAGGACCATGAGTGGTGAAAACATATCTAGGCCTGGCCTGCACCAAGTGCTCCCACTGGATCCTCCTTGTTCTCTCCTATCTACTTGCTGAATGAAGATCTTTCCAATGACCCAGAACAGGACAGAGGAACAAAACAGAGGAAGCCTGGGTCCCCAGATGACCACACAGAAGGCCACCTGCCCAGGAATACCCCACTCTGAATGTAGCATGAGTGAGAAACAAACACTTAACTGTGTTGCACTGCTAAGAACTGGGGTCCATCCACTATAGCAGGTAGAGTTAACCTAATAAACTGGTTAAGGACATTCTTGTACCTCCATGCAATGGAGCACTACAGCTATAAAAACAAAGGGAGCAGCTGTTCATTACAGATATGAAATGATCTCCAAAATACTTTCAACGACAAAAAGGCAAGGTATAGGAAAATGTGTTATAGCTTGTTGCTATGTGTCAAAAATCGGTAGGAAGCCAGGCGTGGTGGCTCACGCCTGTAATCCCAGCATTTTGGGAGGCTGGGCCAGGCGGATCACGAGGTCAGGAGATCGAGACCATCCTGGCTAACATGGTGAAACCCCGTCTCTACTAAAAATACAAAAAATTAGCCGGGCGTGGTGGCACGCACCTGTAGCCCCAGCTACTTGGGAGGCTGAGGGAGGACACTTGCTTGAACCCGGGAGGCGGAGGTTGCAGCAAGCGGAGATTGCACCACTGCACTCCAACCTGGGTGACAGAGCAAGACTCTGTCTCAAAACAAAACAAAACAAAATCGGTAGGAAAAGAATACATAATTCCTTGTCTTGAACAGTGGAAGACAAGAAGAAGCCAATAATATTGGCTCCTTCTATACAAAGGAGCTGGGTAGCTAGAGGATGAGTGGGAGACTTCCACTTGTACCTATTGAATTTTGAGTAGTGTCAATTTTATACATTTTTTAAAATAGACATGTAAAGGGAGTGTGCCAGAGATGTGGGCATATTGTTACAAAAGCCAGTAGAAACAAAATTTCTAAAAAGACAGAGAGAAAGCAGACAGCGGATAGAGGGAAGTCCTTGAGCCCTTGAAGGCAGGGGATGGAGAGTGGAGCGTAGGGAGAGGGAGCTGCCACGGCTGGGAGGAAGGCCACTGAGGACAGGAGGTAGGATGCTGGAGACGTCAGAGCAGGCAAGCATGTAGGGTGAGTATGCGGGAGCAGGAAGGTGGTGGGGAGATTTCTCTCAAATGGCTTTTATCAGGAGATGAAGTTACCTAATAAAAATGAGATGGTGGCTCTGACTCCAGGGAAGAACAGGAGGACAAAGGAAATAAAAGCTTGTAGGGGAGCACTGCTGGCCCAGATGAGACTGGAGCCACAAGCTTAGAATGAAACCAACCAGCCCGAGGTAGGATTTCTGCTAGCACCCCAAAATAGGGGAGGAGCATGGGACATGTATTAATTGACTCAGGATAGAAATTTCTATGGAGCAGGTGACAGAGGGGCTGGGAAGACCAGAGATTTAGGGATATTGGCAAGAGTGGTAAGTTGGTCCATGTGGGACAGGATGCATCCGAAAGGAGATTTTGAAGGGGACTGACAGACTTGGGAGAAAGAGAAATCAGAGAGCTGGAGATGTTATTGAGGGGAAAAGAACCTAAGAATAGTGCAAGCAACTGAGAGTGAGGAGTCCCATTCACATTTTCACGGGTGAAGGAACGCTTACAGACTTTTTTTTTTCTTGAGAGAGTTTCGCTCTTGTTGCCCAGGCTGGAGTGCAATGGCACGATCTCAGCTCACCACAACCTCCACCTCCCAGATTCAAGTGATTCTCTTACCTCAGCCTCCCGAGTAGCTGGGATTGCAGGCATGCGCCACCATGCCCGGCTAATTTTGTGTTTTTAGTAAAGATGGGGTTTCTGCATGTTGGCCAGGCTGGTCTCGAACTCCTGACCTCAGGTAATCCACCCGCCTTGGCCTCCCAAAGTGCTGGGATTATAGGCATGAGCTACCACGCTAGGCCCCACCTATGGACTTCTTAAGGCAGGTAAACACCTGGGACCTGAATATCCAGGACCAGCTGGGAGGCTGAGGTCCCAGAAGTAGGGATGGAAAGAAGCCCATGAGCCAGGGGTCTAGGCTCTTTAACAAATACCAGATAGGTGTAGGGACCAGCCCCACAGGGTCGGTGGGTTTTTCTCCCCATGTGCGGAGATGAGAAATTGTAGAAATAAAGACACTAGAAAAAGAGATAAAAGACAGGTGGGCCCGGGGGACCACTACCACCAAGACACGGAGACCAGTGGTGGCCCCGAATGCCAGGCTGCACTGACATTTATTGGATACAAGACAAAGGGGCAGGGTAAGGAGTGTGAGCCATCTCCAATGATAGGTAAGGTCATATGGGTCACGTGTCCACTGGACAGGGGGCCCTTCCCTGCCTGGCAGCCAAGGCAGAGAGAGAGAGGAAAGAGACAGCTTACACCATTATTTCTGCATATCAGAGACTTTTAGTACTTTCACTAATTTGCTACTGCTATCTAAAAGGCAGTCAGGTGTACAGGATGGAACATGAAGGCGGACTAGGAGCGTGACCACTGAAGCACAGCATCACAGGGAGACAGACGGTTAGGCCTCCGGATAACTGTAGGCGGGCCTGAAGAGGTGGAGTAGAGTCTTCTCTAAACTCCCCCGGGGAACGGGAGACCACCCCCCCCCCACACTTTCCCAGTCGGCTAAGTAGCGGGTGTTTTTCCTTGACACTGATGCTACCACTAGACCACGGTCCACTTGGCATCCGGCGTCTTCCCAGACACTGGCGTTACCGCTAGACCAAGGAGCCCTCTGGTGGCCCTGTCCGGGCATAACAGAAGGCTCGCACTCTTGTCTTTTGGTCACTTCTCACTATGTCCCCTCAGCTCCTATCTCTGTAAGGCCTGGTTTTTCCTAGGTTATGATTGCAGAGCAAGGATTATTATAATATTGGAATAAAGAGTCATTGCTACAAACTAATGATTAATGATATTCATATATAATCATATCTATGATCTATAGCTAGTATAACTATTCTTATTTTATATATTTTGTAATACTGCAACAGCTCATGCCCTCGGTCTCTTGCCTCAGCACCTGTGTGGCTTGCTGCCCACAGATAGGGAGCCAGGTGCAGTGGCTCATGCCTGTAATCCTATCGCTTTGTGAGGCCAAGGCAGGAGGATCACTTGAGCCCAGGAGTTCGAGACCAGCCTGGCAACATAGCAAGACCCCATTTCTACAAAAATTTTAAAAAACTAGCTATGGAGGCACATACTTGTGGTTCCAGCTCCTTGGGAGGCTGAGGTGGGAAGACAGCTTGAACCTGTAAGGTCGAGGCTGCAGTGAGCTGTGACTGCACCATTGAACTCCAGCCTGGGCAAGAGTGAGATCCTGTCTAAAAACAAAAACAAAAACAAAAAACAACAACAAAAAAGCCAGATAGGGTTCTAGATGACCACAGCTGAGTGGGGAAGGGTAAGGCCAGATGGCATGAGCCTCCGAGGAGCCAGGAGTCAGACGCGTAAGAGTGCAGCTGTGAGACTGACTGCTTCCACTCCTACAGGGGAACGCAGCTGAAAGCAGAGCTTGGGCCTGTGCCTCGCTCACCCAGAGCCAAAAGGCTCAACCATAATGACCTGACGTTCAGAGGCCCCTTGCCTAGCCAGTCTCCCCATCCTTAACCCCAACATTGATCTCCATGCCTGGGCCCTCTTCCCACTGCCCTGCCTTGTCATCGGCTGCACTGTCATCCTCAAAGTCACTCTGTACCTTTAGTCACTCATCCTTTCCGAAATGGTCCCCAAGTTTCCTCTGCAGAAGAGCCTGGCCCTGCCCTGCCATCTCACTCATCCTCCAGAGGCCTGCTGTGAGCGCCCACTTGGTCCTCACCACCGCACTGTCACCCACATTTATAGTCAAGTCTCTCTTATTAAAGAAGGGAATCTGAATCTGGGTTTGCCGTCTAAGTTGGCTTTCTCAGAGGCTACCAGAGCCCCAAGACCTCACCACCCTGCCCTAAAGCCACTCCGTCTTAATCTCTTTGCTCTGCTGTGGCTGTTGGAGCTCAGCTTCACACTCATTAGCAGTCCCAAGACCTCTGCACTGAGGCTGTCCTGAGGATCTCCAGAGGTGAGATCTGCCTTTCCTTCCTGGAATAGGCAGGGTTTTTTTCCAGCCTTCTATGAGCCTGGCAGAAAGGAAGAGGGACCCTACATTGAGAAATCAACTCAGCCATGCTCACATGTTGCTGAGAGAACTCACCAGCTAGCAAAGCCCATCAGTGCGCTCCTGAGGAATCAAATAAACACAACCTGAGCCTTAAGACTGAGAGCTGTTTAGGGCTTACTGTTGAGTGGGGGAGGGAGGGCAGAGAGCAGGATACACTATGGTCCATCCATAATGTGTTCAACCACATAAAATCGCACAATGAAAACTGAAAGGCCAGGCATGGTGGCTCACGCCTGTAATCCCAGCACTTTGAGTGGCCGAGGCAGGCGGATTACCTGAGGTCAGGAGTTCGAGACCAGCCTAGCCAACATGGAGAAACCCTGTCTCTATTAAAAATACAAAATTATCCAGGCGTGGTGGCAGGTGCCTGTACTCCCAGCTACTCGGGAGGCTGACACAGGAGAATCGCTTGAACCCAGGAGGCGGAGGTTGTGGTGAACCAAGATCGTGCCATTGCACTCTAGCCTGGCAACAAGAGCAAAAGTCCATCTCAAAAAAAAAAAAAAAGAAAGAAAATTGAAGGAAAGCATGCCCAAATATTTACAGGACTTACCTCTGCTGAGATTACAAGTATTTTCCCAAAATTTTTCTTTTTTTTTTTTTTTTGAGACAGAGTCTTGCTCTGTCACCAGGCTGGAGTGCAGTGGCGCAATCTCCACTCATTGCAACCTCCACCTCCCGGGTTCAAGCGATTCTCCTGCCTCAGTCTCCCAAGTAGCGGGGAGTACAGGCGCCTGCCACCACGCCCAGCTAATTTTTTGTATTTTTAGTAGAGACGGGGTTTCACTGTGTTAGCCAGGATGGTCACGATCTCTTGACCTCATGATCCACCCGCCTCGGCCTCCCAAAGTGCTGGGATTACAGGTGTGAGCCACCGTGCCTGGCCCAAATTTCTTTATAATATCCAAATATTCTACAATAAGTATATATTACTTTTATAATTAATTTTTTTTTGAGACAGAGTTTTGCTCTTGTCACCCAGGCTGGAGTGCAATGGTGTGATCTCAGCTCACTGCAACTTCTGCCCCCTGGGTTCAAGAGATTCTCCTGCCTCAGCCTCCTGAGTAGCTGGGACTACAGGTGCCTGCCACCACGCCCAGCTGATTTTCGTATTTTTAGTAGAGACCGGATTTCACCATGTTGGCCAGGCTGGTCTCAAACTCCTGACCTCAGGTGATCTGCCTGTCTCGGCCTCCCAAAGTGCTGGGATTACAGGTGTGAGCCACCACGCCTGGCTAGACTAATTTTTTAAGATATGGCTTCTACAGTAGTGAGTAGACATCTCGCTATGTCAGTGGAAAAACACTGTTTGAGTCACAGACCTAAGACTCTGCTGGCAGCTACAGGCCTTCTCCCTGGAAAAATGCTCATCTGCTCTTTCACACATCGACACCCCATTGTGCACTCCCCTGGGTGCCCCAATGCCAAAGGAACAAGCATCCCTGCCTGTAAGAGGCAGAATGTTTCTGGGCCAGCCACACTAACTGTAAGCTGACCAACAATGTTGGAACTTCGAAAGAAGTGTGTAAATCCAAATGGAAGCACCACAAAAAAGTCCAATGGCTCTGACACCCAGCCTGTACAGGGAAGGAGGTTAGTTACCCTGGCCTGAACCCCAAGATGACTGTGGCAGGTCTGTCGTGCTTAGGGATAGGGTCGCACAAGGTGTCCAAACATTCAGTTCATCCACCTGACTCCTTTGTTCACATCCCAGGCTCACAAGTGCCTTTAAGAAAAATGTGGCTTCTTTTAGGGCAGAGGTTTATAAACTTGAAAAAAGGCCAGAAAGGTGAGGTGTAAAAAACCACCAAAAGTATAATCCAACTTTATTTTATATGGTATAAGATTTAACAAACATATATAATGCCAGAGATTGTACTCTAAACTTCATATTGAAAAAATATAATTTGAAAATAGAAATAATTATCCCAAGTTTCGTAATTTATTACTTCTCAGATTTGAAATCCGAAATCTAACATTCCTTTCTTAGGGCCCAAGATATCAATCAGCATCAGGTTGTGAATCTTGCATAGCAACGTGCAGCAGAGAATTCACCTTTCCTTTAACTGGGAGCAATATTTAGTTTTACTTAGTTTCATAAGAGAAAATAGCTGCTCATAAACATAGGTATTTCCAAACATGCACAGAATCTTTGCACAATGTTTTTTATATTTAGGGTAACCACTACCTAGGAATTTGTAGAATTCTGGGATTCGCACATCATCATATTTAGTTTTCAGTATAGTGTTGCACTGCAATTCAATAACTTCCATTTGCAGCTCTGCATTCACATGATTAATATTCATCAAGAAAGGTGAACTGAACAATATCAGTTCATTTTCATAAAGTTTGCAATCAGATAATCTTTTTTGGAATTCAGTCTTCAATTCTTTAATTTTTGGAATATAGTTCAGGCCATCGCTTTCATTTTCAGAAACTAATTTCAGTGTAGGGAAGTGGGCCAGATTGTTCCTTGTCAAATGAGTTTCCCAAAGACACAATTTTGCTAGGAATTAGTGAATTGAATCATACATTTGTGTAACCACTTGTGAATGTCTTTGCAGAGAAATATCCAATGTATTTAGATGTGTTGTAATGTTAATCAAAAAGGCTAAGTCTTTGACCCAATTTTTGCTAGTGAGCTGAGGCACAGATTTTCCTTTAGAGGACATGAAAAAGTCAATTTCTTCCAACAGTTCAAAAAACTACTTTAGCACCATACCACGACTCAGCCACTTCACTTCCATGTCACAGAACAGGCTTCCATATTGTGCATCTAACTCACTGAACAAAGTGTTGAACTTTCTGTGGTTTGAGCCATGGGAATGTATCCAGGTTATGCTGTAAATTACTATGTCCATGACGTGATCCATTTTTAACTTTTTAGCACAAAGTGATTCCTGGAGAATGAGGCCATGCACACACTTAAGTTCTGTGCCTTTGCAAAGCCCTGCCACCTTAGATTTAGTTTTGTAACAAGTTGTTTAACACCAACCATTGCAGAATTACCATCTGTGCTAACACTTACTAATTTTGACCAGTCTACATTAAATTTTTTAAGACTTTTCTCAACACATAAAAATATGTCATTTCCTGATGCTGTGCCTGTTATGGGTACCATATCTAAAAGTTCTTCGGTCACATCAAAAGTTTCATCAACACCACGAATGAACACAGCCAACTGGGGAGCATTATTTATATCAGTGTTCCCATGAGCTGCGATAGAGAAAGCCACAAATGATTTCACTTTTTCTTGAAACCTGTCCTGTAAGTTTTCAGCCATATCATCAACATGCTGAGCAATAATGTTACCAGTTAGTCTTATATTTGCAAATGCTTGTCTCTGTTCAGGGCACATAATTTCTGCTGCATTCAACAAGCATTCTTTTATAAACTCCCCATCTGTAAAAGGTTTTGATGCCCGGGCAATTTTCTCACTTAATATATAACTACACTCCATAGCAGCATCACCTATTTTATTCACATTCAAAAGCAAGTCATGTTGAAATCTCAGTCTTTTTTTCAGTTTGTTAAGTTTTTTGTCACGCATCTTTTCTGTATATCCATCGTGGTTCTTGCTATGGTTTGTTTCATAATAGTGTCTTAGGGTATGCTCTTTCAACACAGACAGACTTTGCATATTCAACATGTAGGAACATTCTTTACTTCCACAAAAAAAAATAGGCTCTCTCCCATTTTTCTTGAAAAGTGTGGATGTCTTGTTCTATACTTTGTCTTTCCACTTGTGGAAGAGACAAATGCATAAGAAATATTAAAATGTCATCCTTTTTTTTTTTTTTCCCCAAGACAGAGTTTCGCTCTGTCGCCCGGGCTGGAGTGCAGTGGTGCGATCTTGGCTCACTGCAACCTCCACCTCCCGAGTTCAAGGAATTCTCCTGCCTCAGCCTCCTGAGTAGCTGGGATTACAGGTATGTGCCATCATACCCGGCTAATTTTTGTTAGAGACGGGGTTTCACCATGCCGGCCAGGCTGGTTTCGAACTCCTGACCTCATCATCTGCCCTCCTCAGCCTCCCAGTGTTGGGATTACAGGCATGAGCCACCATGCCCAGCCATGTCATCTTTACTATAAAAAAAAGGGCTATTTTCTAAGAAAAAAGTACTAACTCTATGTTTAAAAGTGCAAGTGTTGTGCTGTTCCCACCGCTGTTGGTGGGGAGACCCTCAGGAACTGTGGGGGTTACCAGCAAACAAGAGCAAAGGCCACACCTAAAAGGAAGCAGCTACTTCTCATCGCCAGCCAACTGCTGCCATGTGGGAATGCAGCCACGGTGCCACCATGGCTGCATTTTCTTTCCTTTTTCTTTGAGACAGACAGGGTCTCACTCTGTCCCCTCGGCTGGAGTGCAGTGGCACCATCATGGCTCACTGTAGCCTCGACCTCCCAGGCTCAGGCAATCCTCCTACCTCAGTCTCCTGAGTTAGCTAGGACTACAGGTATGCAACACCACGCCCAGCTAATTTTTTTTTTTTTTTTTTTTTTTTTACAGATGGGGTCTCTCCATGTTGCCCCGCTGGTCTTGAACTCCAGGGCTCAAGCGATCCACCCACCTCAGCCTCCCAAAGTGCTGGGATTACAAGTGTGAACCACTGCACCTGGGCAGATTTTCTGTTGTATCAAAAGAAGCTGGAAATCCAGGGGTTTATGTGAAATTTTTTGAAATACTCATAACAAATTCAATGGTCTCTTACAGAATAAGCCAACATGTTTGCCAATCAGATAAGGCAAATTAGGGACACTGGTTTGGGGTCACTTGTTTAAACCTGCAAAAACACTACTTGAAGAAAATTAATATCTGAAGAGAATTAAATATCTAATTCTGAAACCACAGATATAAGAGCTTGTTCAAACAAAATCCTAGAGGGTGCCCAAAAAAGAAAAAATAAACTGATGGGTTTCCTTTTTTTTGTTTTGAGACAAGAGGTCTGGCTCTGTTACCCAGGCTGGAGTGCAGTGGTGTGATCTCGGCCAGGTGTGGTGGCGGGCACCTGTAATCCCAGCTACTCGGGAAGCTGAGGCAGGAGAATCGCTTGAACCTGGGAGGCAGAGGTTGCAGTGAGCCGAGACTGTGCCACTGCACTCCAGCCTGGGCGACAGAGAGAGACTCCCTCTAAAAAAATAAATAAATAAAAATAAAATAAAATAAAATAAAAAATAAAGTGCTGAGTGGCCTTCCCATCTGTAGTCTGGCTACTCGGGAGGCTGAGGTAGGAGGATCACCTGAGCCCAGGAAATCGAGACTGCCGCGAGCCATGATTGTGCCACTGCGCTCCTGCCTGGGCGAAGGGAGTGAGACCCTGTCTCAAAATAATAATAAAAAAATAAAGTGCCGAGTGCCCCTAACCTCATACCAGAGGATCCCTTGGGATCCACCTGTGACAACCCTGGTAAATCTCAATCCTCAGAGCTCTGGGACCCCTCACCTCTCCAGGTGCTGTTCTTTCTATCTCTAGTTTCTTGGCCCTGGCTTTTCTCTCCAATATGGTCGAGAACTACGGCAAGCCCATCAATCTCTGTTCCCTGCTTTTCTTCCAAGGCTCTCTCTGTCTCAGCTTGTGACTTGAATTCAATATATGCAATCCTGCAATTGTGGGGATGAGGTGAGGGAGAGAAGAACAGTCAGCATTTAGGGCCACAGACAGTTATTTGTCTTCTGAATCAGTAATATACAAGATTCAAAATCCAAAAAGTAGAAAAGGATATGGTTTAGAACATGTAGAAAAAGGAAAAAAAAAAAGGATATGGTGTAGTCTTCCTTATATTCCTATTCCAGGCCACCCAATTTCTAACCACAGAGGGAACATTCTGTGTATATAAAAGCAAATGTATATGCACACACAATTTTTCTTAAAAAGCTTGAGATATAATTTACATATCATAAAATCCACCCATTTAAACTTTACAACGGTTTCTAATACGTTTACACAACTGTACAATCATCATTGTAAACTAACTTTGGAACATTTGTATTGTCCCCGAAAGTACCCATCGGCAGTCACTCCTCATTCCTCCCAACCCATTCTCACTCCAAGCCACAAGCAACTACTGCTCTAGTTTCTGTTTATATAGATTTGGCTATACTGGACATGTCATATACAGAATGACATACCATACTTTATCAATCCATCAACTGACAGACATTTTGGGTCATTTCTACTTTTTGACTATTAAATAATGCTGACATGAACATTTGCAGGAGAGTGTGAACATATGTTTTCTTTTCTTTGAGGTAGATACTTAAGAGAATTTCTAGACCATATGGCAATTCTATGTTTAACATTTTGAGAAACTATCAAACTTCTCCAAAGCAACTGCATTATTTTACATTCCCACCAGCAACATATGAGGGCTCCACCTTTTCCACATCCTTGTCAACATTTGTTACGGTTTGCCTTCTTTATTCTAGCCATTCTAATGAATGTGAAGTGTATCACATCATGGTTTTGATTTGCATTTCCCTAACAACTAATGTTGAGCATCTTTTTGCATGCTTATCAGCCATTCATATGCCTCGTTTGGAGAAACGTCCATTCAAATCCTTTGCCCATTTTTTAATTGGGTTGCCTTTTTATTGTTGAATTGTAATATGAGTTCTTTATATATCTGGACACAAGTCCCTTATCAGATATATGATTTGCAAATATTTTCTTCCAGTCTATAGATTTTTTTTTTTCTTTTTTTTTGAGACGGAGTTTCACTTGTTGCCCAGGCTGGAGTGCAATGGCACAATCTCGGCTCACTGCAATCTCCACCTCCCAGGTTCAAGCGATTCTCCTGCCTCAGTCTCCCAAGTAGCTGGGATTACAGGCGCTCACCGCCGCGCCTGGCTAATTTTGTATTTTTAGTAGAGACGGGGTTTTGCCATGTTGGCCAGGCTGGTCTCTAACTCCTGACCTCGGGTGATCCACCCACTTTGGCCTCCCAAAGTGCTGGGATTACAGGCGTGAGCCACTGTGCCCGGCAAGTCTATAGATTTTCTTTTTCTTTTTTTTTTTTTTTTGAGGAGTCTCGCTCTATCGCCCAGGCTGGAGTGCAGTGGCACTATCTCGGCTCACTGCAAGCTCCGCCTCCCAGGTTCACGCCATTCTCCTGCCTCAGCCTTCCGAGTAGCTGGGACTACAGGCGCCCACCACCTTGCCCGGCTAACTTTTTTTGTATTTTTAGTAGAGACGGGGTTTCACCATCTTAGCCATGATGGTCTCGATCTCCTGACCTCGTGATCCGCCCGCCTCGGCCTCCCAAAGTGCTGGGATTACAGGCGTGAGCCACCACGCCCGGCCCAGTCTACAGATTTTCTTTTGACTTTTTAAATATGGCCTTTGAAACACAAACATTTTTTATTTTGATTAAGCCCAACTTCTCAATTTTCTTTAATCGTCGTGCACAAAGTGTGTTTTCTTCTAAGGATTTTATGTTTTAGCTCTTACATTTAGGTCTTTGATCCATGTTATTTTTTGTGTACAGTGTGTTCTCCATTATGTTTTTACATAAAAGGCAGAATACTGTACACACTGTCTTTTTTCACTTAATATACACTTTGTCTTTTTTCACTTAATAATGTATACTGGAGATTATTTCCCTTCAGTACACAAAATGCGATTTCAGTCCTTTTTACAGCTATATAGAAAAATATCTTATGGATCTGCCAGACAATTTTAACCACCTGTTGCTTGATATTCAGGTTAATTCTAATTTTGCATCAAACAACTTTGCAATACATTATTTCACACTTGTCTGAGACTATCTGTAGGATAAATTCTTAGGAGTGGAACTGCAAGATAAAATGGTAACTGCAACCGTAACTTTGGTAGCTATGGCTAAGTACCTAATCTCCATAGAGATTTCTCCAATTTCACTTCCAATAACAAACTATGAGCATGCCAGTTTCTTTACTCTCTTCTCCACTGTGCTAACAAACCTTTCGATCTGTGACTACTTGATAGGTAAAAAGTTGTATCTCAGTGTAGATTTTATTTTAAATTGTTTTACTATGAGTGAGGATGAGTATCTTTTCCTATGCTTAAAACTCCGTTCCTGTCTGTCTGTAGCCTGCCTGTATTTCCCCTAAATTGTTGGTATTTTTCTTACTCATTTGTTAGGTGCACTTTTATTTTATTTATTTATTTATTTTTGAGACGGAGTCTTGCTCTGTTGCCCAGGCTGGAGTGCAATGGCGCGATCTCGGCTCACTGCAACCTCCGCCTCCCAGGTTCAAGCGATTCTCCTGCCTCAGCTTCCCGAGTAGCTGGGATTACAGGTGCCCGCCACCACGCCTGGCTAATTTTTTCTGTTTTTAGTAGAGACAGGTTTCACCATGCTGGCCAGGCTGGTCTGGAACTCCTGACCTTAGGTGATCTGCCCACCTTGGCCTCCCAAAGTGCTTGGATTACAGGCGTGAGCCACCACACCTGGCCTTCAGAAGGTTTCATCGTGGGGACATGCTTTATTTTTATTTATTATTATTTTTTAAGATGGAGTTTCACTCTTGTTGCTCAGGTTGGAGTGCAATGGTGCAATCTCGGCTCACTAACCTCCGCCTCCCGGGTTCAAGTGATTCTCGTGCCTCAGCCTCCCAAGTAGCTGGGACTACAGGTGCCTGCCACCATGCCTGGCTAATTTTTTGTATTTTTAGTAGAGACAGGGTTTTACCATGTTGACCAGGCTGGTCTCGAACTCCTGACCTCAGGTGATCCACCTGCCTCAGCCTCCCAAAGTGCTGGGATTACAGGCGTGAGCCACCATGCCTGGCCTGGTGCACTTTTTTTTGAGAGGCAGTCTTGCTTTGTCGCCCAGGCTGGAGTGCAGTGGCGCGATCTCGGCTCACTACAACCTCTGCCTCCCGGGATCAAGCGATTCTTCTGCCTCAGCCTCCTGAGTAGCTGGGATTACAGGCGCATACCACCATGCCTGGCTAATTTTTTCTATTTTTAGTAGAGACGGGGTTTCACCATGTTAGCCAGGATGGTCTCAAACTCCCGACTTCAGGTGATCCGCCTGCCTCGGCCTCCCAAAGCGCTGGGATTACAGGCGTGAGCCACTGCACCTGGCCTCTGGTGCACTTTTATATCAGTAAAACCAGTCTTCAGTTTTGATGAGTTACCAATATTTTTCCCTGGTGTGTCACTTGTCTTTTGACTTTGCTTATGGGGATTTTTTTTTCCTCCATGTAAAAATATATTTCTGCAGTCAAATTTATATATCTTTTTTTTTTTTCTTTGAGACAGAGTTTCCCTCGCTCTTGTCACCCAGGCTGTTGTGCAATGGCATGATCTCAGCACACTGCAACCTCCACCTCCTGGGTTCAAGCGATTCTCCTGCCTCAGCCTCCCGAGTAGCTGGGATTACAGGCGCCCACCATCATGCTCAGCTAATTTTTTTGTATTTTTAGTAGAGACAGGGTTTCACCATGTTGGCCAGGCTGGTGTGGAACTCCTAACCTCAGGTGATCCACCCGCCTCGGCCTCCCAAAGTGCTGGAATTACAGGTGTGAGTCATTGTGCCTAGCCAAATTTATATAACTTTTCTTTTGGGACTTCCAGGATTGTGTCATACTTCAAAAGGCCTTCCTCTCCTGAAGATTATTAAAACAAATAAAACCCAAAAATATTCTCTATGTCTTCCTCTAATACTTTATGGTTTCATATTTTACATGAAATCTCTAATGAACCTGTAATTTAATTTGGTGAAAGGTATGAATAAGGACATATCGAGTCAGATTCTTTCTTCTTGAGACAGAGTTTTGCTCATTGCCCAGGCTGGAGTGAAGTGGCACGATCTCTGCTCGCTGCAACCTCTACCTCCTGGCTTGAAATGATTCTCCTGTCTCAGCCTCCTGAGTAGCTGGGATTACAGGTGTGTACCACCATGACTGGCTAATCTTCTGTATTTTTAATAGAGACGGAGTTTTACCACGTTGGCCAGGCTGGTCTCAAACTTCTGAGCTCAGGTGATCCCCCCGCCTCGGCCTCCCAAAGTGCTGGGATTATAGGCATGAGCCACCGTGCCTGGTCTGAGTCAGATTCTTAAACATAATGCACCACATTCTGTTGTTGTTTTTGTTTTGTTTTGTTTTTGAGATGGAGTCCCATTCTGTCACCAGACTGGAGTGCAGTGGCCCAATCTTGGCTCACTGCAACCTCTGCCTCCCGGGTTCAAGCAATTCCCCTACCTCAGCCTCCCGAGTAGCTGGGACTACAGGAGCGTGCCACAACGCCCAGCTAATTTTTTGTATTTTAGTACAGACGGGGTTTCACCATGTTGGCCAGGATGGTCTCAATCTCCTGACCTCATGATCCGCCAGCCTCAGCTTCCCAAAGTGCTGGGATTACAGGCATGAGCCACCATGCCCAGCCTGCACCACACTCTTTTCTGGCATAGGTACTATGCTTTATTTCACATGGCCATGGAGTCTCTGGTTTCTCTTATCTCCCCTTTATTTATTTTTTATTATTTTTAATTTAGGACATATCAGATATTAAACTGAAAAAACAGATACTACACTTGATCTTAGCCAAAAGGCTGAGAAGTGATACAGTAATTCTTCAGGTAGAGAAATGATTACAAAGATTTAAGTATATTTAATTAAAACCTAATTAAACTTCGAGAAATTATATAGCTTTTGGCAGGAACTTGTTTGCTGGTTTTCTGGAGACTATAGGCAGAGTGCTCCCAAATCTCCTCCTAGTAAACACTGCTAACAATTTGGAATTTATTCTTTCAGATTTGTTTCCTCATATTTATCATGGCTTTCCAGGTCAATACATACAGTTCTATCTTATGCTTGAAGATCTGTAGTATTCTTTCTAGAGATTATGTTCATCAGAACATACTGCTACAGATTATTTTAGAGTTCACCTACACCAACATATTTAGCTCAAATGTATCTGTAAACCCAATACTCAATTTTCACCTCAATGACAATCCCTTCAAAATATATTATACTCCACCCTCTCTAATTTCACCATATTCACTCTCTTACTCTACCAAAGCCTAGATATCTAAGGACAGTGTTTCATTAATTGGTTACAACATAAACCTAACAATTCAATTCTATGTGCTATTTTGGTACCTGTCCAAGCAAGTTACTAAGTACATTATTCTAGTGGAGTCAGCCCTGGAGAGAGAAGACAGAATGTACATAATCTATGAATAAATTCCAATCTTCAATCTTGTACTTGGTAGCAGATGAAGTCTCTATTTCTCTATAGCACCACTACAGTTTTCTAGGAGTTTTGGCTGTCCCTTTATGATGTCCCCTTTGGCTTTTTATGCCTACTGGCAGAAATCTGGATAACTACTCTTTCCTTCTCTAAAATCAGGCATAAAAGATTTGAGAGAATGTAAGGAAATTCCATTATGTTTGTATCCAGTAGACATACATTCTTATTCAGTACGAGGTGCAAAACATACTTTTTACTCATCCCATCTTTGCTCACTAATCTGATTTGAAAAGCATCCTCAAACACTTCTTTTAATTCATGTGGAGTGACTTTGTCAGGCAGGTTCTTGATCAAAAGTGTTTTGGCATTTTGATCTACATAAAAACAAAAGAATATTTTTGGTGAGTTTAGATTTAGTAAGCATCAAAAGTCCCCTAAGATAGAAAAAATACCCCTCGGGTGGGGCGCAGTGGCTCATGCCTATAATCCCAGCACCTTGGGAGGCCGAGGTGGGCAGATCACGAGGTCAGGAGATGAAGACCATCCTGGCTAACACAGTGAAACCCCGTCTCTACTAAAAATACAAAAAATTAGCCGAGTGTGGTAGCACGTGCCTGTAATCCCAGCTACTCGGGAGGCTGAGGCAGGAGAATGGCTTGAACACGGGAGGTGGAGGTTGCAGTGAGCCAAGATCGCACCACTGCACTCCAGCCTGGGCGACAGAACGAGACTCTGTTTTAAAAAAAAAAGAAAAAAGAAAAAATACCCCTCAAAGAGTTGCAAAGTGGAAACAATACATCTTCATTAGTTTAACAAATATTTGAACACATACTCTGGGGTAGGGCCTGTGCTACATGCTCGCTGTGAAAACACGAACTTGGCCTCTGCTCTCAGGAATGTGTTCTTGTTGGAGAAGACTGGTAAATGAGGGTCATGTAGTTATAAACTTCGATAAGTGCCAGGATGGACAAGTAAAAGGGGCAATGAGGAAGTCTAGTAGAGAAGTTTACCCTAGTGTGGGGGTAAGGAAAGAGTTTTCTGATCTGAGGAAGTGATATTTAAGCTAAAACTGGATGGATGGGTTTCAAGTAGCCAGAGACTGAGTCCTGGAAAGAATGTTATGACAGAGAAAGGTGAGCCATGCAGCTCAAGCACAGGAGAGAGGGCAAGGTGCCACGGAGGCAGGTGGCCTGTCGGAAACTGAGGACTACTTGCATCAAATTAGAAAGAATGTGATATTCCTGCCTGACCCAGAATCTTCTAGACACATGGATACCTTTGAACAAATTACCTTGTTTGCATACCTTTGTTTCCTTTCCCTTTGGTTTCTTTAATTTCATACCCAAGGACTTTTGTATCACTTAGTTCCAAGGCTTTTTCTTGATCAGCAGATTTAAAATTCACATAACCAGCCGGGCGCGGTGGCTCACGCCTGTAATCCCAGCACTTTGGGAGGCTGAGGTAGGTGGATCACGAGGTCAGGAGATCGAGAACATCCTGGCTAACACAGTGAAACCCCGTCTCTACTAAAAAAATACAAAAAAATTAGCCGGGTGTGGTGGTGGGCGCCTGTAGTCCTAGCTACTTGGGAGGCTGAGGCAGGAGAATGGCGGGAACCTGGGAGGCGGAGCTTGCAGTGAGCCAAGATCGCACCACTGCACTCCAGCTTGGGCGACAGAGCAAGACTGTCTCAAAAAAAAAAAAAAAAATTCACATAACCAAATCTCCTACAGAGATGTAGAAGAAAAGGGAAAAAGCACACACAGGTAAGATGAAAAGCATATGCCTCTGGTTAGCTAATCACGCTAGCTGTTGGAATAGAAATTAGCACTAAGTCACGAGCAGCTGCCTAATTTACAGTTTAAAAGCAAGGCTCCACAAACTGGCAGTCAGTACTATGAAGTAACTATGGAGAACTAGTTCTTACCCAGGGGGCAAGCTTGACAATCTCTAGAGACATTTTTGGCTGTTACAAACAGGGAATCATCTAGTGTCTAATGGGTAGAATCCAGGGAGGTTGCTAAACATCCCACAATGAACTGGACAGCCACCATAACATAGAACTGCCCAGCCCAGACCCGGTGCAGTGGCTCATGCCTGCAATCCCAGCACTTTGCGAGGCCAAGGCATGCAGACTGCTTGAGCTCAGGAGTTTGAGACCAGCCTGGTCAACATGTATTTCCTGTCTCTACAGAAAATACACACACACAAAAATTAGCCAGGCATAGTGGTACATGCCTGTGGTCCCAGCTAGTCAGGAGGCTGACGTGGGAAGATGGCTTGAGCTGGAGGGCAGGGGTTGCAGTGAGCCGAGATCGCACCATTGCATTCCAGCCTGGATGAAAGAGCCAGAGGCCCTGTCTCCAAAAAAAAATTGTCCAGCCCAGAATGTCAGTAATGCTGAAGTCAAGAGACCTCGTTCTAGAGCAAGGACTGAGAATCAGTGCAGAGTTTGCCTATTGACATCTCTATTGGTTTTCTGCTTAACAACTGACAAAATTTAACCAAGAGCTATAGAAAGTGTGGCTTGAAATTACAAATTTTGGCTGGGCGCAATGGTTCACACCTGTAATCCCGGCACTTTGGGAGGCTGAGGTGGGAGGATTACTTGAGCTCAGGAGTTTGAGATCAGCCTGGGCAACATGGCGAAACCTCATGTACAAAAAAGGCATGGTGATGTGTGCCTGTAGTCCCAGCTATTCAGGAGGCTGAGGTGGGAGGATTGTTTGAGTCCAGGTGGCAGAGGTTGCAGTGAGCCATGATCACACCACTGCACTCCAGCCTGGGCAACGGAGTGAGACCCTGTTTCAAAAAAAGTTATTTATTTATGTATTTATTTTTGGCTCGGTGCAGGGGTTCACACCTGTAATCCCAGCACTCTGGGAGGCTGAGACTGACGGATCACTTGAGACCAGGAGTTCAGGACCAGTCTGCGCAACATGGCAAAACCCCGTCTCTACTAAAAATACAAAAATTAGCTGGGCATGGTGGCAGGCGCTTGTAATCTTAGCTACTCGGGAGGCTGAGGCAGGAGAATTGCTTGAACCTGGAAGGTAGAGACTACAGTAAGCTGAGATCGCGCCACTGCACTCTAGCGACAGAGGGAGACTGTCTCAAAAAAATTTTTTTTTGGAATTTTTAAGAAACAGGCAGGCCACAGTGAGATCGCACCACTGCACTCTAGCCTGAGCGACAGACGGAGACTGTCTCAAAAAAAAAAATTTTTTTTTTTAATTTTTAAGAAATAGGCAGGGCACAGTGGCTCACACCTGTAATCCCAGCACTTTGGGAAGCTGAGGTGGAAGGATCACTTGAGCCCAGGAGTTTGAGACCAGCCTGAGTAAAATAGCAAGACCCTGTCTCTAAGACTTGGAAGATCTTGGGATTATTTTAATATTTTGGTTGGGAAAATGGGGTAGCAAAGTTTAATATAACAGATTTACTAAACATGAGCCACTGAAGGATTTTACATATTCATTTTAAACTGCGAGTGACTGAGGTAAAATCCCACCAAAGGGTGAAGAGCAGGTAACAAAAGGACCTGAGAAGACAGCAGCCTATGAACCATCATGAAGTACTACAAAGCTACTGGAACATCTAAATTCTCCAGGAATAGTAAGTGCTGGGCTGATATGCTCTTAAAAACCTTCTTAGTTGATTGGTATTTACCTGGACAAGCCAACTTTGACACCAACAACTTCAAGATCATTTTTAGCAAAAAATTCACTGAGGCCAACTTTTAGTTCAGCAGCAGTTTTGCTGAAATTCAGGTTTCCAACAAACAGTTGGAATGCTACACGTGGTTCAGTTGCTACACAAAAAGGTAAAAAAAAAAAAAAAGAACTCAGTTCAGAAAAAGTAGCACTAAAAGAAAATCCACTGAAAATTGTAACACCAAGCTTCTGTAGCAAATCCCATTGTTGCTCATTTGGGCTAATGGAGACTAAGTTTTTGCCAATGTGACATTCTCCATGCATCTCCTGTGCCTTAAACCACGGCCAACACGCTACCTTCTAATTTCTTTTCTTTTTCTTTTTCTTTTTTTTTTTTTGAGACAGAGTCTGGCACTGTTGCCCAGGCTGGAGTGCAGTGGCGCAATCTCGGCTCACTGCAAGCTCCACCTCCTGGGTTCACGCCATTCCCCTGCCTCAGCCTCCCGAGTAGCTGAGGCTACAGGCACCCGCCACCACGCCCGGCTAATTTTTTGTACTTTTAGTAGAGACAGGGTTTCACTGTGTTAGCCAGGATGGTCTTGATCTCCTGACCTCGTGATCCGCCCGCCTCGGCCTCCCAAAGTGCTGGAATTACAGGCGTAAGCCACCGTGCCCGGCCTGTTACCTTCTAATTTCTGCTTTTTGGCTCCAGGGGACTCTTTCTGATTGGCCATTTCCTTCTTTTGTTTATCAGGTGTTTCTTTGATAGGTTCTGTGGGTGAAAGCCAGAATATTGCATTTGTAATCAACTGCTTGGGCCACTAATGAGTAAACTGGAAACTTTTATGCTATCCACAAACATCATTCCTAAGCTACACTTAATTGTCACAAGACTCATGAGTTGAGTCTGGTCAGGGTACTTTTAAAAGCATTTCTACATTAATAAGAAAGTTATTAAAATTAATAAAATAAATACAACAGCCCCTTCTGATGGGCTTCACTTACAACTAGCATTCCATGATGCCAGCCATACTGCTTAACAGGGCTGATTCAGATCATCCGACCTTCCCCCTCCTCCTCTTCCTCACTGCCTTTGCCACTGCCACTGTCGTCATCCTGTTCATCATCTTCAGCCCTCATGGGAAGGTCTTCTCTAACTTTCATCCCAGCTTTATCTTTTCCCCCACCCCTAGAATCGCAAGGGAAGCCACCTAATCAATTATTACATAGACTAGTTAAGAATGACAAATTCTCCTCTCAGAGAACAATTGTTCTTTTATATCTGGCTGTATACAAATATCTAAGAAAAAAATTCACAGCCACTTTAACTTTTATTTTATTTTGAGATAGGGTCTCACTTATGTTGCACAGGCTGGAATGCAGTGGTGAGACTACGACTCACTGAGGCCTTGATCTCCCTGGCTCAATCCATCCTCTCACCTCGGCCTACCTAGTAGCTGGGATTACAGGTGTGTGCCACCATACCTGGCTAATTTATTATTTATTTATTTATTTATTTTTGAGGCGGAGTCTCACTCTGTTGCCAGGCTGGAGTGCAGTGGTGCAGTCTCGGCTCACTGCAACCTCCACCTCCTGGGTTCAAGCGATTCTCCTGCCTCAGCCTCCCAAGTAGCTGGGATTACAGGCACGCACCACCATGCCCAGCTAATTTTTGTATTTTTAGTAGAGAGGGGTTTCGCCACATTGGCCAGGCTGGTCTTGAACTCCTGACCTCGTGATCCGCCCACCTCAGCCTCCCAGAGTGCTGGGATTACAGGTGTGAGCCACCATGCCCACATACCTGGCTAATTTATTAATTTCTTGTAGAGATAGGGTCTCGCCCTGTTGCCCAAGCTGGTCTTGAACTCCTGGCCTCAAGCGATTCTCCTGCTTCAGCCTCCCAAAGTGCTGGGATTACAGGGTATGAGCCACAACACCCAGCCTCATTTTAACTTTATTATGAAATAATTTTAAATATATTGTTCTTGCATTTTAATAACTATAGTAAGAATTACTGCTTTGGTAGCAATATTTTAAATGTTACACAGACTCCATCAAGACAGAAAAAAACCACTGAAAATTAAATCTGAGACGACCTACCTGCGTGGATCATAAGCATAAAGACAGAACTCATCAATGTATAGTATTCAAAGAGAAAATTTCTGGGCTAGGCATGGTGGCTCATGCCTGTAATCCCAGCACTTTGGGGGGCCAAGGTGGGAAGGTCACTTCAGGTCAGGAGTTCAAGATGGCCTGGCCAACATGGCGAAACCCCATCTCTACTAAAAATACAAAAATTAGCCAGTGTGGTGGTGTGCGCCTGTAGTCCCAGCTACTCAGGAGGCAGAGGCTGCAGTGAGCCAAGACCACACCAATGCACTCCAACCTGGGTGACAGAGCAAGACTCTGTCTCAGAAAAAAAAAAAAAAAAAAAAGGAAAAAGAAAAAATCTCTGACTAGGGTCAGGTAGAAAGCAAAAGTCAAACATCCACTGAGACTCCCCATCAATGAGGCCCATCCCGAAGAATCAGCCGGGAATTGCCAAGGCAGTTTTCAGAGGGATGGATTTTTAACAGAACCTCTCCCCAAGTGCTGTAGAATGGCACACACAGCAGCTTGTCTCTAACTCACAGCCACTCATCGGGAACCCCCTACAGAAGGATTCTTTATCTTCCTCATCCTGGTCCAACTCACTGTTCCTGTCTTCATTCTCCTGGTGGCTCTCACGGTCCTTGAGCTTGGCTCCCCTCCTGCTTGGTGATATTAACTTCTCAGCAAACACAGGAGCCAGAGACTTTTCCTCCCCTTTCTTTCCCGGGACAGTGGTATTCTTCCTGCAATTCTTATGAGGGACAAGAACCTGGAGGAGAAACAGCAACAATGAAAAGATGCCTCTTCATGAAGCTACCATCACACTGCACAGTCACTAAGTGCAAGATTCGGGTCGTGCATGTAAGTCAACAACTATTTCAACTCTCTAGGATGAATTTCTCCTAGAGAAATGTAGTAAAAAGCTTCCAGCACCAGAATCACCTGACATGCTTGTCTAAAGAAAAAAAACAAGGCCAGGCCCGGTGGCTCACGCCTATAATCCCAACACTTTGGGAGGTGGAGGTGGGTGGATCACCTGAGGTCGAGAGTTTGAGACCAGCCTGACCAACATAGAGAAACCCCGTCTCTACTAAAAATACAAAATTAGCTGGGCGTGGTGGCGCATGCCTGTAATCCTATCTACTCAGGAGGCTGAGGCAGGGGAATTGCTTGCACCCAGGAGGCGGAGGTTGTGGTGAGCCGAGATCATGCCATTGCACTCCAGCCTGGACAACAAGAGTGAAATTCTGTCTCAAGAAAGAAAATTAAAAAACAGAATGCTGGGCATGGTGGCTCATGTCTGTAATCCCAACACTTTGGGAGGCCAAGGTGGGCAGATCACCTGAGGCCAGGAGTTCAAGACCAGCCTGGTCAACATGGTGAAACCCTGTCTCTACTAAAAAAAAAAATACAAAAACTGGCCGGGTATGGTGGTGGACACTGTAGTCCCAGCTACCTGGGCAGATGAGACATGAGAATTGCTTGAACCCAGGAGGTGGAGGTTGCAGTGAGCTGAGATCGCACCACTGCACTCCAGCCTGGGTGACAGAGTGAGACTCTATCTCAAAAAAAAAAAAAAACAAAGAAAAATTCTCAGACTTCACTTAGCACTAACAAACCAGAATATCCACAGGGAAGCATCCAGATTTCTACAAGTAGGGACGCTACTGACCCAGGAGAATATACATCAATTATTCATGTCATTAGAGCCCCAATTCTGACTCTGTGTGACGGGTCAGTGTCAAAATGCAGGTGCAAAACAGTTTATTCAGTGTACCAGAGGGAAAACTAAAACTACCTTTAGGCTATGTATATAAGGTATATATGAAACATAAATGAATTTTGTGTTTAGACTTGGGTGCCATCCCCAAGATATCTCTTTATGTATCTGCAAGTATGCCAAAATCCAAAAAATCTGAAGTCTAAAACATTTCCAGTCCCAAGCATTTCGAATAAGGGATACTCAACCGATACAGTACATGCTCTCTTATCTATGTCAACGTAACCAACTGGCTGGATTAAATGACTGTCTCAATTCCAAACAGGTCTTACTATAATAACTTGATGCTTATGAAATCCCAAGCATGAGTGGGCCACTCTGTGGTACTCCTACTAATGTGATGTCTCTATGCCTGTGAGCTGAACTGTATCTTTAATAAAAACCCGCTGTGTTGTTTGCTAACCTGTATTTGCAGTTTCAACTGCAAAATTAACTAAACATCACATAAACCAATACCATCAACGCAAAAAGGGTGGGGTGCAGTGGCTCACACCTATAATCCCAACACTTTGGGAGGCCGAGGCGGGCAGATCACATGAGGTGAGGAGTTCGAGACCAGATTGACCAACATGATGAAACCCCATCTCTACTAAAAATAAAAAATTAGCCGGGCGTGGTGGCACATGCCTGTAATCCCAGCTACTTGGGAGGGTGAGGCAAAAGAATTACCTGAACTCAGGAGCTGGAAGTTGCAGTGAGCCAAGACTGAGCCATTGCACTCAAGCCTGGGCAACAAAAGTGAGACTCCATCTCAAAAAATAAAATAAAATAAGTGCAAAAAGTTATTGAGTCTATGAAAACAAACTTCAGTGCTTTGGAGGTACTTGATAAAGCTTAAAAAACTGCAATCAAGTTAAGGGTGCATGAGCAACCATAAAAGAATGGGAAAAGCTGTAAAACTGTGGGAATCTGTATTCAAACTGCTTTACTTACTAGGATGTTAGAGTTTTCCTTTGCTTTAAAGAAACAAACTTTAAATTGCAGAAGATGCATTATGTGTGTATTTTATGCAGGGAAGATAAGCTACTCCAGCAGTGGACTCAAAGATAAGGCCTTGGTCCTGTATCAAAATATTGCCAAAAGAATACATAATGTCTTAAATTAAAATCAAAAGGTATGGATGGATAATTTTCATGATTTCCCTACTTTTACTTTTTAAAAAATTGTATAAAGTGTATAACTGTTTTAATATACTTATGGCAAAATGGTTACTACAGTCAAGTAAATTAACAAGTCCATCATCCCTAATAAGTGTGTGTGACAAGGGCACCCAAAACCCACTTTTACATTTGATTAATTAAAACAATTAGACTGAAGAGGGTTGAAGAAAGTTTCTATCACACAACCAGCTGCTCAAAATGGACAACAAATAAATGCTATCTGCCTCTCAGAACAAGCTGCTTAGGAGAAGACTGAGAAATGAATGGGGAAGGTATAGGGGGTTTGGATTCAGCAGACCTATGTATAACCCTGGCTGTCACTTACTAGTTCTGGAAACATGAGCAAGCTGGTTAATGGCTAAATCTGCTTTCTTGTCTAATTTTAGTATATGTGCTGCCGAAGCGAGCACACTTTCTTGTCTAAAAAATGGAGCTATATGATGCCTACCTAACCCGGTCACAGTGAGGATGAAATGAACCAATGTATAAAGCAGTGGTCCCAAACCTTTTTGGCACCAGGGACCGGTTTTGTGGATGACAATTTTTCATGCATCCGGTGGGAGGGGAGAGGGATGATTCAAGTACATTACATTGATTGTGCACTTTATTTCTGTTATTACATTGTAATATATAATGAAATACAACTCAACATAATGTAGAATCAGTGGGTGCCCTGAGCTTGTTTTCCTGCAACTAGACAGTCCCATCTGGGGGTGATGGGAGACAGTGACAAATCATCAGGCATTAGATTCTCATAAGGAGCGTACAACCTAGATTCCTCACATGCGCAGTTCACAATAGGGTCTGTGTTCCTATGAGACGCTATTGCTGCAGCTGATCTGACAGGAGGCGGAGCTCAGGCAGTAATGCAAGCAATGGGGAGGCAGCTGTAAATTCAGATGAAGCTTCCCTCACTTGCCCACCACTCACCTCCTGCTGTGCGGCCTGGTTCATAACAGGCCATAGACCAGTCTGTGGCCCAGGGCTTGGGGACCCCTGGCATAAAGCCCTTGTACAATGGCTGCACATGTGAAACATTCCATATTCATTAGCTGTGTACCCACTAACCCACCTTAATTCTTTCAGGACTCAACTTAAACCTATCTATTTTCAAATTCCAAAGGAGAGACTCTCAGAAGAACATAGTGAGGACTATGTCAAAAGAAGAAATATGAAAACATGTTTGGCAGGTACACAAAGTAATAGACTTTTTTTTTCTTTTTTATTTTTTAATTTAAAACAGCCAGGCAGGGCTGAGGGAAAGCACCGCCCTCCTGGGCCATAAATGAATGGATTTTAATGAATCAATTTAAAGAATGAAGAGATTTAAACCAGTATTACCAGAAAACCAGTATCACTTTACAAACAAAGAACACCTTGGCATTCCCAAAATAACCCACACTTGGTCACGATACATTATGATGTATTACTCTTTGCATAACATTGATATTCAATTTGCTAATATTTCTGGAATTTTTGTATCTATGCTCATTAAAGAGAGAGTGGTCTGTGATTTCTCAAAATGACCTGGTCAGGTTTTGGTATCCAGTTTAGTGTGGACTTGTAATACTAGTTGAAAAGTGTTTGCAATAGCACTTTTGAGGTTTGTGTTTTTTGTTTTTGTTTTTGTTTTTTTGCTTTGAGACCGACTCTGTCTCCCAGGCTGCAGTGCAGTGGCACGCTCACTACAACCTCCGCCTCCCGGGTTCAAGCAATTCTCCTGCCTCAGCCTCCCGAGTGGCTGGGACTACAGGTGGGAGACACCACGTTCGGCTAATTTCTGTATTTTTAGTAGAGACGGGTTTCACGATGTTGCCCAGGCTGGTCTCAAACTCCTGAGCTTAAGCGACCCACCCTCCTCTGCCTCCCAGAGTGCTGGGATTACAGGCGACGGCCACCCAGCCCGGCCAACTTTTGAGATTAAACAATGCAGTTTAACTGCTTTACTCTGGATTTTAATTGTTGGCATTAATAATAAATTCTACTCTGCTCAACTCTGTACATATAATTACCTCATCTCTACTGCCATTGTCCTTAGCTTCTGACATCTCATCTTCCCCATCTTCTACCTCCTTTGGGGAAAGACTTATTTTCTTCAGTTCACCTTGACCTTTTTTCCTGCTCAAAATAGACAAGATTATTATTAGGCACATGACAAGGCCTTCACACATTCCAAGCCAGGCACGTTTTGTCTCTGGTATTTCCAACAGTAAACTGGCATTTGGAATAAACTTATGTTAGGCCTCATCTTAACTTTTAATTTTCATTTGGTATCTTTTACTCACACCAGCGAACAGAAAAACAAATACAAAAGGTGATTTTTGATGTTGTAGGTGAGGTCTCCCATACCTCTTCTTTTGCCACAATCGATAAGTGGAAACTCCTTAAGAAAAAAAAAAAAAAAAAAAAAGACAAATTCCCAGGAATTCCTTCCTATTCCTCTCATTCTGATCCGTCACGTGTTTTCAAGTAACTGTTTAAAAAATATATATATAGTTCCACTACAGACTACTCAAATGGAAGCACATTGGGCCAAAATACAGGGGACAAAGGGCCAAAAACAGTACCTGCAATTCAAGTACCTTTACTTCGCCAGTCAGATAATTCTGTGAACTGGGTCAGCGTCCATCACTACCCCCACCAGAATTCAGAACACACATGAGTCTATAACCCTCGCTGCCCACAGCAGCCCTTGTCCCTAACAGGTTTTCCTTTAAGGCTGTCGCGGTGCGCCCCTGCAAGCCACCGCGCGTGACGGACGCGGGCACGACGCCTGGGGACAGCCCGAAGAAAACCGCAGGCGCCGACACGCTGGTGACGCCCTCTCAGCTATTGCCCCAGATCCAAGGCGCGCGGGGAAGACGGCCACGTAAAGATACGGCGCCCTGGTGACTCCGCCTCGCCCAATCAGAGCCCGCGCAACCCCTGAACCAATCCTGAGCCGCGACCCTGGGAGGGGCGGGCGGTGCGGGAGCCTGGGGGCGTGAGTCTTGAGCCGGGGTGGAGGGGGGGCCGCACGTGCTGCGCCTGCGCGTGGAGCGGACATTTTGCTGCGGTCTAGCGCGGGAGGCGGGGTTTTGGGTTCGCTGGTCCAGGTGCGCGCGGTGTCCCAGGTCTTCGCGCCAGGTTGGCGCGGGAGAAGGCCGAGGTGCCCCAGAGTTCGAGGAGTTGGTGACGGTCACGCGGTGCGACGCTCCATGGCGGAGGGGCAGTCGGAAAGTGAATAGCACTCGTTAAAAGCGACCAGTCCGTAAGGGCGCGTGTGTCGGCGCCGTTACGGACCCCAGCGCTCGGGGTCGTTAAACCGTTTAAGTCGCGTCCCGCCCAGTGAGGGCTATGTTAGCGTCCTCGCCGTTTCCAGCCGTGAAGGAGGCACTGAGACGACAGCTGAGGGTCTCTCCGTTAAGGCTGTCGCTGCTGTAGGGGCCCTCGCCCGCTGCGTGTTTGTGCCACCCAGCGTACTGGGTGCTTTTTCAAAATTTTATCATGGACGTCTCAAAACACACGTGTGACTTAGATGGTAAAAGTTTCATTTTTCATTTAAAGAAGTTGAGGCTCGGTAGTTAAGGTTTAATTCTCCATCACTTAATACTCTCGTAGTTTTTTGAGTTGGACTGTCATGAACATGTGCTCTCACAAGGCCTCATGGCCATTAACACCAGTAGCCCCAGTAGGAGGATCAAGCTCCTCGGAGTTAGCCCCATGTTGGAACTTGAACAGTGACACTTTGGGGATATTGTGTGTGTTTTTAGGGGATAGGGAAGGGTGATCTTGAGTAAGGAGCCCTGGCCTTATCCTAGCTTCAGAAAGACCCAAACTGGGAAAGAATGAGAATAGAAAAAACAATCTGCCTACCTGTTTTAGATTTGGTACCTCACCAAACTCTTGTTACCTAGCTAACTTTATGAGATTAGCCCAAATATTTTAAGAAAATATTATATATATCTGATCAAGAACAACTGAAGAAAAGGCAAAAGCCCATTTCATTTAAGAACAGATGCAGGGTTCAAATAAAGTATTAGCAAATTGAATCACCACTCCCTGCCAGGAAGTATTATTAAAATCAATAACAAGGACAGGATAAGTCACAAGCAAAATCCATAAATGTGCCAAAATATGGCACCTTGGCAGTTGAGAAAACCACAGAAGCAAGGTCTCTGTAAGTAATCTGCTCCCTCCCATAAAGCAGGGTCATAAAGGAATTCACTGGCCTACCTCATGTGAAGTAGGTTGTAAGACCCTCATTCCAGAGGAGTCTTGTGCCATACCTGGGGAGGAGAAGTGTCATGCAGAGACGCAAGAAAGAATCTGAGCAAACGGGCCATGCCGAAGTCTCCTCCCACCCCTATGTATGACCATTAGATGATGCCCCTTTTGTCCAATCATGTTTCTGCACAACTATCTACTTCTTTCATCAGACTTAGCATAAAAATACAGTTTTCTTTAGGTCATGGGGTCTTCGTTTCTTAAGGTTCCTGTGTCACATAAGACTTTAAATTTGTTATGCCTTTCTCTCATTAACCTTGTTATAGGGGTGTCAGCCATAACCCTTAAGATGGGAGAGGAAAATATTTTCTCCCCTACCAACGAAATGATGACAGATTTGACCACATTACAATTTACAACTGCTGGATGCAGGAGTTTCTATAAACCAGTTTAAAACATAAGGAACAAATTAGAAATATTTGTAACATATACAAAACAAATTTAATATTGTAATATGAATGAAATACAAATCAAGAAAAAAACAAAAATGGCTGAAGGATATGAAAAGCCATTTTCAGGAGAAATTTGAGTGGCAAAGAATGAAGACATGCTCAACTATACAACCATTAGGGAAATGCAACTTAATAAGATACTTTATCTGTCAGAGTGACAGAAATTACGAGTGTTTGGGGATTGTGGAGAAACTGGTAAAAGGGCAAATTGTTACAAACACTTGGAGAGAAATTTGGCAGTTTTAGTAAAGGTAAAAATACTCATTCCTTCCTTTAGCAAATCCACTTGCATGTGTCTAACATAGAGAGCATTCAAACTGCTGGAGAGACATATACGTTAATCTTTATTGCAAATTTTGGGAGTTTTTTGTTGTTGTTGTTGTTGTTTGAGACAAGAACTTGCTCTCACCCAGGCTGGAGTGCAGTGGTGCCATCATGGCTCACTGCAGCCTTGACCTCCCAGGCTCAAGCAATCCTCCCGCCTCAGCCTCCTGAGTAGCTGGGACCACAGGCATGCATTGGTTAATTTTTGGGGTTTTTTTTGGGGGGGGTGTTGTTGTTGTTTCTGTAGAGATGGACTTTTGCCATGTTGCCCAGCCTGGTCTTGAACTCCTGGGGTCAAGGGATCCTCCTGCTTGAAGCCAGGAGTTTGAGACCAGCCTGGGCAACACAGCGAGATCTCATTTCTACCAAAAAAAAAAAAAAAAAATTAGCTGGGTGTGTGCCAGTAGTCCCAGCTACACAGGAGGCTGAGACAGGAGGATCACTTGAGCCCACCAGGAGGTTGAGACTACAGTGATCCCACCACTGTGCTCCAACCTAGGTAACAAAGTGAGACCCTGTCTTTAAAAAACAAAAATAAAAAGTGTCTTTTAATTGTTGGTTTGTTTTGAATTAGGATTTTAAAATATCTACACATTACATTTAGTTGATATGTCTCTTTTTTAAAAAAAAATTTTGAGCTGGAGTCTCCCTCTGTCACCAGGCTGTGCAGTGGCTGAATCGTGGCTCACTTCGACCTCCTGGACTCAAGCAGTCCTCCCACCTCAGCCTCCCAAGTAGCTGGTGCACCACCACACCACGCCAAGTTTCTTTATTTTTCATTTTTTGTAGAGAAGAGATTGCCTTCTGTTACCCAGGCTGGTCTCAAACTCCTGGGCCCAAGTGATCCTCCCACCTTAGCCTCCCAAAGTGCTGGGATTACAGGCATGAGCCACCACGCCTGGCCGTTAAATCTTTTGAAAACCTATAATCGAGAACCTCCCCTTTAAAAATGCCTTTTATTTGTTGGAGAAACTGTCAGTTGTCCTGTAGAATTGTCTCTAATCTGGACTTGGTTGACAATCTTGTGGTTCTTTACCATATTCCTTCATCAGTGTTTTTGTAAACTAGAGGCTTGGTTAGATTCAGGTTCAGCTGTTTTGCAAGAATTCTTTTTGGTGCTGTGTACTTCTGTAATGTCCCTCTAGGGGGCACTTAACCACTTCAGATCTGGTTGTTCCACATTCAGTGGTGTTAAAATTGATCAGACAATTTGAGTGTTGCCAGCTTGATCCATCCAGGATAACCATCAACCTTCCACTAGATGGTTTTAGGCCATTTTTTTTTTGTTTTTGGTTTTGGTTTTTGGTTTTTTGGTTTTTTGAGACAGAGTTTCCCTCTTGTTGCCCAGGCTGGAGTGCAATGGCACGATCTCGGCCCACTGCAACCTCCACCTCCCAGGTTCAAGCGATTCTCCTGCTTCAGCCTCCCGAGTAGCTGGGATTACAGGCATCTGCCACCACACCCAGCTAACTTTTTGTATTTTTAGTAGAGATGGGGTTTCACCGTGTTGGCCAGGCTGGTCTTGAACTCCTGACCTCAGATGATCTGCCCACCTTGGCCTCCCAAAGTGCTGGGATTACAGGCATGAGCCACCATGCCTGGCCAGCAGTGTTGTTTTACAAAGCAAATGATTGGGGATAATCTGTTACTCATTAAATTTTTTTTTTTTTTTTGAGACGGAATCTTGCTCTGTTACCCAGGCTGGAGTGCAGTGGCACGATCTCAGCTTACTGCAACCTCTGCCTCCTCGGTTCAAGTGATTCTCCTGTCTCAGCCTCCTGAGTAGTTGGGATTACAGGCGCGTGCCACCACGCACAGCTAATTTTTGTATTTTTAGTAGAGACAGGGTTTTGCCACGTCGGCCATGCTGGTCTTGAACTCTTGACCTCAGGCGATCCGCCTGCCTCAGCCTCCCAAAGTGCTGGGATTATAGGCATGAGCCACCGCGCCCAGCCTACTCATTAAATTGAAGGGGGGTAATATGCAGGAAAATGATGGAATCAAATTGCCAGAATGTTAACAGCAGTTAATTTGGGTGTTGGGAATGGAAGTAATTTTTTTTGGTGGTTTTTTGTACTTTTTTCAAATTTCCTGAAATGCAAATAAAAGAAATCCTGCCTGAACACATCTAAAGGAGGTGAGACGAACAGGGAGAAAGACTGGAGGGAAGGTTCCAAGTCCAAGTTCCAGGAAGGGTGGCCAGGGAAGTCCACGCGCCAGCAGTGATGATAGTGGACCTCAGTTGCTTTGCTTTTGTGTGTGCCTGTCCAGTGTTCATTCTGCCTCCTGACATCCCTCATTCCCTTTAGGCTCTCCACCTCCTCCCCTGATTCAGTTTTGGTGGAACTGCTTCCCTGGCCAAAGCTCAGGGGCCAGTCAGACCCTTCTCCCCAGGACTTGGGCGCATCACCTCCTCCTGGAAGCCTTCCCTCGGCTGGGGCAGGTGCCTCTCTTCGATGCCTGAGTTCCAGCTGTCAAAGCACTTATATGCCAGTATGTTTATCTGCCCTCTCCTTCACCCCGCCTCAGCCTTGAAAAGTGCCTGGCACATGGTTGGTGCTCAATAAATGTTGGATGAATGATGCCTGTGTTGCTTAGAGCTGAAGAAGGGGCTTGAATGTTAGATTAAAAGATTCCAGAAACTCTTGTGGATGTTCCATAGGATGTGGCTGCAGCTTCCAGGCTCTCCAGTCTAATTCCAGCCCATGGCCTCTTCTTATTGACCAGGGCGCACTTACCCAAGTTCGCCTTCCCTGAGTCCCCACTGTCCCGCACCTATGCGTCAGGCCTTTGATCCTGCCCAGTCCCCAGTTTTCCTGCCCTGCCTTGTGCAGAAACTTGAATGTTAGGTTGGGGTATTGCCTTGAAGGGGCCACAGAAAGAACATTTACTTTAGAGAGTCACCACCATCCTCAGACTACACCTTGTAGATTTAGAAACCTGGACACCATTTGGAACGATGTTGCAGACTGTCAGTGTTTGCCTCTGAGTCTCATTTGTGTGCAGGCAGATTGTACATTCTTTCTTTAGAAATGTCAGTACCTCTCAGTCCAGTCTGACTTTGGCCTTAGGTCATTCTGACATGTAAGGATAATTAGCAGCAGAACCAGGAGTCACAGCTGGGCAGCCCAACCAGAGAGTCCTTGCTCACCACCTCCACACTCCACTCTACTAACTCACAGTGTGTTAGAAGCACACTGGGGTTCTTTTCTTGTGCTGAAGAGGTTTAGACTGTTAGAAAAATGTAAGTATGAGTCAGGCGCAGTGGCTCTTGCCTGTAATCCCAGCACTTTGGGAGGCCAAGGCAGGAGGATCATTTGAGCCCAGGAATTCAAGACCAGCCTGGGCAACATAGTGAGACCCTGTCTCTATAAAATAAGATAAGAAGATAAGATAAAATAAAATAAAATAGTGTACGTATGTTTCTAGGATCAAATTCTGAAATCTGTCCTCATTTTTCCTGCCAGGAGGAGGAGGGGGATTAGAATAATTACAGAATATTACAGACTATAGTTTGCAGTTTAAAAGAAATCAATAATATTTGCTAATCTTAGAAACTGTAAAGATAACTGCTAGTAGAACAAACAGAATGTGTAACCTTCAAGCCAGTGGATAGATCAGTTAAGGTTCTTGGTTGCAAATGACTCCAGCCAACTTCAGCAGAAAAAGAACTTATTGAAATGCTCTCAGTAGCTCAAATATCAACAGGAAGGCAGGAAAAACTGGCTGAGAAAAAGGGCGGAACCCAAGACAGACTGGGCAGGATACTGCTGTCAGTGCTGCTGCCCCTGGACACGCCTGCCCCTGTTGTTGTGCGTCTTAGTGTCACTTGCTCCAGATACAGGTCCCACGTTGGGTCACCCAGCTGGCTTGGTCCATCATGTACCAATAGATGTCAGCAGTGGAGAGTGTCCAGAACTCTTTCACCCCTGTAAGTGGGAGACTGGGCTTAGTCTTCCACTGAGTCACACAATGAGAGATTCCCCCCAATAAGAAAGGAGTTCAAATGCTAGGGTGTGCCCCCTCTCCCCCACAAGGCAACTCCTCTCTACAAGGAAATTTGGTATATGTGCTGCTGAAGCCAGCACGCTACAAAGAAATTTGGAACAAGAACCTGATGGATCCATTAGAAGACAAGAATAGGGAAAGGGGAAGACTTGGAGAAGTGTACAAAAATGAGATAGGCTCCCAGATGCCAGGAATGATCTGGAAATGCCACCTGGTAATGAAGAGAACAGATGTGTAGTGCTACACACTTTACCTTTGCTGAGTAGATGCCTAACAGAAGGAAGGGTAGGCATATGCAGCTTTGTTTGTTGATGAGACTAATCTTGGACTTTCAATTTTCAAGGAAATTAAGCCTTTTTCTGAGAAGGGAAGAATTATTCCAGTGTACTCACCCTCAGGAACGCTGGCAGAGTAGGGTAGATGAACTGATGGTGGGATCAGAAAAGAAGTGAAGCTCAGAGGAGGCTGATGGATTGGGAGAAAGCCGTCTAGAACCTGGAAGTCTAGATGAGGTTAAAGAATAAATATGGCCGGATGCAGTGGCTCCCGCCTGTAATCCCAGTACTTTAAGAGGCCAACGGTGGGCAGATTGCTTGAGCCCAGGAGTTTCAAACCAGCCTGGGCAACATGGCGAGACGGTGCCTCTACAACACAAGAAAAACAATTAGCCAGGCATGGTGATGTGTACCTGTGGTCCTACTTGAGAGGCTGAGGTGGGAGGATTGCTTGAGGCCAGCAGGTTGACTGCTGCAGTGAGTCATGTTTGTGCCACTGCACTCCTGTCTGGGTGACCAAGCAAGACCCCATCTCAAACAAAAATAAAAGAATAAATGTGTCATAGGAGCAGAGAGCAGGATAGAGGCAGTAGCAGTCAAGAGCTCACACTTTCTGAAATGGGAGAGCACCTGGAGGCACAGGGAGTGAGGATGTGACCAAGGGGCTAGGAGACTGGGGTGGGGTCTCCAGAGCTGCAGGAACCATCAGTAGCTGGCACCCAGAGCAGCAGTGGGGTCACCCATGGACTCTGACGTCACCCAGGAAAGCAGCAGGAGTGGAGAAGAGGGGAAGTAGAAAGGGCCTGAACTCCACAGGAGGAGGAGGGATATGGTGACCTCAGTCGGAAGGGGAGGTGACTTGAGCCCCAGATGAGCTAGATACTTTGAGAAGCATGGAGGCCTCCTGACCTGGGAGTAGCACTGGGGACCAAGGAGAATGCAGCCCCAGCATGACCGGTGTTTTTGCCAGGTCTTGCTTCTGCCCTTTCCATTGCCATCCCTGTTTCTCAAGGGGTGAGTTCAGATCTGCTATTCCCGTTTTCCATGGGAACCAGTGACTGACAGGACCTGTTGCTGACGTGCTGCGGAGACATACATGGTGCTCACAAAGGGGCACCCTTCTTTTTTTTTCTCTTTTTTTTTTTTTTTTTTTTTTGAGACAGGGCCTCACTCCAATTTGCCCAGGCTGGAGTACAGTAGCACAATTTTGGCTTACTGCAGCCTCGACCTCCTGGGCTCAGGTGATTTTCCCACCTCAGCCTTCCAAGTAGCTGGGACCACAGGTGTATGCCACCACACCTGGCTACTTTTTGTGTGTGTGTATTGTAGAGACGGGGGTTTCACCATGTTGCCTAGACTGGTCTTGAACTCCTGAGCTCAGGTGATCCACCTGCCTTGGCTTCCCGAAGAGCTGGGATTACAGGCATGAGCCACCATGCCCGGCCCAGAGGGCACCCTTCTAACAACCCCACTGCCCGTCTGCTTGCTGCCTGCACATGGAGGCCCTTCATAATGCTGTCCAGGGTGCCTCGAGCATGAGGTGCCTCTGACTGTGGTTGAAGCAGGCCTCTGGGAGTCCAGAGCTGGTCTTGAGAAACAACTTCAGGGTCCAGCCTGCAGTTTGGGATCCGGCATCTCCCCCTCCCACCCCAAGGCTACTTCCCTGGGAGCTCAGGGGCAGCACTCAGGTGCTCACGGCTCTGCACAGCTTTTCACAGGCTCCTTTCTCTGCAGAATCTCCCTGTCCCTGCAGTCACTCCCCTCCCCTATCCCCCACCCTCCCCCAAGGCCCACTTCTTAGGAGCTGTCCCCACTCAGGGCTTGACTGTGCATTCAAGTCAGGGCAGGCTCAGGGCCCCCCACTGAGGAAACCACCTCCGCCAACCAGCCTCCCCTCAGCTCCCTCATCCACTCTCTGGCCTCCACGAGGTCCCCACTTCTCCCATTTTCTCCCATTGTCCTCAGTGTCCCCACTCCCCACCCCCAGCCTCTGTTGCTCTCTGTCCGGGAGCCCCTGTGCTTCTCCCAGAACTTGTCCACTGGGCAGGACTGACAGGCAGGACGGCTCTTCCTCCCCCGAGCCAGGGACTTAGTAGGCAGGGGGCATCCAGGCCTTCCTGGCCAGCATCTGGGAATTCACCCAGATGGTTTATGCAAGTCCTACTCCCCCAGGGCTGGCCAAGGCCCATCAGAGTGGATCCCATGAGTCAAATGAGTGCAAGCGTGAGCTTGGATAGAACATCCACTGGACAAAAGGCCAGATACAAAATTGTCTATGTGTATTGTGTATATAAAATAAAACCACCATATGACACATCACTAGGAGGAAACATGCCACTGTTACTGCTTCAGAGTAAAGTTATGGGTGGTTTTAATTTTTTCTTTCCTTTAGATTTAATCCTCTTTTTATAAAAATTGTGGTAAAATACACATAACATAAAATGTACCATCTTAACCATTTCAGTGTATAGTTCAGTATTGTTATGTATATTCATATTGTTGCACAACTGATCTCCAGAACTTTTTCATTTTGCAAAACTGAAACTCTTCACCCATTAAAGAACTCCTCACTTGCCCTTCCCCCATTCCCTGGCAAGAGAGGTTTTACATTTTTAAAATTGTTTTCATTTTTGCTTATTTGCACTTTCCAAATTTTCTATCATGAGCATTTATTATTTTTATAATTGAATTTTTAAAACTAAACATCTGCAACCCTGTACCACGTCCTCCACTTTCTCGGCAGGGAGCATGAGCTATGGGCATGAGCTAGGAAGCTGTCTGCAGGGAGAACCCAGACAGACCGACCGAAGGTCATCCTCCAGCTCCCAGCCTTGGAAGCCAGGGCTTCCTCTCAGGAGGACAAGACTCAGGGACTGCAGCAGGACAAGTTTCCTCCATGAACTGAGTCCTGGCTGAGCAATGACTTGGCCTGCAGGGATTCAGAATGGGGCTCAGTTTCAAGGACTACTTGTCCCTGTCCCTCTTCTCACTGCATTGAGTTCGGCAGAACCCTCCACAGGGTCACTCCTTGCCCTTGGTTGGCCATGTCTCTTGCCCTCAGAGACCCTCTGGCCAGCCAAGTCCAATGCTCTGCTCACTGGACTCCCGAGCCAGCCTGCACGTATGTGAGGACGGAGGTGGGCTGTGGTGGTGGGGTCTGCTTGCATGCTGGCTTTGCCCCACTTGTGCTGGGAGAGGCTGGGGAGGGCATGGGGAGGTCAGGGAGGAAGTGGGGCTTGGGGTTGATAAAGATGCAGATAATAACTTCCGCCCTTTCAGTCTGAGGGTATTGTTGGTTTTATTATAAGCAGTGGCTTACACACACACAGAAAGAAAACCATAGCTAAAGTGCCAAAGCATGACACTGTGGAAAGCCAGCGCCTCTTTCATTTTTCAGGCAAGGAACCAAGGCCTAGAAAGGTGGACTGATTGGCCGGGTGTGGTGGCTCATGCCTGTAATCCGAGGACTTTGGGAGGCCGAGGTCGGCGGATCACCTGAGGTCAAGAGTTTGAGACCAGCCTGGCCAACATGGTGAAACCCCGTCTCTACTAAAAATTAAAAAAAATTAGCTGGGCATGCTGGGGCTCACCTGTAGTCCCAGCTACTCGGGAGGCTGAGGCAGGAGAATCGCTTGAACCCCGGAGGCGGAGGTTGCAGTGAGCCAAAATCGCGCCACTGCACTCTAGCCTGGGCGACAGAGTGAGACTCTGTCTCAGAAAAAAAGAAAGGTAGACTGATATGCTTGATGGTGCATGACAAGGTGGTGACAGCAGGGCTGAGATTGGAACCAGGTCCCCTGGATCCCTGGGCCCCTGCCAGAACCTGAACAGGAACTGGGAAGGACAGTGAGGACCCAGTGGGACCGTTTCAGAAACTGGCAGTGGTGGCAGGGAGTCCCCAGAGGGAGGACTGCTGAGCCCCAGCTAACTGTGATATTTCTGCAGGGTAAGGATTTGAACTGGGGGAGTGGCAGTGGACAGATAAGAAGCACAAGGTGTGGCGTCTGGTCAGTGTGAGTCCTCAGCAGTCAGGGATCCCTCCTCCTGCTGTTTCCCTCTGAGGGAAACTGAGGTGCTGGTCAGAATTTCTAGGCTGAACTAGGGACAGTACGTGAAGGCATCCCTGCAGAGGAAGGCAGATGTGTCTCCCCAGCTCCAGGTGACCCTCTGGCCCCTCCAGGTGAAGCCACTTTAAGGCTCCACTCAGGATGGATCGGTCTCTTGCTGCGCCTCTGGGCCATCGTTCCCAGCCAGGGGGTGGACCCAGCTGCCCAGGGAGCCCACATCACACAGGGTGCTGCCTGTGGTCATCCTGCTGAGGCTGTGGGAGCTGTGGCGGGGTCTGAGGCGATGGCAGCAGGCCCCGAGGCACAGGGCCTCCTGGAAGGTCTCTCGGAAGCGGCTGGACATGAGGCTATAGAGCACGGGGTTGGCCGCCGAGCCCAGGTAGAAGAAGATGCCGGAGATGACGTGCACGTGCTGGAAGGCCAGGTGCAGGCCATCTGTCCACTGTGACACGACGCTCCACATGACGCGGTCGGCGTGGAACGGGGCCCAGCAGATGCCAAACACCACGACCAGGACAACTGCAGGGACAGAGAAGGGAGGCCGAGTGCCCGCCCGAGGCCCCTCAGCTGCCTTCCCGGGCTTCAGTTTGGGTCACCCATTTTCACATCCTCTCCTATCCCACAGGCCACCCTCACCTATCACCCAGGTGGAAGTTTCTGGAAATTTGCCTGTTCTGGCCATGCCTCTCTCAGAGAGGCTGCCCTCACCATGGTCACTGACTGTGGGCAATGGGGCATATCCCTGCCTCTGACCACAGCCAACTGGACCAGGTGTGGACACCTAAGCCCAGCCGGCCCAATCAGATTCTCTCACCCTGGAATATGAAATTGGGTGACACTTAGCTGTGGCTGTTGAGCTTCTGGGGTGATACAAGCTGTGGGGCTAGGGCCACTCTGGATGCCCACTTGGGGGCCATGCTTGCTGATGCATAAGTACAGAAAAGAAGAATGGGGCACGTGCTCAGAGAGCGGCAGACCGGAGGTCATGGGGCCAGGGAGAGTGAGACACACACACGCATGCACACACACACACATGCATGCACACACACAGACACACACATGCACACACACACACACTGCCTGCCTTGGCCCCGGCCTTTTCAGCTCCAGCCCCCAGCTCCCCAAGGCCCATCTGAATGTCTTGCCCTGCACTAACCTGCCCCCCATCTTACTTGCCAGGCCCTTGCCCACCCCCTCCCTAACAAAAGGTAGGAGAGTTTGGCAAACCTTCACTTTCTCCCCAAATCCCTCCTGCCTTGTTCTTACCCAACTATGCCCTTCCCTGGGTCTCTGCCACAGGGTCAGCTGTGATTTTTGTTCCTTGTTTCTTGGGTTTGCTGCTGCAACTCACTAGCTTTCCTGGGCAGTGTCTTCCCCATCATACCCTAGCATGGTTTTCCTCATAATCCCAGATTTCAAAAAGGACGTTGCTCACAACCTCCCTGGCCCCTGGCCTGGTGCACAGAGGGCCAGCGGAAAGTGGACAAGGGAGGGAGGGAGGGAAGAGAGAAGGCCAGCAAGCAGGAAGCCCACCTTCCAGGGGTGAGCCACCCCAGCTAAGCACCTACTGCAGACTCTGCCCACCCATGTTTTCAGGGAGGGGACGGGGTAGTAGGCAGGAGGCAGGGCGGCAGTGGGCAGCTGGTCCTGAGCACAGGCTTCACCGTGCAGAGCTGGGAGGCATGCACATAGCTCTGGGGTCAGCCTCGTTTCAGGAGCTGCACAAGAGACTGAGCTCTGGGACGGTGTCTGAGGGGTGAGAGGAGCGAGTCACTCTGGAGATGGGGCGGCCCCCAGTTAGCTGGCTCTGTCCAAAGTCTCAGTGGCCCTCTGCTGACCTGGCTCACCCCACTGGCCTGATTCAGGCTCTGCTGAGGTGGGGCTGAGCTGGGATGCAGGTAGGTGGATGGGGCGGATCTTTGATCGGCTTAGTATCAGTTTGTCTTGCTTCCCCAGGGCCACAGCTTTTGAAAAAGAGCCAGGTCCAGGCCACAGAGATCCAGAGCCTCATCCCAGTACCTTAGCCTGCCCTAATCCGCAGGCCTCTGGCCTGATCCCCTGTGCCTTGAGCCCGGCCTTCACAGACACGCCTCGGGATGGGGCTGTTTAGACAAATGGTCTCTCCTGCGGTTCCCAGGGAACCGCAGACATGGCATGGGGGAAATTCAGCACCTGGCCTCTCCAACACCCTCCTCCCCTTCTCTGGGGGACTTTGCTCCCCCCAGATCTCACTGTGTAGTTCCACTGGGGGCTGTGCACCTCGGCATCCTGCCACTCTGGCTCAGGAGGTGGGGCATGACCTAGGCCACGCCCATCAGAATCCTTCTTGGGATTTTTCACTCATCTCTAAGGAAAGACAGCAGTTCCTCAGGAAAGAAGATGGCGTGCCGGTGGCCATGCCTCACAGGCTGCTGCCGAGAAGAACAAGGCCAAGACACGTTAATAACCAAAGAGAGCCGGGTGCAATGGCTTATGCCTGTAATCCCAGCACTTTGGGAGGCTGAGGTGGGAGGATCACTTGAGACCAGGAGTTCAAGATCCGCTCTGGCAACATAGTGAGACCCCGTCTCTACAAAAATGAAAAAATTAGCTGGGCATGGTGGCACCTGCCTGTAGCCCCAGCTACTTAGGAGGCTGAGTGAGGTAGGAGGATCGCTTGAGCCTGGGAGGTTGAGGCTGCAGTGAGCCGTGGTCACACCACAGCCTGAGTGACAGAGCAAGACCCTGTCTCAAAAAAAAAAAAAAAAAAAAAAAGAAGAGGAGAGACCTGAGACCTGGAGGGTCCAGATCCCATTTTCTGTCATCCTGGAGCCCAACCACATGCCCTGCCCTTTCTGTGTTTTGGTTCCAGAGCCAGGGCCCCAAGTTTAGCAGGGTCCTGGGCTTGGTTTAATGCTCTGTTGTTGCTGTCTTGACATTCTTATTCATTTTTGAAAAAGGGACCCTGAATTTTCATGTTGCACTGGACTCCACAAATTACACAATCTTACCGTTAGCCATTAACAGGTATTTTTGGTGTAAGATTCTAGTAGGGTAATCTAAAAGAGTACACAGGAGTGCAACTCAGACACACACACACACACACACACACACGAGACTAGAGGAGTTCCTCGTCCCCCATAAACCCAGATACTCAGCCCCTTCTCCCAGGCCCCAGGAGCCCCAAACTCATACCCAGTGCCTGGCTCAGCCCCTCTTCCCAGCCGTGACACTTACACAGCATCTTGGTCACTTGTCTCCGGCCCCGATCGTGCTGCTGGAGCCTGCAGGTGTATCTGGACCTGGCTGCTGCAGAGCCCCTGCCCTTGGCCTCCTGCATGAGCAGCAGCCTCTCCCGCCGCAGTCGCAGCCCAATGAGCAGGTAGAGCACGCTCATGATGGCCATGGGCAGGCAGAAGAAGAGCAGCGCGGTGGTCTGCACTACCATGTTGTAGAGGGCCCGTGGGCGGACCAGCATGCAAACAGCTGAGTCTGGCACTGGGCCCCGGCAGGGCACGTGCAGCTGCCGGATGCCGTGCAGGCTGGTGTTGGGCAGGGAGCAGAGCATGGCAAGACCCCAGACGGCCCCAAGCACTCGGCGCACATGGGCCCGCGTCACCATGGACCTGGCCTGGAGTGGGTGCACCACGGCCACATAGCGTTCCACGCTCAGGGCAGTGACGTTGAGCACTGAGGCCAGGCAGACCATCTCAAACAGTAGCGTGCGGAAATAGCAGCCACCAACGCCCAGCAGGAAGGGGTAGTTGTGCCACATCTCATAGAGCTCCAGGGGCAGGCCCACCAGCAGCACCAGCAGGTCCGACACGGCCAGGCTGAAGAGGTAGTAGTTGGTAGGCGTGCGCATGGCCTTGTGGCGCAGGATGACCAGACAGGTCAGCCCATTGCCCACAGCGCCCACCACGAAGATCAGCAGGTATGTGGCACAGATGGGCATGAACAGCTCTGTCTGCTGGGGCCCCAGGTACTTGAGTCTCAGTGCCTCGTCAGTCAGGTTCAAGTCCTCAGGGTCAAAGTGCCCCCTGGCCGCACTGCCATTGCAAGCCATGGGGTTCCTTGCACCCCCTGGGTACAGGTCTCCAGGGAGGACAGAGCAATTGAGGCAGAGAGGAGTCTGTGGAACAGAGGGGAGAGATGCCCAGAAAGATCATTCAGGGAATGCTGGCTCTGTCCTCACTCATCAAGCCAAAGGTGACATTAGCGCTATGATGACCATTATTTTAGGCACCACTGAGAAAGAAAAAACTCTTCCATCCACAAGTCAGAGATGTAAAAATAAGCTTGGTGCAGTGGCTCACACCTGTAATCCCAACACTTTGGTCGAGGCAGGCGGATCACTTGAGATCAGGAGTTCAAGACCAGCCTGGCCAATATGGTGAAACCCCGTCTCTACTAACAATACAAAAAGTAGCCGGGCGTGGTAGCACACGCCTGTAATTCCAGCTACTTGGGAGGCTGAGGCGGGAGAATTGTTTGAACCCAGGAGACAGAGGTTGCAGTGAGCGGAGATTGTGCCACCGGACTCCAGCCTGGGCAACAGAGAAAGACCTTGTCTCAAAAAAACAAAAAGCAAACAACGAAAAAGTAAAAATCTACATTTAAAAAAAAAAAAACACGTGGGGTTTTGATTTTAAATTTCATGATCTATTGGAACCTTTGAGTAAATGACAGATCTTGGGTGTCTCCTCTTTCAAGCAATGATGCTAGATGAGGCACTCGTTTGGGCATCTGTAAAATGGGCACAATGCCTGGTATTGCAGGGTCTTCAAGAGCAAGCGCTCAGGAAGCAACTGCCTGGATTCGAATCCAGCCTCCCCAGTTCCAGGCTGTGTGACCTTTAGCGAGGTAACCTCTCTGAGGCTGTTTCCCTATTAGGAGGATCCAGGGAGTTTAATCCATTAAAGACATTAACACAGGGCCTGCCTGGCATACGGAAGGGCACGGGGATCACCCCCTTGCTCTGGGGACCCAGTCACTATGAGAGTCAAGTGAGGGAGTGTCAAGGCTACACACTACAAATGCTTCATCCACAAGTTGATTCTTTTTTCTGTTTTCTGTCACCTGAACTGTTCAGTCTCCATATTTGACGCCCTTGGCACTGCCAGTTCTGGGGTTCCCTCTCCTCTATTGAGCCCCACACCCTTCCTCCCGCCCGCCCTCACCCCCGCTGCACAGCAGCGCGGGAGCCTCGGGAACCAGTTGGGAACGCGCAGGCGCCAGCCCGGGTTCAAGGGAGGCGCCCTGGTCCTCGAGGAAGGGTCGCAAGCCCGCAGCCCCCCGGCGCCCCTGGCCGGAAGACACAAATGACCCGAGAAGTTGCGAGGCTCCCCGGTGGCGGGGACGGGGGGCACCCCGACGGAGCCCTCGGACCCTTCCCGCCCTAGGACGACCCTGCCCGCACCGAGCCCCGGCCCAGCTGCCGCGCCCTAGCCCACGCCGGCGCCTGCGCACCTACCATGCGGCCCGCGGCCCGCGAGACCCCGGCTTCCACCCTCCGAGCGACGGACACAGACGCGGCGCGGGAGCCAGTGGACTGACTGACAGCGGCCCCAGCCCGCGCCCCGACGCCCCGCCTGTCCGGCCGGGAACGCCGCCAGGGGGCAGTGCAGTCCCCGCAGCCCGGGCGGCGCCCCCTCCCGCACTGGCGGAGGACGCGGCCGTTGGAGGCGACACCTCCACAAGCAGCGTGGAGGCGACACCTCCACAAGCAGCGTTATCTGACGGAACCCTCACAACAACCCGTTTTACAGATGAGAAAACTGAGCCTCAGAGAGCCGCAGAGGAGGAGCCCGAGAGACCTGGGGCTCACATGTGATTCCCGCCCTCCAGCGTGCTGAGTTTAGCTTAACGCCGTCACGGTGTCCCTGCGGCCTCCAGCTCCTCCTGCCCCCCATTCAGACCCACCTCCAAGGACAGGGACGGCCCACCAGCCCCTTGAAGTCGACATGCCCCGGTGCGGTTCATCCTCCCAGGCTCCAGGCCTCTTCTTCTGTCCCAAGGCCCATGATTGCAGCCTCCGCAGCCCCTCTCACCCGCTGCTCCCTTCGGGGCCTCCAGTCCCTGAGTCCAGGCGCTCGGCCCTGCAGGACTGGGCAAGAGCCCCCTATTCTCCCTCCAGTCCATCCTCCCACAGCCACCAACGACCATCACCCCCTCGAAACCCTTCCTTGGGGCCCCCCCACTGCCTTCTGAAAAAGAGCACACCAAAGTCTAGCCTGGGGGTGGACCTCCCCACTCCTCACCTGCCTCCCTGGGCCACCCTCTCCTCACCATTGTCCTCAGCCCCAAATACTGTCCCCCTTATCCGTTCAAATGTTCTTCTGCCCCCATCACTGTACCAAGGGTGGGGGTATAGACAAGGATGGAGGGAATTTAGGGAAGGGTTAAGAATGCCCAGCCACAGCCTCCTGCTCCCCCACACTGCCCACATGCAAATCCCAGTGCCTCACCTGCTCCCACTCCCTAGTCCTGCAATCAGCTCCTTAGCTGGAAGCTGTTTCATCAGAAACTTCTAGGGACCCTAGAAATGACGGATCACACAGAGTAAAATGCTGGTTCCGGGGCCTTTGCCCAGAGTTTTGTCTCCTTAGCCTGGGCAAGGCCCAGAAATCCTCATGTTTGACAAACGCCCTCTGGAGAGCCCCATGCCCCAGAATCACACTGAGGAGCACCAGGAGAGGTTACAAAGCCACAGGACCCCGAGAGGCCACCGTGAGCTCAGAAGCTCTGTGTGCCTCAGTTCCCCTTCCTGTAGAATGGGCTAACCACCATCGCCACTATTGTGAAGGTGACATGAGACACTGAGCGTCAAGATTCAGCACAGGGGCTGGCACATGGCCAACACTCAAGAAATGTGGGGTGGGATTGTCACCATTTAGTGGCAACTGGAGGCTCCTCCTTCCCCCCGCTTTCCTGCACCCTCCTCCTCCCCACTGCCCCCCAATTCCATAAGTCACTGTCTGGGCTTGGGGATGGGAGTTAGGCCCTCAAGGAGCCTGCACCAGGCCGGCCTTCCCAGGAACTCCACATGTAAACAGAGTCCCAGGCAGGGGACGGTTGTGGGAAGTGCAGGGGCACGTGGTCCTCAGGGCCTTGGGAGAAAGGATTCTGTGGTGCCCTGGGAATTAACTACTCAGCCCCTGATGAGCTAGTCCAGGAGAAATCCTCAGTAACAGGGCTGCCAGCACAACAGACGGGCAAGGAGGGATGACATCACTCAGCATCAGAGACCACTGTGGCATCACAGGCTGCTCTTAGCAAGTGAGGAGCATTTGGACCCCAGCCCTTCACTGGAACACACACACACACGCACATGCATGTACACACACATACACACACATGCATGCACACATCACTCTGCACATACCACACCACACACACGCGCACACACATACCACTCTGCACAGACTCTGAGCAGTCCGAAAGTCCCCGTGGACCCTTTGGTTCACACAGCCCTGGAGGGGATGGGGAAGGACCCACCTAGCCTTGCAGAGGCAGAATGACTCTTGCCAGTCAGGAATTCCTACAGCGGGTTGCATCATTCACATAACATTAGCAGCCATCAAAGGCTAAAGAGCAGCCCCCAAAAAGGAGAGGCTCAGTGGCCACAATGGCTGTGGCCCTCACTTCCGCACTGTGCAGAGGGCCCTAGGGGCCCTGGCCTCCGGGCCTGAGCTCAAGGCCACCACGGTAGTGTCCCATCAGAAACGTATGACATCCTGCTGCTCCTGCTCCGTCCTGAGGTGGCACCCCCCAGTTTTCTGGGTGTACACATCCATCTAAGCTTGGCTGGTGGGCGTCTGCCCAGATGAGGGGGCCAAGGACCCAACTCTGCACAACAGCAAATGCATTCAGGGAGGGCCACTGGGACCTCCAGGAGCTGCTGAGATACCACCCAAGTCCCAGGCGTGTGCAGGACTCATGGGGCCAGAGGCATGTGAGTAGCTCCGTATCCCCTCCTCATCCTGCTGAGTCCCTGAGAGCCAAGAGGGGCTGCTTAAACTCAGGCCAGGCTTAAACCAGAACCTTCTCAGCCTTGGGCTGACCCGCAGCTCCTGGCAAGCCCATGGTTCCCCCAGAAACGCCCCAACCCCACCCCACTTACTGCCTACAGAGGGGAGGCAGGGAGGATGAGATGAGCTTGGGGACACTGTAGCTCTGGACAGGAGGGAGGCACTGTTCTGCAGCCTGGGCAATGGGGATCACCCAGGACCCCCATCACTAGGCTTCATTGGGCAAACATGGAGAACAAGAACAGTAAATATCCGAAGCAAGGGAGAGTCGCTGTACCCATCTGGGCACCTCCCAAGGTCAGAGAGCTCCCTACCCAGCTCTGCTCTGTGGGGTCCCAGCCTGGCCATGGCCAGGAGCTAGAGGAGGATGGTCTGGGCCCCTCAGGTGATGGGGTTCCGAACTTGGGGGCTGGGATTGCACCTCAGGGAGCCACGTGGCTTTTGTGTGATCATGCACCCATGCTCCCTGAGCCACCAGCCCTGGTCTGCTCACAGAAACTGGTGGGAGAGATGGTCAAGCCAGGCAGGGAACATGGTGAGTACAGGCTTTGGAGGCTGTGAGGCCAGAGTGAGACTCCGCATTCTGCCAGCGTGGCCTCAGATAAGCCACTTTGCGCTTCAGGCCTCAGCTTCTTTGCCTGTAAAACACAAACATAGCCCCTGTCCTTCAGGGATGCCATGAGGATTAAGAGTGATAATGTGGGTTTAAGCACTCAGTGCAGGGTTGAAGAGCCTGGAATTCTCTGGAAGATACCAGAAAGCTGCTGGGAGGCAGGGCTGGGGTGGGAGCTGTCCTTAGTAGGGTTTGGAAGGGCAAGGTCCCCAGCACCCCGGGAAGGAGAGCTGAGTCCCAGTGGAAAGGAGCACACAGGCTTGCAGGGAGCCCAGCCACAGTGCAGGCAGTCGGGGCCCTGCAGCCCGGTGGGGACCAGCAGCGGAGGAGACCTCCGGGGAGCATCGCCCCTGCCTCTCCTGCTCCTAGAGGGGACCACTGGGGACTGTCTAGCCCCTTGCCCCCTGAGGGCTGTGAGGCCTGTTCCTGAGCTCTCCCAGAGACAGCCAGCTCACAGGCTTCAGGCAGGGTGCTGGGCACAGGGAGCCGGTCACCTCCTCACAGGGGCTCAGCCTGTGTACCAGGCCCCAACCTCCGCTTGTGGCCAAAGGGAGGACATGTTCAAGTCACACAGTGAGAAGGCCAGAAAAAGCCTGTGTCTCTCATGTCTAGGGCCTGTGTGTCCCTCATGCCACCCTGGACTGGGGCCAGATCTTATTGTGTGCCCACAGGGTGCTCCTGGCACCTACTCCTCCAAGCAATAAAGGCCACCCTCAAGTCCACCAGCCTTCCCAGCTAACACACCACACTTGGGTGTGTTACAGAAGCTCCTCTTGGGGTCTTCCCATTTATAAATTCTCATAGTCATGATCAGAGGGAGGTTTCAGAACAAAAGTTTCTCCCCCTGCAACAGGTGACCAGCATCAGGACTCAGGAACTTGTTAGTCTGCAGCAGTTTGCTGTGTTTGATTTAGTAGTTTTTTTTCTTTTCCCTTTTAACTTTTTTTTTTTTTTCTGAGACAGAATTTCACTCTTGTTGCCCAGGCTGGAGTGCAATGGTGTGTGTGATCTCAGCTCACTGCAACCTCCACCTCCCCGGTTCAAGCAATTCTCCTGCCTCAACCTCCCAAGTAGCTGCTATTACAGGTGCGTGACACCACACTAGGCTAATTAGTAGAGACATGGTTTCACTATGTTGGTCAGGCTGGTTTTGAACTCCTGACCTCAGGCGATGCATCCACCTTGGCCTCCCAAAGTGCTGGGATTACAGGTGTGAGCCACCGCGCCCAGCCCTGACCTTTTTAACCTTTTATATTAGCATTATTTCATACCTACAGGAAAGTTGAAAGAATAATACAAAGGATTCCTATATTTTTGGGGGACTATGAGAGTCAGTTGCAGACATAATGCTTCTTTACCACTAAATGCTTCTGTTCTGGTTGAGTTTAGAAGTGTTCTATGAATACCATTAGTTCCCCCTGTCCAATAGGCAGTAGCCTACCAGGGAGTAGGTGTTAAGGAGGCAGTCCGCCTGGCAGGAGTAATATTTTATCACCAACATTGTTTAGAATCACTGGCACATCGTGCCACTTTTTAAAAAGCAGGCCACTTTTAGTCAGTTCAACAACTCTTTTCCAAACCTTCTCCATTATTGCCTGTTCCCAAGGCAGGCTGCTGCCACAGCCAATAGATACTAAAGCAGTAAATATTCAGAGTGCGAGGAAGGTCAGCATTACAAAGGGAATAACATTAAATTGGAGGAAATATATCAAAGAACCGGAAAGTGGTGATGAAATGACAGTGGTGCATGCATACGGAATGCGTCTTTCTAGGGTTGGGGTGTTCTTAGGAACAAAGACTGAATCAGGAGGTAAGTACACAGTGCTGGGCCTATCAACAGCAACTGCTGGACACAGGGAAAGGGGACCAAAGGCAGGTGCACTGAGGGTGTGTGATGGAGGAGCGGGCACCAGCATGGGCACAGTTGGCCTAAAGCTAAGAGAAGGCCAGGTATGTGAAGACTGAAAGACAGGGTGCCAGAAGATCCTCCTGTTGAATTGTTTTTTTGTTTGTTTGTTTGTTTTTGTTTGTTTTTTTGAGACAGGGTCTCACTCTGTCACCCAGGCTGGTGCAGTGGTGCGATCTCGGCTCACTGCAGCCTCAACCTGCCTGGCTCAATCGATCCTCCCACCTCAGCCCCTCAAGTAGCTGGAACTACAGGCATGCACCACCATGCCTGGCTAATTTTTGTATTTCTTGTAGAGACGGGGTTACACTATGTTGTCTAGGCTGGTCTTGAACTCCCGGCCTTAAGTGATCCACCCACCTCGGTCTCCCAAAGTGTTGGGATTACAGGTGTAAGCTACTGCAACAGGTAAGGATCTTGGTTTTCAAAAATCAAAACTGGCTCCAGCTGATTTAGGCCGGATTTCCTGAAAAACATCCGGCAGCTCACAGAATCAACAAGAAGGCTGGAGGGGCAGGGAGACGGTGGGGCTGCAGCTAGAAGGGTTGGCACTGTGACCCGGCATCCCGTGGACACTGGCCCCAGGCTGGGACCATGTCCCCGCCTTTTGAAGCACTTGCCCTGGACCCCCTGCCCCGGGGTGAGAGACAGGATGCTACAAAGTCAGGTCCTGCTGCTGCACTCTCGCTGCATGGGTGGGGTGAGCATGGGTCTTGCAGCCTTCTGGAGGGGAGGAGGGGCAGATTCCCCACCCAGTGGGTCATCCACAGCCCCTGGCAGACAGCCCAGGTGCCAAGCAGCCAGAACAAACCACAGATGACCCTGCCACTCAGGGATTCAAGCCCTTGTCAAAGGCACCCAGCCTCAGAGAGGGTGGCAGACGGCTAGTGTGAGCACAATGGAGTCACAAGGCATTGTGAGACCCAGGGTTGGGGGACAGCTTGTCCCAGCAGGCTTATAAGGTTGGCAAAACCATTTTGCAAAAAGATGCCCAGGAGAACTTTAGCATCTGTTTATGACTTTTTTTTTTTTTAAGACAGGGTCTTGCTTGTCACCCAGGCGCTGGAGTGCAGTGGTGCGATCACGGCTCACTGCAGCTCTGACTTCCCAAGCTCAGCTGATCCTCCCACCTCAGCCTCCTGCGTAGCTGAGACTACAGGCACACACCACCATGTCCACTAATGTTTCTATTTTTTTCGTAGAGATGAGGTTTCACCATGTTGCCCAGACTGGTCTCGAACTCCTGTGCTCAAGGGATCTACCCACCTCGGCCTCCCAAAATGCTGGGATTACATGCGGGAGCCATCGTGCTTGGCCTGTGTATGATTCTTGTATGCATAAATTATTACTATGATGGTCTGCCAAATGGTGATTCTAAACCCCATCATCCCTTCATTTCCGAGCTGACTGTGACTAGAAGGAGAAACTTCCTCTTATCACTTTTATTTATATCCATGTGGACCCATGATTTCTTATTCTATTCAAAGGATACTAATTCATTATCATTATTTGTGTTGATGTTCAGATTTGTCCCAGATTTGACCAGTGGGAGCCCCTTCAAGTTGGATCGTATATCCTTTTGATGTGTCATTATGAATATTTTGTATTTTCTGGCACAATACAATGTTCTAGGCTCATCTCCTATTTCTCTGGGCTATCCTGGAATAAGCCATTTTCCAAGGAGCTCTGGCTCCTTTAGTGGAGAATGATGGAAACCAAGATCAGCCGGGCACAGTGACTCACGCCCGTAATCACGCCTGTAATCACGCCTGTAATCCCAGCACTTTGGGAGGCCGAGGCGGGCAGATTGCTTGAGCCCAGGAGTTCAAGACCAGCATGGGCAACTTGGTGAAACCCCATCTCTACCAAAAATACGAAAACTAGCCAGGTGTGGTGGTGCATGCCTGTAGCCCAAGCTACCTGGGAGTCTAAGATGGAAGGATCACCCAAGCCCAGGAAGTCAAGGCTGTAGTGAACTATGCTTGTACCACTGCACACAAGTGTAGGGGACAGAGCAAGACCCTGTCTCAAAAAATAAATAAATAAATAAATAAATAAAGGACAGGCATGGTGGCTCACACCTGTAATCCCAGCACTTTGGGAGGCCGAGGTAGGTGGATCACCTGAGGTCAGGAGTTCAAGATCAGCCTGACCAACATGGTGAAACCCCGACTCTACTAAAAATACAAAATTAGCAGGGCATGGTGGCGCTTGCCTGTAATCCCAGCCACTTGGGAGGCTGAGGCAGGAGAATCACTTGAACCCCAGGAGGCAGAGGTTACAGTGAGCTGAGATCACACCATTGCACTCCAGCCTGGGCAACAAGAGCGAAACTCTGCTTAAAAAAATATATATATATGTAATAATAGTCATGAGATCTGGGTCAGATCTGGTGGTAATGAAATCAGTGCTCAAGATCTGGGTGCTGAGTGTGCTCATTACTGTTGGGTTGTTGCTGCTCCCAGACCCTCCAGTGGGCAGAGCTAGGGAATATATGTATGTATAAATATATAGATATATACACACATACTATATATACTGTATGTATACACACATATATATTGATACTTTTTTTTTTTTTTGAGATGGAGTTTTGCTCTGTCACCCAGGCTGGAGTGCAGTGGCATGATCTCAGCTCACTGCAACGTCATCTCCCGGGTTCAAGCGATTCTCCTGCCTCAGCCTCCCAAGTAGCTGGGATCACAGGCACCTACCACCACATCCGGCTAATTTTGTTTTGTTTTTTTGGGTTTTTTTTTGTTTGTTTGTTTGTTTTTTTAGTATTTATTGATCATTCTTGGGTGTTTCTCAGAGAGGGGGATGTGGCAGGGTCATAGGATAATAGTGGAGAGAAGGTCAACAGATAAACACATGAACAAAGGTCTCTGGTTTTCCTAGGCAGAGGTCCCTGCGGCCTTCCACAGTGTTTGTGTCCCTGGGTACTTGAGATTAGGGAGTGGTGATGACTCTTAACGAGCATGCTGCCTTCAAGCATCTGTTTAACAAAGCACATCTTGCACCGCCCTTAATCCATTTAATCCTGAGTTGACACAGCACATGTTTCAGAGAGCACGGGGTTGAGGGTAAGGTTATAGATTAACAGCATCCCAAGGCAGAAGAATTTTTCTTAGTACAGAACAAAATGGAGTCTCCTATGTCTACTTCTTTCTACACAGACACAGTAACAATCTGATCTCTCTTTCTTTTCCCCACATTTCCCCCTTTTCTTTTCGACAAAACCGCCATCGTCATCATGGCCCGTTCTCGATGGTCGCTGTCTCTTCGGAGCTGTTGGGTACACCTGCAGAAAGGCTGTCACTTCACACTTGGAAGATTGCACAGCAGCCAGGCAGAGGCGCTCCTCACTTCCCAGACGGGGCAGCCGACGCCCGGCTAATTTTTGTATTTTTAGTAGAGACAGGGTTTCAGCATGTTGGCCAGGCTGGTCTCAAACTCCTGACCTCAGGCTATCTGCCCGCCTTGGCCTCCCAAAATGCTGGGATTACAGACGTGAGCCACTGCACCCAGCCTGATACTTATTTTTATATCTATCTATAAATGTTGAAAAGCATGCACTGACATCAGTACCTGTAATTCCAATTTGACACCACAGCATTCATCCCTACGACACCTCCCTGAGAGGAAGAAACTCGTCTTCTGTTATTTTCGCCATATTTCCTCTTTGGGCCAACCTCCTCAGTGTGTAATTCACCTTCCGTTGCTACCATCACTGCCCCTACCAGACCCCTCCTAACCTAATCTGAATCCTCACTCTGAGCTGTTGCCCACTCACTGCATAGACACACTTCTCATAGCACCCAGGCTCCCAGGTAGAAGGAAACACGCTCCATCACTGTACATGGGAATGACAGCATTTCTAGAGGACAAGTTTAGCAACAGCTACCAATATATAGAAGTCTATCCTTTTGGCTCTGAAACTTTACCTGTAGAAATTTACAGAAAAAAATAGTAGCTCAGGCCAGGCACAATGGCTTACACCAGTAATCCCAGCACTTTGGGAGGCTGAGGCGGGCGGATCACTTGAGGTCAGGAGTTCGAGACAAGCCTGGCCAACGTGGTAAAACCCCAACTCTACTTCAAAAAGTACAAAAATTAGCTGAGCCTGGTGGTGCGTGCCTGTAGTCCCAGCTGCTGAGGAGGCTGAGACAGGAGGATCACTTGAACCAGATCATGCCACTGCACTCCAGCCTGGGTGACACAGCAAGACTCCCAACTCAAAAATAAATAAATAGTAGCTCAAATATAGAGAGATAAGTGGTACTAGTTATAACCTTGTTGTGATAGGGAAAAATTGGAGACCACATGAATTTTCCTTGTCTTAGCCCCCTAGAGACTTGTCTTTGTCTTAGCTTCTGAAAGCAGAGTGTCCCGCATGCCTGCTAGAACCGTCTCCCTGAAAGATCAGATAGTTTGTGGATAACTGACTTCCTCCAGAGATGTTAACTTTGCAGCCCTTTCTGGCTGTGTTTGTACAAGGGTCCAGAGGGCTCCTGGGTATCAGAGAAGGTCCTGGGGCAGAAAGCAAAGATGCAAGGCGCCAAGCTGAGTTGGGACTCTTTTTCTGTAGATGCAGCTGGAATCAAAGTCCCACCAAGGGGAGGAGACAGGGACCCCAAAGGCACCTGCTATCTTTATCAATAGAGAACAGACAATAATGGGACACCAGTGCTGTGGAATGGTGTGCAGGCGTTTGAAGGAGGGAGGTCAGGCCACACAGGCTGTCCTGGAAAGGCATCCAGGCAAGGTATGTTGCCAAGAGAAACCTGTAAAGAATGTAATGACATGGAGGGTTGGATTTCAGATATGTAAATTACAGGGTGGGCTTTTTCTTTTTTTTTTTTTTTCATTTTGTTTTGTTTTGTTTTGAGACAGAGTCTCGCTCTGTTGCGCAGGCTGGAGTGCAGTGATGTGATCTCAGCTCACTGCAACCCTCTCGGGTTCAAGTGATTCTCCTGCCTCAGCCTCCTGAGTAGCCTGGATTCTAGGCATGTACCACCATGCCCAGATAGTTTTTGTATTTTTAGTAGTGATGGGGTTTTGCCATGTTGGCCAGGCTGCCTTTTTTTTTTTTTTTTTTGAGACAAAGTCTAACTCTGTCACCTAGGCTGGAGTGCAATGGAATGATCACGGCTCGTTGGAGCCTTGACCGCCCAGGCTCAAGCCATCCTCCTGCCTCAGCCTCCTAAGTAGCTGGGACTACAGGTGCACCACCACACCCAGATAATTTTTTATTTTACTTTATTTTATTTATTTATTTATGTATTTATTTATTTTTGAGACAGAGTCTCGCTGTGTCGCCCAGGCTGGAGTGCAGTGGCGCGATCTCAGCTCACTGCAAGCTCCGCCTCCCGGGTTCACGCCATTCTCCTGCCTCAGCCTCCCGAGTAGCTGGGACTACAGGCGCCCGCCACCATGCCCAGCTAATTTTTTGTATTTTTAGTAGAAACGGGGTTTCACCATGTTAGTGAGGATGGTCTCGATCTCCTGACCTCGTGATCCACCTGCCTCGGCCTCCTATTTTTTATTTTTCATAGAGATGGGGTCTCGCTATGTTGCCCAAACTGGTCTCGAATTCCTGGGCTCAAGTAATCCTCCCACCTCAGCCTCCCAGAGTGCTGGGATTACAGGCATTCACCTGGCCCTTAGTCACGTTTTCTTTTCTCTAGCTAGCTTTACTGTAAAAATATAGTACATAATACACATAATATACAAAATTCATGTTAATCAACTGTATGTGTTATCTATAAGGCTTCCAGTCAACAGTAGGCTATTAGTAGTTAAGTTTGAGGGGAGTCAAAAGTTATACACGGATATTCAACTGCACATGGGGTCATCATCCCTAACCCCCACTTTGTTCAAAAGTCAACTGTAATTCAAGAAGTCCTGGAGGGAGGCTGAGGCAGGAGAATGGCGTGAACCCGGGAGGCAGAGCTTGTAGTGAGCCAAGATCATGCCACTGCATTCCAGCCTGGGCGACAGAGCGAGACTCCGACTCAAAAAAAGAAGTCCTGGGGCATCTGCAGAAATAACTGTGGACCAACTACAGGAGGAGCAGATAAGAATTAGTTTCGACCACAAGATTGGGAACAGATCAAGGGCACGGCATATTCATGCACAGGAGGGGATGGATATTGGCATCAGAGCAAGTATTGAGCTGTGGTGGCCTCTCAGTGAGGATGGAGGACACAGGAGACCCACTGTGGGACTCGATGTGATCACTGGCTTCCCTTAGACATTTGCAGACATGGCTTGAACGTGCTGACAGCTCCTCTCTCCGCCTGGGGGCGCTAGTTAGCACAGTGGAGTGTCTTCTGTATGTGCTGATTTAGGCCAGAGTGCCAGGGAGTTAACACCCAGGAACACGCTCCTTCTAGGGGTGGCACTAGTAGAGAAATGCGCCATGAGCAGCCAGCATCCACGATGGCCCCAGCGATCCCCGCGTCCTGGTGTGCACACCCTGGTGTAGTTGCCTCCCACATTGAACAGGGCTGAACTGTTCTACGGGATATTGAGGAAATGACAGCATATGCCATCCAAGGCTAGATCATAAAAGCATTGTGAAAACTAAATTGAGCAAAGGACTTGAATAGACATTCCTCTGAAGAGGTTATACAAACGGCCAGTAAACACGTGAGAGGGTGCTCATTATCACTCATCATTAGGGAAATGCAAATCAAAACCACAATGAAAAACAAAATACCACCTCGCATTCATTAGGTTGACTATTATTTTTTAAAAACCAGAAAACAACAAGAGTTGCTGAGGATGTGGAGCAATTGGAACCCTTATGCACTTGTGCGCTGTCATCGGGAATGCAAAATGGCATCACTAGAATGGAAAACAGCACAGCAGTTCCTCCAAAAATTAAAAATAGAATTATCATATGATCCAGCAATTCCACTTCTGGGCATATACCCAAAACATTTGAAAGCAGGAATTTGAAGAGATATTTATACACCCATGTTCATAGCAGCATCATTAGCAAAAGCCAAAAGGTGGAAACAACCCATTCATCTGTCCATTGGCAGATGAATGGATAAACAAAATGTAGTATATACATAAAATGGAATATTATTCTGCCTTAAAAAGGAAGGAGATTATGACATATGCTGCAAAGCAAATGAAGCCTGAGGATATTATGGTAAGTGAAATAAGTCACAAAAGGACAAATACAGTAAGAGATACCTAGAGTAATCAGATTCATAGAGACAGAAAGTAGAATGGTAGTGGCCTGGGCCTGGGGGAGAGAAATGGGGGGTTGTTATTTAATGGGTATGGAGCTTCCATTGTGCAAGATAAAAATAATTCTGTGGATGGATAGTGGTGATGGTAACACAACAATGTGAATGTACTAAATGCCACTGACTGTACACTTGAAAATGTTCAGTTGATAAAATTTATGTGTATTTTATGACAATTTAAAAATATTTAAAAACAAAAGCATTGCAGCTTCTACCTTACAATCTTTTGGATCACTGCTTTGGGGGAACCAAGCTGCCATGTTGTGAGGATGCTCAAGCAGCCTCGTGGACAGGTTCACACAGCAGGCAACCAAGGCCTCCTACCAACAGCCAGCACTAATTTGCCAAGCAAGTGAGCCACCCAGCAATGCTGGAAGAGTATCCTACAGCCCTAGTCAAGTCTTCAAGATGATTGCAGCCTCTTAAGAGACCCTGAGCCAGAACCATCAGCTTACCACAGAAATGGTGTGAGATAGTAAATGTTAATTGTTTTAAGCTGCTATATTTTGGGCTTATTTGTTATAGAGCAATGGATAACTAACACCCTCATACACTATTGGTGGGAAAGTAAAATGGTGTAGCCACTTAGGAAAACAGGCTGGCAGTTCCTAAAATGATTATAGAGTTGCCAGATGATCCAGCACTTCTACTCCTGGATATACCCAAGAGAGATGAAAACATGTGCCTATACATAGACATGAATGTTTACAGCAGCTTTATTCATGATAGCCAAGAAGTAGAAATAATGCAAATGTCCAACAATGGATTAATGAACAAACAAATGTGGTATATCCATACAATGGAATATTATTTAAGCATAAAAAGGAACAAAGTAGTAATATATGCTATCACTTGAATGAAACTTGAAAAGTGAAAGAAGCCAGTCACATAAGTCCACATATTATATGACTCCATTCATAGCAAAGTCCAGAACAGGAAAATCTATAGCGACAGAAAACAGATTAGTGGTTGCCTAGGGCTGAGGGAGGGACGAATAGACGTGATCACTAAAAAGAATGGAGTTTCTTCGAGGTGATAAAAATGTTCTAAAATTGACTATGATGATGATTGTACATAGATGGTGGCAATAAAAACCACTGCACTTGGCCGGGTGCCGTGGCTCACGCCTGTAATCCCAGCACTTTGGGAGGCCCAGGTGGGTGGGTCACCTAAGGTTGGGAGTTTGAGACCAGCCTGACCAACATGGAGAAACCCCGTCTCTACTAAAAATACAAAATTAGCCAGGCATGGTGGTGCATGCCTGTAATCCCAGCTACTGGGGAGGCTGAGGCAGGAGAATCGCTTGAACCCGGGAGGTGGAGGTTGTGGTGAGCCAAAATCGTACCACTGCACTCCAACCTGGGCAACAAGAGCGAAACTCTGTCTCAAAACAAAACAACAACAACAAACACAACACTGTACTGTACACTTTCGATGGGTATGTGAATTATGTATCAATAAAACTGTTTTTAAAAATACACCAGGCACAGTGGCTCATGCCTATGATCCCAGCACTTTGGGAAGCCAAGGCGGGTGGATCACTTGAGGCCAGGAGTTTGAGACCAACCTGGCCAACATGGTGAAACCCTGTCTCTACCAAAAATACAAAAATTAGCAGGGTGTGGTGGCACATGCCTATAATCCCAGCTACTCTGGCAGCTGAGGCAAGAGGTTACAGTGAGCTGAGATCACGCCACTGCACTCCAGCCTGGGCAAGAGAGCCAGACCCTGTCTCAAAAAATAAATAATAAATAAAAATAAAAATAGGTAACAAATGCACCACAGCTTCCTTGTCCCTGGGCGGGACAATTCTAAGCCATGTTCCACAGGGTATCTCAGGGGGTCCCCACCGTGTTGCCTGCCCATAGTCCTGACTGGCCTGGGAATGAATACACACTTCATTTTCTGTTGTTTTTTTTTTGACACGGAGTCTCGCTCCGTCACCCAGGCTGGAGTGCAGTGGCGCGATCTCGGCTCACTGCAAGCTCCGCCTCCCAGGTTCACGCCATTCTCCTGTCTCAGCCTCCCAAGCAGCTGGGACCACAGGTGCACACCACCATGCCTGGCGATTTTTTTTTTTTTTTTGAGATGGAGTCTTGCTCTGTCGCCCAGGCTGGAGTGCAGTGGCGTGATCTTGGCTCACTGCAAGCTCCGTCTCCCAGGTTCACGCCATTCTCCTGCCTCAGCCTCCCAAGTAGCTGGGACTACAAGTACCCACCACCACGCCTGTCTAATTTTTTCTATTTTTAGTAGAGACAGGGTTTCACCATGTTAGCCAGGATGGTCTCGATCTCCTGACCTCGTGATCCGCCCGTCGAGGCCTCCCAAAGTGCTGGGATTACAGGCGTAAGCCACCGCTCCCGGCCACTGCAATTTTTTTTTTTTTTTTTTTTTTGTATTTTTAGTAGAGATGAGGTTTCACTGTGTTAGCCAGGGTGGTCTGGATCTCCTGACCTCGTGATCCGCCCACCTCGGCCTCCCAAAGTGCGGGGATTACAGGCGTGAGCCACCGGGCCCAGCCAGAATGCACACTTCATTTTCTTTCTTCTCTTCGTTATCTCTCTTCCTCCACCCCCTCACCATGCTTTCTGGGCTTACGTATCAAATAAACGATTTCATCAAGTTCATGCTTCCAGGTCTTCCTTTTGAAGAAACCCAAGCCACAGCAATCCCCCTTGTTGGGCTGGAAATCAAGAAACCCCTTGGGGTAGAGCTGACCCTGAGCCCTGTCTGTAGGGAAACTGGCCAGGAGTGCTGTCCCCCTGGCTGACTGCCCAAGGCGTGGAGCAAAGTCAAGAACAGCCACAGAGCTGTCCTCAGCCATCAGGCATCCACCTGATGTGATTTGCACACAGGCTGACACACATTTTCAGGCCTGGGAACAGTAGCAGGGACCGTTAAACAGTCAGGCCCTGTCACTGCCCCTTACCCCAGAGGCAAGCTGTGTGGGACGTGTTCACTTCCCCTGAAGCTTATTTTGCCTCTTCCTGTGGCTGGGCTGTATCTGACCACACAAACCACCAAGACTGAGACAAATGAGTTTACGGAAGGGTGTGGGGCAGAGTTCAGCAGAGTCTGTGGGAAGGGTCAGACTCCTTGACTGTGATCTTCAACTCTCCGATTAAGAGAAGGCAAAGATTGCACAGCCAAGACTTGAAATTAGGGAACCAGGAACACCCTTCTGGCCCCTCACAGAAGAGGTGTATTCATTTGCCAGGGCTGCCACAACAAAATATCACAGGCTGGGTGGATAAACAACAGACATTTATCTTCTCCTAGTTCTAGAGACTGAAGTCCAAGATCAAGATATCGGTAGATTTGGTTTCTCCGGAGGCCTCTCTCCTTGGCTTGCAGGCGACCATCTTCTCTCTCCCGGGTCTTCTTAGGGTCTTTCTGTGCACACACATATCTGTGTCCTAATCTCTTCTCATAAGGACGTGAGCCATATTGCACTAAGGCCCACCCCTGTAAACTTATTTTACCGTAATTACCTCTTTTCAGGCCCTATCTCCCAATACAGTCATATTCCAAGGTACTGAAGGTTAACACTTCAACACAGGAATTTGGGGGTGATGTAGCTCAGCCCATAACAAGGGGAAAGGAGGCACAGGGACCAGTGCAATGAGGCGTCCTCTGCCCAGCGAGGCCCCTGTCATTTTGGCTGTGAACTCACTGACCGCCACCCTAAGCACAGGCCAAGAGTCAAAAGGCAGAGAGGAGAGCTATGGGCTCAACACGGCCTCCGCCACTGGCCTCCAGGCAGAGATTGGGAAATGAATGCCCGGAATTTTATTCTTTCACAAATTCAGCCCTGTTCAGCCTCCGTCAAACGCCCTCATCTTCAACCCAAAGACAGTTGGTCAATGTTAATGTTCCCAACACTCACATACAGGGTTGCTCAGAGCAACAACACCAGAGAGCCTCAGGCTGGCTCAAAGATTGCAGGAGTTGATCATATAATAAGGATTTTGATTTTATGTTTTATATATTTTACTGAGATGTTAGTTTTACATGCCAACTTGGCTAGGCCAAGCTAATAACTAGTACCCAGTTTTTGTTTGTTTGTTTTTGTTGTTGTTGTTTTGAAACAGAGTCTCACTTTGTTGCCCAGGCTAGAGTGCAATGGCACAATCTTGGCTCACTGCAACCTCCACCTCCCAGCTTCAAGCAATTCTCCTGCCTCAGCCTCCCAAGTAGCTGGGGCTACAGGTGCGCACCACTACATCCAGTTAATTTTTATTTTTTTAATTTTTTATTCGTTTATTTATTTATTTTTTATTTTTTTGAGATAAAGTCTCACTCTGTCGCCCAGGCTGGAGTGCAGTGGCGCGATCTCGGCTCACTGCAAGCTCTGCCTCCCGGGTTCACGCCATTCTCCTGCCTCAGCTTCCCGAGTAGCTGGGACTACAGGTGCCCGCCACCACGTCCAGCTAATTTTTTTTTTGTATTTTTAGTAGAGATGGGGTTTCACCGTGTTAGTCAGGATGGTCTCAATCTCCTGACCTCGTGATCCACCCGCCTCAGCCGCCCAAAGTGATGGGATTACAGGCGTGAGCCATCGCACCCAGCTGATTTTTATTTTTTTAGTAGAGATGAGGTTTCACCATGTTGGCCAGGTTGGTCTCAAATCCCTGAACTCAAGTGATCTGCTCGCCTTGGCCTCCCAAAATGCTGAGATTAGAGGCGTGAGCCTCTGTGGCTGCCGGTACCCAGTTATTAATTCAAACACTAATCTAGGTGCTGCTGTGAAGGTATTTTGTAAATGTAACTACCATCTACCATAAGTTGACTTTCTTTTTGCATTTAATTAATTAATTACTTTATTTATTTATTTATTTATTTTGAGACAGGCTGTCACTCTGTCACTCAGGATGAAGTGCAGCAGCACAATCATGGCTCACTGCAAACTTGACCTCCTGGGCTCAAGCAATCCTCCCACATTAGCCTCCCGAGGAGCTGGAATTACAGGCACATCCCACCATGCCCAGCTAATTTTTGTATTTTCTTTGGTAGAGACAGGGTCTCACCATGTTGCCCGGGTTGGTCTCAAACTCCTGAGCTCAAGCGATCTGCCCACCTCGGCCTCTCAAAGTGCTTGGATTACAGGTGCGAGCCACCACACCTGGCCTATTTATTAATTTTAAATTTTGTGGGTAGAGAGTAGGTGTTATAATGAGTTGGCTTTAAGTAAAGAAGATGACTTGCAAAAATGTGGGTGGGCCTCATCCAATCAGTTGAAGGTTTGAAGAGCAAAAACTGAGGCTTTTCCCAGAGAAGAAATTCTGCCTCGAGACTGCAGCACTGGCCAGGTGCAGTGGCTCGCACCTATAATCCCAGTACTTCGGGAGGCCGAGGTGGACAGATCACTTGAGCTCAGGAGTTTGAGACCAGCCTGGGCAACATAGTGAAAATCTGTCTCTACTAAAAATACAAAAATTAGCTGGGTGTGGTAGTGCGTGCCTGTAATCCCAGCTGCTCAGCAGGCTGAGGTGTCAGAATTGCTTGAACCTGGAAGGCAGAGGTTACAGTGAGCTGAGATCACACCTCTGCACTTCAGCCTGGACAATAGAGTGAGACTCCATCTCAAAAAAAAAAAAAAAAAAAAGGCTGCAGCATCAACTCCTGCCTGAGACTCCAGCCTGCCAGCCCCACAATCACATGAGCCAACACCTTGAAATAAATAATATATGTAGATATACACATATGTATACATACACATGCATGTGTGCATGTCCTGTTGGTTCTGTCTCTCTGCAGAGCCCACAGGGATACATCTACCCTTCATGGAAGGCAGGCATGCGAGGTGCTGGGTGTCCGTGTGCCAAGAGCATGGAGTCCACCATTCGGAGGGTGTGGGTGTCTCCAGGGGAGACGGCCCTCGAGGTCATGGAGGAGCAGGTGGGGCATTTGCTGAAAGTTGCCCTGCTGCTCCATGCTTGGAAAACGCATTCTGCTGTTGGTTTGACCAAAATGGCCAGAGAACCAAAAATAATCCCCACAAAGCTATCCCAAGTCCACACTGTAAATGGAAAATTACAGAAACCACTTGAAGGACTTGCAAAGTCCAGCTCTCCCATAAATCAGACCAGATCACGCCACTGTCTGCTGAAAATCCTCCTGAGGACCCTCAGAATAAACCCAGTGCCCAACACAGCCTGTGGCCCAGCCCTGCCCACCTCTACTCCCCTTCTCCTTTCTTGTGCCCCTGCCAGGTCACTCTCTGACACCTCAGGGCGTTTGCATGTGCTGTTTGCCCTGCTGAGATTCCCTTTCCCTGGCTCTTTGCCCAGCACCTTCTCATCCATTAGGGCTCTGACCACGTGTCCTGACATCTTGCCCCCAAACCTTCTATAACATCTTCTGTGTATGTCCTTTTGGAACAATGAACACAAGAGAATGAGATGAGCCTGTTCTCCTACAACAGTAGGAGAGATGAGCATCCATCTCCTACTTCCTTTCTGGAATACAGATGTGATGGCTGGAGGTCCAGCAGTTATCATGGACCCTAAAGTGCTCTGGAGGCTAGATATCACACCCTAAGAATGGCAGAACTGAAAAGCAGAGGAATGACAATGTGAAACTAACTATCTTTTTCTGTTTGCTTATTTTCCTATTTATTGTCTGTCTTCCCCCTCTGGTCTGTAAGTTCCAGGAGAACAGGCCCAACTTACTCTCTTGTGTCTCCCTAGTACCAGGCCCACAGGAGGTAGCACCTGATGTACCCTGAATGAATGAATGGCTCCTCAGCTCCTAAGTTCACTCACGTTTGGGTCAGAGTCCCTCCCCATTTTCCCACGGTGCCCTAGGCTGGCCCCATTTTGTCCCTTAGTGGTTGATGGCATTGGCACGCAGCTGTCCGAGAGTTTTAAGCTCCTGACTGGTGGGAGGCAGACTCAGACACATACAGGTTGGAGCCCGAGGAGAAAACCTCGCCACTGAACAAGGTGGAACTGAAGTAAGCCAGTTTGGACTGCCTGAGCTGAAGGCAGACAGGAAGGCAGGGCCCAGGGGCCAACTCCGAGAGTCACGGAAGGGATGTGGTCTCATCCTCATGTAGAAAATTTAAGAGATTGTTTCTGGGGTGGGAGGGTGGGGAATGGGGTGAAAAGGGGATGGATTTTACCATCATATCAGCTACACTGCTAGATTTTTTTAACCATGTACACGTATTGCCTTAAAATTAAACAATCACCGTGGCTTCTCAGTGGAACCTGGACTGCGAGAGATGAGAGGAGATTTGGGCTGGGACCTGTGGCAGAGGCTGCAGGCTGCCCACCCAATGTCATTTCCTCTCTCCCTATTTCCTGACTGACAGATCCTAGACTGTTTGTTTTTCCAAGTGACCATTTACACTGCATGTCTCAGCTAAATGACTACATTTCCCAACTACAGGAGGCCATTCAGAGGTTGTAGAGTGGGACTTATGAGGAAACGGTTTAAGAGAGACATACACAGTTGCTTGGAGGATTGCTTGAACCTAGGAGTTCTGGGCTGTAGTAAGCTAGATCATGCTTGTGAATAGCCGCTGCACTCCAGCCTGGGCAACAGAAGGAGACTATGTCTCTAAAAAAAAAAAAAAAGAGAGAGAGAGAGAGGGAGGCTGGGCACAGTGGCTCATGCCTATAATCCTAGCACTTTGGGAGGCCAAGGCAGGTGGATCACCTGAGGTCAGGAGTTCAAGACTAGCCTGGCCAACATGGTAAAATCTTGCCTGTACTAAAAATACAAAAATTTGCCAAGCATGGTGGCGGGCACCTGTAATCCCAGCTACTCGGGAGGCTGAGGCAGGAGAATCGCTTGAACCTGGGAGGCGGAGGGTGCAGTGAGCCAAGATCGTGCCTTTGCACTCCAGCCTGGGCAACAAGAGCAAAACTCCATCTCAAAAGAAAAAAAAAGGCCAGGCGCGGTGGCTCACACCTGTAATTCCAGCACTTTGGGAGGCCGAGGCAGGCAGATCACCTGAGGCCAGGAGTTCGAGACCAGCCTGACCAACATGGAGAAATCCTGTCTCTACTAAAAATACAAAATTAGCCAGGCGTGGTGGTGCATGCCTGTAATCCCAGCTACTCGGGAGGCTAAGGCAGGAGAATCACTTGAACCTGGGAGGCAGAGGTTGCAGTGAGCGGGGAGATCGTGCCATTGCACTCCAGCCTGAGCAACAAGAGTGAAACTCCGTCTCAAAAAAAAAAAAAAAAAAAAAAAAAGAGGCTAGCCGGGCACAGTGGCTCACATCTGTAATCCCAGCACTTTGGAAGGGTGCGGCAGGCAAATCACTTGAGCTCAGGCCAGCCTGGGCAACATGATGAGACCCCGTTGCTACAAAAAAATAAAAAATAAAGAGAGGGTTGGGGACAGACAGCTGATGAAAGCTATTTTTATACCTTCTCCTTAGCCTCCATCTCCTAATTCCTTTCTAGAATACAGATGTGATGGCTGGAGGTCCAGCAGCTATCATGGACCCTGAAGTGATCTGGAGGCTAGACATCACACCCTAAGAATGGCAGAGCTGAAAGGCAGAGGAAACATGAGTCTCTGGTGATACTATGAAGCTTCTAGTCCAGCCCTGAACACAATAAAAGTTTTTCTTTCTCAGGGTCTCTACAGGGAGACAAGAGGGGTATTCTTCTTATCTATGTCACCGATGGGCTGATGCTGATGGAGTAACCACCATGTTGAACATCACTCTATTAGAGCCCTGGAGGGTACTGGTAACTAAATATTTAGCCTGGATGTCAAATCACTTCTACTCATTGGCCAGAACTAGCCCCATGGCTCCGTCTAATCAATGGTAAGACAGCCAGGAAATGTCATCCTGCCAAGTACCCAGAAGGCAGGGAGCAGAAGGAGGTCCAGTGATCATCATTAAGAAATCAAGTTGGGGCTGGGCGTGGTGGCTCACGCTTGTAATCCCACCACTGTGAGAGGCCAAGGCGGGTGTATCACCTGAGGTCGGGAGTTCAAGACCAGCCTGAACAACATGGAGAAACCCCGTGTCTACTAAAAATACAAAATTAGCTGGGCATGATGGTGCATGCCTGTAATCCCAGCTACTCAGGAGGCTGAGGCAGGAGAATTGCTTGAACCCGGGAGCTAGAGGTTGCGGTGAGCTGAGATCGCACCATTGCACGCCAGCCTAGGCAACAAGAGCAAAACTCCATCTAAAAAAAAAAAAAGAAAGAAAAGAAAGAAATCAAGTTGTCCAGGAGCAGTGGCTCACGCCTATAATCCCAGCACTTTGGGAGGCCAAGGCAGGTGGATCACCTGAGGTCAGGAGTTCAAGACCAGCCTGGCTGACATGGTGAAACGGCATCTCCACTAAAAATACAAAATTACCCGGGTGTGGTGGCTCATGCCCGTGATCCCAGATACTGGGGAGGCTGACGCAGGAGAATCACTTGAACCTGGAAGATGGAGATTGCAGTGAGCCAAGATCACACCATTGCTCCCCAGCCTGGGCAACAAGAGTGAAATTCCATCTCAAAAAAAAAAAAAAAAAAAAAGAAAAAAGAAATCAAGTTGAGTTCAATATTTATTCCTCTTCATACAGAAGGAACCGATATTTAAACATATTAAAATCTCCATATTTTTCTCAAATAATATAATGAACTTAGAATATTTTAATGCCAATCTCCTCTCATCTTTGTGGTATTATCTTCTTTTTTTATTTTAAAAAACTTTTTTAAAGACAGGGTTTTGCTCTCTGTCACCCAGGCTAGAGTGCAGTGGCATGATCATAGCTCACTGCAGCCTCAAGCTCCTGGGTTCCCACCTCAGCCTCCGAGTGGCTAGGACTACAGGCAAGTACTACCATGCCTGGCTAATTAAAAAAAAAAAAAAAAATTGTAGAGACAGGTTCTCACTATGTTGCCTAGGCTGATCTCAAACTCCTGGCCTCAAGCAATCTTCCTGCCTCAGACTCCCAAAGCCCTGGGATTACAGGTGTGAGCTACTATGCCCAGCCCTGAAGTATTATTTTCTAGAAAACAAGTTAATATATGTAAAGTGCTTAAAACAATGCCTGGCATGTAGCAAGCACTATATGGGTCTTCTATTATAAGTGGTTGCATTAAAGTGAAATTGGTCTTTTTCTTTTCTTGTTTTAATTATGTAACACTTATTTACATTATTTAGCACAGGTTTGGCCATTTCTAGCTCCTCAAGTATGAACTCTCTCATTCTGTTATTCTCTTCCTCTGGAACTCTTGTTTAATGGCTGCTGCATCATTTCATTCTCTCCTCCCAACTCCATTTCTTTACCTCATTGTGATGCATTCTGGAAAATTTCTTCAGCTTTGTTTTCTAATTCACTAATTCTTTCTTTGGCTGTGTCTAAAATACCATTTCACTCATCCAATGATGTTTTTTCCTGTTCTGTAGTTGTATTTTTATAGCTATAACTTTTGTTTAATTATTTTTCAAATCTGCCTATCCTGTTTTCATTTTATTCAGTCCTTACATTATGGTTTATAGCTCTTTTTTTTTTCCTGTGAACACTTTAAACACTTTGCATTAGAGTACATTTTAGATTTTTCTATTAATTATATTCCTTGGGAGGCTATTCTTCCTATTTCCTTCTGACTGTTGCTTTTCTAATTTTTGACCCCTTGTGAGCTCAACTCAGTGGGGGATGCTTTCCATGGGAGTCTCTCATTCCTAAATTGTAGAAACAATCCTACAGAGAGGCTTTGCATTTGCCTCTCTCAAGCTGCCGAGATGTGCCAGTTATGCTAATTTCTTGGTCCCCTTTGTAATTTCAAAACCCCTGCCCAAAGCATTGAAGGCCAACATCTGGCTCCAAAACTCCATGAGCCATTTCAACTTCTCCTCCCACTAACTCTCTCATTTTATGTTCCCTTTGTATTCCCAGCACCCAGAGATTTTCTGCTCTTATTTAAAGCTGGTTGAGGGTTCAAAGCATTATTGAACTATATTTTCTTCAGTGTCTCCATGTGTAGTCATTTCTTATATACTTTCTTATTTTCTCATTTGTTTATAGCACACAGTTTAGCAAATAACTGTACACTATCTTGTCCATTACTTAAGTGTGTATATTTTCTCTCCCTGACAATATGTAGATGCTCCTCGTTATGGGCAGAATTGTCATCCCAAAATTCATAAGCTGAAGTCCTAACCCTCAATTAGTATGACTGTATTTGGACATAGGATCTTTGAAGAAGTAGAGTTAAATGAGGTCATGGGAGCGGGCTCTATCCAATATGACTGGAGTCCTTATAAGAAGACAAGATCAGGACTAGGCATGGTGGCTCATGCCTATAGTCCCAGCACTTTGGGAGGCCAAGGTGCACGGATCACCTGAGGTCAGGAGTTTGAGACCAGCCTGGTCAACATGGCACAACCCCATCTCTACTAAAAATACAAAAATTAGCTGGGTGTGGTGGCGTGCACTTGTAGTCCCAGCTACTCAAGAGGCTGAGGCAGAAGAATTGCTTGAGACTGGGAGGCAGAGGTTGCAGTGAGCAGAGATCGCATCATTGCACTCCAGCCTGGGTGACAAGAGCAAGACTCCATCTCAAAAAAAAAAAAAAAACAAAACCAAGATCAGGACACAGACACTCATAGAGGGAAGTCCACGTGAAGAAGCAGAGAAGGTGGCCATCTACAAGCCAGAGAGAGGCTTCCAAAGAAGCCAGTCCGGCTGACACCTTGATCTTGGACTTCAAGCCTCCAGAACCGTGAAAAAATTCATTGCTATGTTTTGAGCCCCCCAGTCTGTGGCAGTTTGTTGCAGCAGCCTCACCAGACTCACACATTTCCTTCCTTCGTCTGTGTACTCAGCCAGCACATACTCAGCCCTCATACTGAGCCAACACACCCATGCCCAGCACCAACTGCACACAGGGCTCACTGGAGACACACTGACATCTCGATTCCTTTTCCCACCCACTGCCCGCGTGGGGCTGTGGGCCAGGCTGGTCCCTGTCCACTATTTGTAAGCCTTCCCAGCCCTTTCTCCCGCTCCTCTGCCTCCATCCCCTAAATAAAGCAGTCTTCATGCGAGGCCTGGCCCTCTGCCCTCCCTCTGCAGGCTCCCTTCTCACTCCGCAGGGTGGTCCTTACCAAGGCTGCCCCTGCCCTCCCTCCAGGCCCAGCATCCAGGCTCAGCTCTTCCCCTGGCCCTGCTTCTTCCCACCACTGTCCTTTCCATGGTCCTCTGGACACGCCCACAGGCGAGGCCGCAGCTTTCACTTTCCCCATGAAGAGGACAGCTTCTTCACGTCTCCAGTTTGGACCTCCTGGACTCTCTGGCTCGGCTTTGACGTCTTCCTCTCCTCACCATCCACAGACAGTAAGTCCTGTTGATTCAGCCTCCCAGCTGTCTCCGCCTCTGCCCTCCCACGCCACCCCAGGCCACCCACTCTGCAGGGCCTCTTCCTCCCTGAAGGTCCTTCTGGCTTTTGTTTTCTTAAAGCTGAAGGTCTCAGGAGAACTTGGAGGGTTTACTGAGCAAGTAGAAGGAAAGAAGGGCAGAGTGTCTGACTGGAAGCAGGGGACAAGGTCCTCTGGTCCTCTCCCCCCAGTTAGAGGACAGGAGGGAAAGATGGGCAGGGGGGAGGTAAGGAGCAGCGAGAGTAGGAGGGCAGGGGGCCTGTTTCCTGGGTCCTGCTCCTGGACATGAGGCGAGACGAAGAGAGGGATGCTGTTGCCCTGAGACATCCAGGAAGAGGACCCAGGGCCACGTCAAAGAAGTCCTGAGGCCCAAGGGCAGCCCCAAGCTGTGGGGAGCAGCTGACCTTCAAGAATCTGGCAGAAAGACAAAGAGAGGCTGGGCACAGTGGCTCATGCCTCCAATCCCAACACTCTGGGAGGATGAGGTAGGCCGCTCACTTGAGGTCAGGAGTTCAAGACTAGCCTGGGCAACACAGCAAAACCTACAGAAAGTACAAAAATTAGCTGAGCATGGTGTTGTGCACCTGTAGTCCCAGCTACTTGGGAGGGTAAGGTGGGAGAATTGCTTGAGTCTGGGAGGTCAAGGCTTCTGTGAGCAGAGATCTGCCACTGTACTCCAGCCTGCCAGCCTGGGTAACAGAGTGAGATACTGTCTCAAAATAAATAAATAAATAAATAAAAGGCTGGGTGTCGTGGCTCACGCCTATAATCCCAATACTTTGGGAGGCCGAGGCAGGTGGATCATGAGGTCAGGAGTTTGAGACCAGCCTGGCCAACATGGTGAAACCCTGTCTCTACTGAAAATACAAAAATTAGCCAGGTATGGTGGTGGGCGCCTGTAATCCCAGCTACTCGGGAGGCTGAGACAGGAGAATTGCTTGAACCCGGGAGGCAGAGGTTGCAGTGAGCTGAGATTGCACCACTGCACTCTAGACTGGGCAACAAAGAGCAAAACTCTGTCTCAAAAAATAATAATAATACAAAAATTAGCCAGGCGTGGTGACACACGCCTGTAATCCCAGCTACTCAGGAGGCTGAGGCAGGAGAATCACTTGAACCCTGGAGGCAGAGGTTGCAGTGAGCCAAGATCATGCCATTGCGCTCCAGCCCGGGCACCAAGAGTGAAACTCTGTCTCAAAAACAAAAAACAAAAAACAAAAAACAAAAAAAAAAACAGCCAAAGAGAATCTTGCAGCCATGGTGTGGGTTACTGACTGGGGACCTGCTGCCCACCCACCCTGGCCTCAGCACGGGAATGACCTGGAAGGAGAGAGCCCTCAAGGGCTGAGATTAAACCCACCAAGAGTGGAAATTGGGGGCCAAAAGTAAGCCCTCTAAAGCTCAGCAATGAACTTAATTTGGAAATTTCTAACATTCATAGGCTTGGTATTTATTCCACTTGTTTCCTAGATGGAAAATATAAATACCCAGCTTAGCTGGAGGTAGAGATGAGAGACACACCAGGGGCACTGCTTGGTCAGGCCAGGGGGTCATGGAAGGTCAAGGGTCCAGAGGTCTGGCTCAAAAGTGATGTTGTTTTTTGTTTTTGTTTTTGTTTTTTTGAGACCGAGTCTCGCTCTGTCTTCCAGGCTGGAGTGCAGCGGTGCGATCTCGGGTCACTGCAATCTCTGCCTCCTGGGTTCAAGCAATTCTCCTCCCTCAGCCTCCCGAGTAGCTGGGATTACAGGCACGTGCCACCATGCCCAGCTAATTTTTCATATTTTAGTAGAGACAGGGTTTCACCATTTTGGCCAGGCTGGTCTCAAACTCCTGACCTCAAGTGATCCGCCCACCTCGGCCTCCCAAAGTGCTGGGATTACAGGTGTGCGCCACTGCAACCGGCTGAAAGTGATGTTTTAAATGAATGCCCATGAGAGAACCAAATGAAATGGGTACAGTTACCAAATGAAGTGACTCGATCTGAAACAGCTGATATCTAGACCGGATGAATTCGACCATCAGCCCAGGCTCTGGTGTCCTGGTTTTGCTCCTCCTCGGCAAGCCCCTGAAGGGCCCGGCTCCAAACCCAGTTGCTGGGTGGATTCCCCAGGCCCTGGGCCTGTGTCTTAACGGGTCTTAGACCACCCAGCAGGCCAGGTCCTTCATGGTCTCCCGGGAACACAGACCCAAGAGGGCCCAGCCAACTTCAAAGTCCAGAGCAAGTGTCCCAGGGCAGAGGGGCCACCAGGCTTCAGGCAGGGAGGAGAGTGGGCACCTCTCCTGCTGTTTCCAAGACACTCCATTGAGGCACACACAGTCTGTTCAGAAAAACCCCTCAGGAGGACAGTCCCGAGGGTTTCCCACCTGACCGTGGGTGCTCCTTCCTCTCCTGGCCTGGGACCCCTTTCCTAACTCTCTCACCCTAGGCTTTCCCCGTTCTAGTCCAGAAGCGCCCATGACTTGAGACCTTCCCCTCGGAATCACATTCCACCTCCGCCCGACGCCGGATTCTCCAATACACAGACCCCAACTGCGGACCAGGAACCCCCACTCACTGTGAGGGAGGGGCTCTGGCCCTCACACAAGCACCCTGAGGCCATGCTGCAGACAGGCGCTGGGGCAGTTGGAGTAGTCCCTGAAGCTGGGAGGGGCAGGGCAGCATCTCCAGTGGCTCTCATCTGCGTCCAGCAGGCAGATGGGGCTGTCACTGAAGTCAGGGAAAGGGGGAAACGGAAGGGGCTCAGGGTGCCTTCCTGGGCAGGAAGGAAAGCCGGCTGTCAAGGAGAGCCCAGTGGTCAATCGTTGGTGTCTCCCAGAGTCTCCTCACTGCTGATTGCAACTCAGACAGCTGGGCCCAGCCCGAGTTCCCAAGTCAGCCAGGCAGCGGCAGGCCCAAGAACACGCATGCCTAGGAAGTCTCCAGCGACACTCTACTGCTAGGTTAGGACCATGCCTTGAGAACTGCTGAGGCTCAAGTTTTGCTCTCTGCATCTGGAGTCAGCGTCCTGGGTTCCTGTCCCAAGTCTGCCCCCTGATGGTAAGAAGTTGCTTCTTCAGCCAAATTTCATAATTTACCTCCTGGGGTAGGTGTAAAGATTAAGTGATATACTTGGGAAAATTAGCACAATTCCTGGCACACAGTAAGACTGAAAAAAATTCCTTATCAACTGGTTGAGGTGTGGTAATTTGGGTGGAGGAAGCTGCTGGGTTTTTTGTTTGTTTTTGTTTTTTTAATAAGCCCTATAGAATTATTTGGCTTTAAAAAACATTACCTGAGCCGGGCACGGTGGCTCACGCCTGTAATCCCAACACTCTGGGAGGCTGAGGCGGGAGGATCACCTGAGGTTGGGAGTTTGAGACTAGCCTGACCAACATGGTGAAACCCTGTCTCTACTAAAAATACAAAAAAAAATTAGCCGCGTGTGGCAGCCAGCGCCTGTATTCCCAGCTACATGGGAGGCTGAGGCAGGAGAATTGCTTGAACCTAGGAGGCGAAGCTTGCAGTAAGCTGAGATCGCGCCACTGCACTCCAGCCTGGGCGACAGAGCAAGACTCCGTCTCAAAAAAAAAAAAAACAAGAAAAAGAAAGAAAAGTAAAGATAAATAAATACATAATAAATAAATACATAAAATTATATAAGATGTGGCGGGGCACAGTGGCTCATGCCTATAATCCCAACACTTTGAGAGGCTGAGGCAGGCGGATCTCGAGCCCAGGAGTTTGAGACCAGCCTAGCCAACATGGTGAAACCCTAACTTTACTAAAAAAAAAAAATACAAAAATTAGCTGGGCATGGTGGTGCATGCCTGTAGTCTCAACTTCTTGGGAGACTGAAGCAGAAGGGTCGCTTAAGCCTGGGAGGCAGAAGTTGCGGTGAGCTGAGATTGTGCCACCGCACACCATCTAGCCTGGCAACAGAGGGAGACCCTGTCTGAAAAAAAAAAGTATATATATGCTCTAATGACATTGAAAATGAGAAATCAACAGCTCTTCCCTGATCGTTTAAACATGGAAACATCTGTGGAAGATTGTATTATTGTTCCCAATCATTCACTCCCCCTTCCTGAAAGCTGAGTCCACCTTCTCTCTTATGGGGAAGGAGTATTCATCCAGCCCCACTGATCCCATGATGGCCTTTGCCAAGGGCACATGTGTGGACATGAGCCGTGCCCCTTCAGAGCAGAAACTGAGTGCCATTGCTCACTTGCTCTTGTCCTTGGCCACAAGACTGTATCCCACATGGGGGCTGTTGCTTTGGCTTGCAGTCTAGAATGAAGAAGAATTACAACCACACCTGACACACAGCCAAGAAGAGCCCAGCCACAACTAGCCTACAAAAGAAATGAAAAACAGGCTGGGCGCGGTGGCTCACACCTGTAATCCCAGCACTTTGGGAGGCCGAGGCGGGCGGATCACCTGAGGTTGAGAGTTCGAGACCAGCCTGACCAACATGGAGAAACCCCGTCTCTACTAAAAATACAAAAATTAGCCAGGTATGGTGGCACATGCCCCAGCTACCCGGGAGGCTGAGGCAGGAGAATCATTTGAACCTGGGAAGTGAAGGTTGCGATGAGCCGAGAGAGTGCCATTGCACTCCAGCCTGGGCAATAAGAGCAAAACTCCGTCTCAAAAAAAAAAAAAAAAGAAGAAGAAAGAAAGAAAACAGGCCTGGAGCGGGGGCTCACGCCTGTAATCCCAGCACTTTGGGAAGCCAAGGCAGGCAGATCACCTGAGGCCAGGAGTTTGAGACCAGCCTGGCCAACATGGAGAAACCCCATCTCTACTAAAAATACAAAAATGACTCCTTTTGGCCAGAACCGCCATCTTCCTGTAGCCATCTTCCTGTAATTCGCCAAAATTACGAACACAAAGGGAAAGAGGAGAGGTACCCGATATAGGTTCTCCAGGCCTTTTAGAAAACCTGGAGTTGTTCCTTTGGCCATGTATATGCGAATCTATAAGAAAGGTGATATTGTGGACACCAAGGGAACGGTACTGTTCAAAAAGGAATGCCCCACAAGTGTCACCATGGCAAAACTGGAAGAGTCTACAGTGTTCCCCAGCATGCTGTTGGCATTGTAAACAAACAAGTTCAGGGCAACATTCTTGCCAAGACAATTAATGTGCGTATTGAGCACGTTAAGCACTCTAAGAGCCGAGATAGCTTCCTGAAACACATGAATGAAAATTATCAGAAAAAGAAAGAAGCCAGAGAAAGATACCTGGGTTCAACCGAAGCGCCAGCCTGCTCACTTTGTGAGAACCAGTGGGAAGGACCCTGAGCTGCTGGAACCTCTTCCTTATGAATTCATGGCATAATAGGTGTTAAAAAAAATAACAGACCTCTGGACTGTAAAAATAATAATAATAATAATAATAATAATAATAATAATAATAATAATGGGCCAGGCACAGTGGCTCACGCCTATAATCCCAGCACTTTGGGAGGCTGAAGCAGGCGGATCACCTGAGGTCAGGAGTTCGAGACCAGCCTGGCCAACATGGTGAAACACCGTCTCAAGTGAAATACAAAAATTAGCCGGGCATGGTGGCACACATCTGTAATCCCAGCTACTTGGGAGGCTGAGGTAGGAGAATTGCTTGAACCTGGAAGGCGGAGTTTGCAGTGAGCCGAGTTCATGCCTCTGCACTCCAGCCTGAGTGACAGAGCGAGACTCCATCTCCAAAAAATAAAAAAATAAATAAATAAATAAATAAAATAAAAATACAAAAATGAGCCGGGTGTGGCAGCGGGCACCTGTAATCCCAGCTACTTGGGAGGCTGAGGCAGGAGGATCACTTGAACCCAGGAGGCAGAGGTTCCAGTGAGGCGAAATCACGCCACTGCACTCCAGCCTGGGTGACAGAGTGAGACTCTGTCTTGAAAAAATAAATAAAATTTAAAAAATGAAAAACAGGCAAGAAATAAGCCTTTATCATTGTGAGCCACTGAGATGTTGGGATGGTTTGTTATCACAGCTTAACCCTGTGAAAACTGACTAAAAAACATCCTATGATAAATTGGTTAAATAAAGTATGATGTGCCTATATGATGAGAATGTAGCTAGTAATTTTTTTTATTTTTTTATTTTTATTTTTATTTTTTATATTTTAATTTTATTTTTATTTTTTGAGATGGGGTCTCTTTCTGTTGCCCAGGCTGGAGTGCAGTGGTGCCATCTCAGTTCGCTGAAACTTCCACCTCCCGGGTTCCAGGGATTCTCCTGCCTCAGCCTCTTGAGTAGCTGGGATTACAGGCGCGAGCCACCACACCCGGCTAATTTTTTGTGTTTTTAGTAGAGACGGGGTTTCACCATGTTAGCCAGGATGGTCTCAATCTCCTAACCTCGTGATCTACCCACCTCGGCCTCCCAAAGTGCTGGGATTACATATTTTTATTTTTTTGAGACAGAGTCTTGCTCTTGTTGCCCAGGCTGGAGTGCAATGGCGCGATCTTGAGTCACTACAACCTCCGCCTCCTGGGTTCAAGCGATTCTCCTGCCTTAGCCTCCCGAGTAGCCGGGATTACAGGCACCCACCACCACGCCCGGCTAATTTTTGTATTTTCAGTAGAGACAGGGTTTCACCATGTTGGCCAGGCTGGTCTCGAACTCTTGACCTCAGGTGATTCACCTGCCTTGGCCTCCCAAAGTGTTGAGATTACGGGCATGATCCACTGTGCCCAGCCTGCAGCTATTAAAGTTATATCTTAAACTGTATTAAATTTATATTTAAGTTTATACAGCTATTAAAATTGTTTAAAGATAAAAATTGCTCAAAATATCATTTTCATAAGTGAACAAAAGCAAAGTTTAAAAGTGAAAGTACATCAGGATCTCAATATTGTAAATGCAAATATGACTTGTATATATATTGGCTGAAGTATGGTCATTTGAATGGTTACTTTTGGCTTTTTTTTTTTTTTTTTAGATGGAGTCTCACTCTGCTGCCCATTTCTCCTGCCTCAGCCTCCTGAGTGGCTGAGATTACAGGCACACACCACCACACTCAGTTAATTTTTGTATTTTTAGTAGCGATGGGGTTTCACCATGTTGGCCAGGCTGGTCTCGAACTCCTGACCTCAGATGATCCGCCCAACTCAGCCTGCAAAATTGCTGGGATTACAGGCGTGAGCCACCATGCCCGGCACTTGGGCACTTTTTAAAAAATAAAATGCAGAAAGCCCAGAATTGAGTGGCGATTTTCTCTAGAAAAAGGGATTGAGGGAAAAGCATGCCCACATGTTAACAGTGGTTCTCTCAAGGGGGTAGAATTGGGGAGGGTGGCTATTCCCCTTTATGCTCATCTACACGTTCCAGCTTATCTATAATGCCATGTAATACTTTCATATTTTGGAAAAATCATTATACTGCATGGGGATATTGAGAAGAATCACTGGCCAATGGCAGTGTGATGTAGGGAGGCAGGGCTACTGTGGGGAAGACAGTAGGGCCCAAGTCCCAGAAGCCCATGGTGGGATGGGGAGGTGGGAGTAGAGAGGGGCTCTTCTGGCCTCCTCCGACCCAGACCCTCCAGGCATAGACCTAAGCCTACAGCTTTGAAGGTCCTGTGAAAATGTGTGTGACTTTTAAAAAATTAATTGACTCTTGGCCGGGTGCAGTGGCTCACACCTGTAATCCCAGCACTTTGGGAGGCCGAGGCAGGTGGATCACCTGAGGTCAGGAGTTCAAGGCCAGCCTGGCCAACATGGTGAAACCCCATCTCTACTAAAAATACAAAAATTAGCAGGATGTGGTGGCATGTGCTTGTAATCTCAGCTGCTCGGGAGGCTGAGGCGGGAGAATCACTGAACCCAGGAGGTGGAGGTTGCAATGAGCTGATATCGAACCACTGCACTCCAGCCTGGGCAACAAGAGTGAATCTCCATATAAAAAAAAATTAATTGACTCCAAATATAAAAATTAAAATGCCATTTCAAAGTTAATAGATGTTTAAGTGTCTAGGAATTGTAACCTTATGTCAAAAGTCAAATACAGTGGCTGCTTAATGGGTATGGGTTGCCATCCGGTGATGAAAAAGCTCTGGGACTAAGTAGTGGTGATGGTCGCACAATATTGTGAATGGTCTTAATACCACTGAATTCTGCACTTTAAAATGGTACGTTTTATGTGTATTTGACCACCAAAACAAAACAAAAACAAAAAGTTCAATTTCAGTGCAATTCAACTGTTATATAATTACTGCAGATGGAACTCACACTTAGTGGGGGGTTTGGATGACCTTCTGTGTATTGAATACAATGCTAACCGGACCCCAAAATTAAATTGCTCTGGAAGAGGCAGTGGTTGCTAATGATTCCTGATCTCCTGTCACCGGACACCTTGTGGCATGACAGTGAATGGGCAGCTTTTGGGGTAAGGGTGGGAGTGAGGTACAGAGCACAGACCTCCTATTCACCTTGCCACTTGGGGTCTGGGGTTCAGACTCAAGTCTGAGGGATCAGCCATCCCATAGAATCACAGGCTGCGCTCTCCTGAGATGCCATCGAACCAGCACTTGGAGGCAGCAGAGAGCTGGATCTGGCTGGGGAGGACATCTGGGTTTCTCCCCATATCCAGGGCTCCTCCCACCCACCCCCACTCTCTTGCCCCTGCCCAACCCTACCAAGACAGTCTTATCAGTTTGGTTTTCAGAAGATGATGCCATTTCTTTCAGGAAAATTTTTTGCAAGTAAAACCTGAGTGTTCCACCAGCTCCTTCCAGTGGGATATTCAAGAGTATTCAAGCAAGACCAGTTTTTACATGTTAAACACATTCCATAATTTAAAACATGTTTTGAATTTCCTCTGAGACAATCCATATGGGTAATTTCAGGAGTTGGCCTAATAAAGCTCACATCCTATTTTTGTGGGGTATTAATTTTAAGACTTTTCACCTGATACTCATTATGCTGATGTCTTTAAAATGCTAGGAAACTTTAATAGCAAGACTGGTGGCAACGACGAATGTTTCTTTCTTTTTTTTTTGGAGACGTAGTTTTGCTCGTTTCCTAGGCTGGAGGGCAATGACACGATCTTGGCTCACTGCAACCTTCGCCTCCCCGGTTCAAGAGATTCTCCTGCCTCAGCCTCCCGAGTAGCTGGGACTACAAGTGCATGCTACCACACCCAGCTAATTTTTGTATTTTCAGTAGAGATGGGGTTTCACCACGTTGTCCAGGCTGGTCTCGAACTCCCGATGTCGGGTGATCTGCCTGCCTCAGCCTCCCAAAGTGCTGGGATTATAGGTGTGAGCCACCACGCCCATCCAAGAATGTTTCTTTATAATACTGAAAAGGTTAACTTGGTGCAGATGGGAGCAGCCAGAGAAAACCATTCATAGAAAGCAGTGATAGTCGGCTGGGTGCGGTGGCTCACACCTGTAATCCCAGCACTTTGGGAGGCCCAGGTGGGAGGATCACCTGAGGTCAGAAGTTCGAAAGCAGCCTGGCCAACATGGCGAAATCCCATCTGTACTAAAAATACAAAAATTAGCCAGGCATGGCAGCAGGTGCCTGTAATCCCAGCTACTCAGGGAGGCTGAGGCACGAGAATCACTTGAACCTGGGAGACGGAGGTTGCAGTGAGCCAAGATCGTACCACTGCACTCCAGCCTGGGTGATAGAGCAAGACTCCATCTCAAAAGAAAAAAAAGAAAGCAATGATAGTCACAGGTCTCTTCTAAGATGCTTGGTATCAGTTGGCCCTTACTATGTAACAAACCACCTCACAACTGAGTAACTTAAAGCAACGGCTGGGCTGTGGCTCACGCCTGTAATCCCTGCATTTTGGGAGTCCAAGGCCGGCAGATCACTTGAGGTCAGGAGTTCAAGACCAGCCTGGCCAACAGGGTGAAAACTGTCTCCACTAAAAATACAAAAATTAGACAATTAGACAAGTGTGGTGGTGGGTGCCTGTAATCCAAGCTACTGGGGAGGCTGAGGCAGGAGAATCGCTTGAACCCAGGAAGCAGAGGTTGCAGTGAGCTGAGGTTGTACCACTGCACTCCAGCCTGGGTGATAGAGTGAGACTCTGTCTCAAAAAAAAAGCAACTACTATTATTATTATTATTGTTATTATTATTATTATATTTGGGTTGGGCTCAGCTGAGTGTTTCTGATGCAGGATAGGCAAGCCCCAAAATTGGGGCTTAGGGCCAGGCATGGTGGCTCATGCCTGTGATCCCAGCACTTTGGGAGGCCGAGGCGGGCGGATCACGAGGTCAGGAGATCGAGACCATCCTGTCTAACACGGTGAAACCCCATCTCTACTAAAAATACAAAAAATTAGCCAGGCATGGTGGCAGGCACCTGTAGTCCCAGCTACTTGGGAGGCTGAGGCAGGAGAATGGCGTAAACCCAGGAGGCAGAGCTTGCAGTGAGCCAAGATGGCGCCACTGCACTCCAGCCTGGGTGACAGAGCAAGACTCTGTCTCAAAAAAAAAAAAAAAAAAAAAAAAACTGGGGCTTAGCCTGAGAGGGTTCTTGGCTTTGCCCAGGAAACAATTCAAAGGTAAGCCAGTGGTGTTAAACAGCAACTTCTATTGACACAGCCGTGCACAGCAGCAGCAGAGGTACTGCTCCTAGTGGAGTGGGGCTGCCCCATAGACAGGGTGCCCAGAATAACAGCTCAGAGGCTGTTCTGCACTCATATTTATACCCACTTTTAATTACATGCAAATTAAAAAACAGTTGGCTGGGCATGGTGGCTCACGCCTGTAATCCCAGCACTTTGGGAGGCCGAGGTGGGCAGATCACGAGGTCAAGAGATCAACATCATCCTGTCCAACATGGTGAAACCCCATCTCTACTAAAAATACAAAAATTAGCTGGGCATGGTGGTGTGCGCCTGTAGTCCTAGCTACTTGGGAGGCTGAGGTGGGAGAATCACTTGAACCCAGGAGGCAGAGGTTGCAATGAGCCAAGATTACACCACTGCACTCCAGCCTGGCGACAGAGCAAGATTGCATCTCAAAACAAACAAACAAACAAAGTTTATGCAGAAATTTCTAGGATGAGGGTGGTAACTTCTGGGTTGTTGGCTTGTTGCCATGGAAAGGGATGGTAAATTCCAGATGTTGCCATGGCAATGGTAAACTAACATGGGCACGCTGGTGGGAGGGTCTTATGGAAAGCTGCTTCTGCCCCCAACCTGTTTTAGCTAGTCCTCAATTTGGTCAGGTGTTTGAGCCCTGCTTCCAGAGTCAACTCCTACCTCCTCCTCAGTTTTTCTGCTGGTCTCACCTGGTTCACTATGTGGCCATAGCTGGCAGGTGGGCTGCAGCTGGTTGGTCTGGGTCCCAGATGGCCTCACTCACATGTCTGCATTTGGCTGGGATGGTGGGGGCAACCAGAGCCAGGTTAATCTCCTCATCAAGCAGACCAGACTTCACACGGCAGCTGGGCTCCAAAAGAAGAAAGAGAGGCCAAGCCCCAGCACACAAATGCTTTTCCTATTATTTTTATTCTCAGACCTCTCAGGGATGAACACAAATGCTTTCTATGCCTCTGCTTGTGTCATGCTCCTTACTGTCCCCTTGACAAAAGCAACTCATAAGGCCAAGCCCTGATTCAGGTAGTGGAGAAAATAGACTCTATCTTTTGAAAAAGGAGCTGCAAAATGTCGTGGACTATAAAAAAGTATCTGGCCGGGTTGCTGCAGCTCACCCTTATAATCCCAGCAAGTTGGGAGGCCAAGACGGGAGGATCACTTGAGCTTGGAGTCTGAGACCAGCCTGGGCAACATAGTGAGACCTGATCTCTACAGAAAAATTTAAAAATTAGCCAGGTACTGTGGCTCATGACTGTAGTCCCAGCTACTTGGGAGGCTGAGGGGGGAGGATCACTTGAGCCTGGGAGGTGGAGTTTGCAGTGAGACAAGATGGTGCCACTGCATTCCAGCCTGGGCAACAGAGCAAGACCCTGTCTCAAAAAAAATAGATGATAAAAGTATGTCTTCCACATGCTGTCTCCTCTGTTTCTACCACCAAGGATATCCTTACAAATAGGCAGGAATGGATGGCAGGCACTTGCCAACTAACAGTAATCCCATACTCCTGGGATAGAGTTCAAGGTGATTAAATGTGCATTTTCCCAGATGTATCTGGGGACACCAGTCCCATGAAGTAAGATGCTATGGGCTACAATTTGTCCCCACCTCCAAATTTATATATTGAAGCCTTAACCCTCAATGCGACTGTATTTAGAGATAGGACCTTTAAGGAGGTAATTAAGGTTAAATGAAGTCATAAGGGTGAGACCTTAATTCAGTAGGACTGGTGTCCTCATAAGAAGAGACATCAGGAGTGCACGTGCTCAGAAAAAAAGGCCACATGTGAGGCCACAGGGAGAAGGAAGTCGTCTGCAAGCCAGGAGAGGCCTCACCAGAACCAACCCTGCTGGCACCTTGATCTTGGACTTCCAGCTTCCAGAACTGTGAGAATATAAATTTGTGTTGTTTAAGCCACCCTGTCTGTGGTTTTTGTTATGGTAGCCCAAGCTGAATAATACATAAGGGTTCCCGGGTTAAATAAGTCTGGGAAAAGCTGTGTGCAGTACTGGCCTTCCCCCACTCCCCTGGTGATTCACAAAGCTCTTTAGCCTCTTAAAGGCTCAGAGAAGTTCCTCAGCAAAGAAATTTCTAGTTTCACACAGTGTTTCTCAAATGTATTTGAACATTAGATCTTTTCTCTCTTTTTTTTTTTTTTTTTTGAGATGGAGTCTCGCTCTGTTGCCCAGGCTGGAGTGCAGTGGCGTGATCTCGGCTCACTGCAAGCTCCACCTCCCGGGTTCGCGCCATTCTCCTGCCTCAGCCTCCAGAGTAGCTGGGACTACAAGCACGGCGCTCACTACCATACCCAGCTAATTTTTTAATTTTTTGTAGGAACGGGGTCTCACTTTGTTGCCCAGGCTGATCTTGAACTCCTGGACTCAAGTGATCCACCCGCCTCACCCTCCCAAAGTGCTGGGATTACAGGCGCAAGCCACCGTGCCCAGCCTGGATCTCATTCTCAATCCCCTTTCTCTCATCAGGAGTCCAGTCATTGGGTTTAGGGCCCACCCTAAATCCAAGATGATGTCATCTCAAGATCCTTAACTTATTACATCTGCAAAGACCCCTATTCCAAATAAGGTCACATTCACAGGGTCCAGGCACACATGTCTATTGAGGGGCACAGTTCAATCCACTGCAGAAGCTAAAGAACAACCAAGGTAGCCGCTGAGTGTGGACACAGCGCTGGGGGTGAGGGCCCCGCCCCCAGGCTGGTGTCTGCAAGCTGAGGGTCCATCCCCTCCAGGGGACTTGCTGGGGAGAACACCCTCTCCGCCTAACAGTGCTGGCTGCCAAGTCCTCATTTCCTAAACTCTGCTGACCAGCCCCCACCAACACCTTTCGGTTTGCACCAGGTGGGGCCTATTGCTCTATTCCTTCTAAATGTGACTTGACTTCCTGACCCTGCCCTTCCTGTTTTGTCCTGGAAGACAAGGCCTGTCTTTCTGGGAAACATTTGCAAAAAAGCAATGCTCACCTGGTGGCAGCACGGTAGGCAGGCTCCCACAGGGCCCTCCTGGAGACTTCCTCCCACAGCCCCCTTCCTGCATGCTGCTCTCCTGCCCAGAACCCTTCACTACTCCCAGGGCCTCCAGGAGGAAGTAAGACCTCCTGCTCCTCCTTCCAGAGTTAGCCTTCCAGGATTTAGGGAGTGTGTTCCTGCAGCTTCCCCCCAGGGTCCCACCTCTGTCTGTCTTGGTGCTGCTCCGCCTGGCTGGCACCCCACTCCATCCTCCCCACACCTGTCCATAGCCCTGTTTGCCTACAAGCCACACAGAGGGTGGGCTCCAGGGTTCTGCAGGTTCCTGCAATGCAAATAAACACAGATCATCCAGTTCTTAGAGGTGAGCTCAGAGAGTCCATGCTAGCACATTTTTCCGTGGAGGGGGCTTCCCCAAATCATTCCCTCCTGACTCAAAGAGGCTAAAAACCACAGGTTTAGCGCTGAGGCTCAGAGTAACTCTCCCTTAGCTAGCAGCCCCAAGGAAAGCTGGCTAAGGTGGAAGAACCCCTCTCTCCACCTGCTCTGCATTGTGGGGACCAGGGCCCTGGTGAGGGCAGGTGCAGGGAGGATTGGAGGAAGCAGCCGTGAGGTGTGCCCTGAGAGCCATGGACCATCTGCAGGTGCCGGCCTGGAGGCAGAGCCCTTGGGTGCCCCAGGGGAGGAGAGCTGGCTCCCTGCAGAGGACTGAGAGCTACAAGAAGGAGGAGTAAGGATGGCTTGGGCTCTACCCCCGGGACGCAGATGACTAGCCAATCTCTCCTGGGCCTGGGAGAGAGCTGGAGAGCCTCAGGACAGAGCCTGGCACCCCCAACACAACCCCATGGTTTGGCCTCTGCTGGACTTGCCTGTAGGTCTTGACAACATCCCAGCTCCTGGGGATCCACATGCTTCTGGGAACATCCATTTGACCATGGGCTGTGTTGTGATGACAGGTGTCAGGCCTCTGAGCCCAAGCTAAGCCATCATATCCCATGTGACCTGCACATACACATCCAGAAGGCCGGTTTGTGCCTTAACTGATGACATTGTCTTGTGAAATTCCTTCTCCTGGCTCATCCTGGCTCAAAAGCTCCCCCACTGAGTACCTTGTGACCCCCACCCTGCCCGCCAGAGAACAACCCCCCTTTGACTGTAATTTTCCTGTACCTACCCAAATCCTATAAAACGGCCCCACCCCTATCTCCCTTCGATGACTCTCTTTTCGGACTCAGCCCGCCTGCACCCAGGTGATTAAAAGCTGTTATCGCTCACACAAAGCCTGTTTGGTGGTCTCTTCACACGGACGCGCATGAAAACAGGAGAGTGACTTGTCTCTCAAATAGAATGATACAGGTTTTTGCAGGCACACTCCGTCTTTAATCTCTGTGATTCTATCCAGTGTTTAAAGGATTCACAGGACTCATAAGGGAATGAGGGATGGAGGGGCGCTCCACCATGTGGACACATCATAGTTTGACTTCCAGCCTCTCCAGGCTGGTCTGCACCTGGGCCCCCTTAGGCCAATGCATGGCCACCCTCCAGGCCTCTGGGGGCCCTGGGATGACCCACCTCCCGGAGCTCTCGGGCAGGCTAACCTGGGATTGTCACTGAAAAAAAAAAAGTCAAACTCTGTAAAATATTTAAAGATATTTATTCTGGCCGGGCGCGGTGGCTCACGCCTGTAATCCCAGCACTTTGGGAGGCAGAGGTGGGTGGATCATGAGGTCAGGAGATCAAGACCATCCTGGCTAACACGGTGAAACCCCATCTCTACTAAAAATACAAAAAATTAGCCGGGCATGGTGGCGGGTGCCTGTAGTCCCAGCTACTCGGGAGGCTGAGGCGGGAGAATGGCTTGAACCCGGGAGGCGGAGCTTGCAGTGAGCCAAGATCGCGCCGCTGCACTCCAGCCTGGGCAACAGAGCAAGACTCCGTCTCAAAAAAAAAAAAAAAGATGTTTATTCTGAGCCTGAGTTACAGTCTCAAGAGGTCCTGAGAACATGTGCCCAAGATGGTTGGGTTACAGCTTGATTTTATACATTTTAGGAGGACAGAAGTTACAGGCAGATATCAATCAATTCATGTGAGGTGTATATCAGTTTGGTCCAGAAAGGCAGGAAACCTCAAAGCTGGGGGGCTTCCAGGTCATAGGTCGATTCAGAGATTTTCTGATTGACAACTGTCTGAAAGAGTTGGTTTTTTTTGTTTGTTTGTTTTTGAGACGGAGTCTCACTCTCTTGCCCGGCTGGAGTGCAGTGGCGTGATCTCGGCTCACTGCAAACTCTGACTCCCGGGTTCAAGTGATTCTCCTGCCTCAGCCTCTCGAATAGCTGGGATTACAGGTATGCACCACCACACCTGGTTCATTTTCGTATTTTTAGTAGAGACAAGGTTTCACCATATTGGTAAGGCTGGTCTTGAACTCCTGACATCAGGTGATCCACCTGCCTCCGCCTCCCAAAGTGCTGGGATTACAGTTGTGAGCCACCACACCCGGCCAAGAGTTGTTATTATCTAAAGACCTAGAACCAGTGGAAAGGAGTGTGTGGGTTAAGATAAGGGGTTGTGTAGACCAAGGTTCTTATTATGTAGATGAAGTCTCATAGGTGACTGCCCTTAGAGGCAAAAAAAAATGGCACGTTTCCTATTCAGATCTTTTTTTTTTTTGAGATGGACTCTCGCTCTTGTGGCCCAGGCTGGAGTGCAGTGGCATGATCTTGCCTCACTGCAACCTCTGCCTCCCAGGTTCAAGCAATTCTCCTGCCTCAGCCTCCCAAGTAGCTGGGATTACAGGCACCCACCACCAAGCCTGGCTAATTTTTGTATTTTTAGCAGAGATGGGATTTTGTCACGTTGGCCAGGCTGGTCCCAAACTCCTGACCTCAGGTGATCCGCCCGCCTCGGCCTCCCAAAGTGCCGGGATTATAGGCGTGAGACACCACACCCTGCCACTCCTATTCAGATCTTTAAAAGGAGCTGGACTCTCAGCTAATCACTTCAGGATAAGAAAAAGATCTGGAAAGGACAGGGCTTCTCTATGGATCATAAATTTCCCCCACAAGAGGAAGCTTTGCGGGGCCGTTTCAAAATATCTCAAAGAAATATATTTGGGAGTAAAATACTTTCATTTCTTTCAGGGCCTACTGTCATGTGATGCTGTACTAGAGTCAGTTTGGAATTTGGTATTTATTGCTACAAAGAGTCTGCTTGATCAGTCTTAAGATCTCTGTTTTAATGTTAATGCTGGACAGTTGTGCCTGAACTGCGAAGGGAGGAGAGTGTGATGAGCATGGCCGACACCCCCGCTTCCCATCATGGCCTGAACTAGTTTTTCAGGTTTACTTTGGAATCCCCTTGGCTGAGAGGAGGGGACCATTCAGTCAGTTGGGGAGTCTTAGAATTTTATTTTTGGTTTACAGGGCTGGAGGCTAGAAAAGTTGACTGGAGGGCTGGGGCGGTGGGAGAGGGTGTGTATGTGGTATGGAGAGGGCTGAAGCACCCTTTGTTTTAGAGATGAGTGGGAGGGATGGTCTCTCAGTTCAATTTGCTTCCCCACTCTATGGGTGTTTGGGTGGCCCCAGGAATCCTATTTGCATAAGGGGTCAAAGCCTCCTGGGGACTTGGGAAGAAGGAATTTATTTTAACTTGCAAATGTGTCCTAATAATTAAGTAATACTGAAAGGGCAAATGAATTGTATGAATTTAAACATGTTCAAAAGCTCAAAAGAAAAAACTTGCCCACAATTCTACCATGACTAGAATTCTGTCTCTGACACTGGCTGCCCATTTGTTGCTATTTGTCTCGCATTGTACACTTTTCACTTTCAGGACAGTCTCTTAAAGCAAGAGACCTTTACTGTAGGAAAACTAGAAAATGCAGCTAGCCCAAGGAAAACAATTTTATTCAGTCACTTGGAATCCTACTACCTGAAGGATCTTGTTTTTGTGTCTTATATTTATTTGACTACTGATACGTTTAAACATTTTTGCAGGTTTATTAGCTATCTGGATTTCTTTGGGGAATAGTCTGTTTTTGTCTTTTGCATATTCTGTTACTGGTTATCTAATGATGCCTTATTAATCTGTTTGGGGTCTTTATATTGTGTTGATGTCAACCCGTCATGGTATTTGTACAAATATTTTTTTCCAGTTTGTGGTTTGTTCTTAAAAATTTTAGAGTTTTTTTTTTTTTTTTTTTTTTTTTTTACCTATGTCTGTTTTCCCCTTTGAAATTACTTTACTGGCTAGGTGCACTGGCTCATGCCTATAATCGCAGCACTTTGGGAGGCCAAGGCGGGAGGATCACTTGAGGTCAGGAGTTCGAGACCAGCCTGGCCAATATGGTGAAACTTCATCTCTACTAAAAATACAAAAATTAGCCAGCATGGTGGTGCATGCCTGTAATCCCAGCTATTCAGGAGGCTGAGGCAGGAGAATCACTTGAGCCTGGAAGGCAGAACTTGCAGTGGGCCGAGATTGCACCACTGCACTCCAGCCTGGGCTACAGAGTGAGACTCCATCTCAAAAAAAGAAAAAAAAAAAAAGAAAAAAAAGTACTTTTTCTTCCCCAGATCATGTATTTTATTTTTTTAGTTTGCTTGTCTCTCTCTCTCTCTCTCTCTCTCTCTCTCCCTCCCTCCCTCCCTCCCTCCCTCCTTGCATTTACCTCTCTGAGCCATCTGGCAGTGAAAGTGAAGGGCTAACCCAGTGTTTTCCAAATACTTAGCAATCCTCCCAGCACCATTTTGTAACTCAGCCCTCCACTGTCCCTGCTCTCTGCGTCCTCAAGGGCAGTCTCTGCCTGCTCCAAGCCAACACGTAGGGGAAAACAGCACCCAGGTCCTGCAGTCGCCCCCAAGCCAGCGCTCACACAAAAGCTTGAGCAAGCAAGGTGGGATTTTTGATGTTGTGGAGGAGGAGGCAAGGCATTTACCTTGGGGACCTCAACACAAACAACTTGAAAATCCCCTTGGCGTTTCTGTTCTCCCCAAGTCCCAGCTGCTCCACCCGGGGAGGCCTGACCTTCCCCCTTCCCAGCACTGCTGGCCTCACTGCTCACCTCCAATACCCCCATTTCCCAGGAACTTCCACTCCTCGCCCCTCACTCCTGCAGAACAACTGGGCTCTACCGCAGCCCCTGCCCAAACCCAACCTCTTCCAGACAGAGGCCCTGTAACAGCATCCACCCTCCCTAGAAAGCAGGGTGGCAGCGTCCTTTGGAACTTGAGAATGCGTGTGGGTCCCCAGCCCCTACCCCATGGGGCTTATTAACCTGTTTCTTCCAAACAAATCCAGTGTGTGTTCTAAGGGGAATTCCCACGCCAGCTGCAAGTGCTGCTCCAGCTCCTGGGTTTCTTACACATTCGGGGAATGGGATTACTGGGGAGACGTGGAATCTGGAGGTCCCCTAGAGGGCTGGTGATCAGAGGGGCTGCCCTGAGAGCTGAGAGCTGGGACAGAGCACCCCTTGGGACAGTCGGCCCGATGACCCAGGTTCCCAAGGACCTTCCCAGGTCCCCCCACCCCCGCACCGCCCCAAAGAGGCCTCGTTGGCAGGCAGGGGCCATGTGCACTGCCCTCCTCAAGGTGGGCGTGGCCATGGGGGCATGCAGACAGGGAGAGCAGAGCCCTGGAAATGTCCAGGCCCACACACCCAGAAGCAGCCATGGGAGGCCCAGTGGGTCCAGATCCCCGTGGCCACCCGGAGGTGGCAGCAGCTAGAGCAGGGACCACAGTCAGCAGTGCCCATCACAGCAGGTGGAGACAGAGAGTGGCTGCAGCAGGGACACAAGGCTGAGGAGGGGTGTGCCTAACTGTAATAAACAAAGTTCCGAGCTTCCCTAAAGGGTGTGCTGGCTCCACAACATCAGCCTACACAATCTTGCAGTAGTCGGGAACGTGGGCTAGACACGAAGCTCAAAGCCCTGCTGTCCTCTTTGCTGAGCCACGGTTTCCTCACCTGTAAAATGGGGATAATAACAGTACCTACCAGCCGGGCACGGTGGTTTATGCCTGTAATCCCAGCACTTTGGGGGGCCGAGGCAGGTAGATCACCTGAGGTCAGGAGTTTGAGACCAGCCTGGCTAACGTGATGAAACCCTGTCGCTACAAAATACAAAAATTATCCGGGCACGGTGGTGCACACCTGTAGTTCCAGCTGCTCAGAAGGCTGAGGCAGGAGGATCACTTGAGTCTGGGAGGTGGAGGTTGCAATGAGCCAAGATTGCACCACTGCACTCCCGCCTGGGCAACAAAGCAAGACTCGGTCTCAAAAAAACAAAAACAAAAAACAAACAGAAAAACAGCACCTACCACCGAGGGCTCTTGGGAGGATTAAGCAGTGCTGCGTGTGACAGTGTCCGGGGTCAAGACTCAATAATGGGTCACATCCTTAGAGGTCCTGTTAGCTCCCTGGGCTGCGTAACAAATGACCACAGACCAGGCACCTTACAACAACACAAATGTGTTATCCCACAGTTCTGGAGGCCAGAAGTCCGCAGTGAAGGTGTTGGCAGGGCTGGGCTCCCCCTTGACTCTTCTAGCTTCTGGTGGCTCCAGGAGCTCTTGGCTCTCACTCCACTCTCCGCCTCTGTCCTCACAGGCCCACCTTCCCTGTGTTGTGTGTTCTCCTTTCTCCTCTTTTTTTTTTTTTCCTGAGATGGAGTTTCACTCTTGTTTCCTAGGCTGGAGTGCAATGGCACGATCTTGGCTCACTGCAACCTCTGCCTCCCAGGTTCAAGCAATTCTCCTGCCTCAGACTCCTAACTAGCTGGGATTACAGGTGCGCACCACCACACCCAGCTAATTTTTGTATTTTTAGTAGAGACGGGGTTTCACCATGTTGGTCAGGCTGAACTCGAACTCCAGACCTCATGATCCACCCACATTGGCCTCCCAAAGTGCTTTGATTACAGGCATTAGCCACCATGCCCAGGGGTATCCTCAACTTAATTATATCTACAAAGACCATTTTGTCCAAATAAAGTCACATTCATACATCCCAGGAGTTTGGATATGGATCTATCTTTTAGGGGCCTCAATTCATCCCACTACAGATGCCAACTTACTGAATCGGTTCATCAATTCTCTGTTCGCTAGTGTAGACTGGGGGTCGGGGACGGCAGCTTTTGCTTTTTTGAATGTTGAGTCTTTCCATGCTGAATTTAAGTGAGGAATCTGGCCATAGGTGAGGGGCAGTGCCAAGGAAGGCTCTGCAGACGGGTGTGGGAGGGGCCTGTGGGAGTGATTTATGGACCAGTGTAGGCAAGAGTCTAGGGATGGAGGGTTCCAGCACCCAGAGCAGGAGGGAGGTGACCCGAGAGCTGCAGCCATGGCAGCCGGAGGAGCCAGAGTGCTCCCAGAGAGGCAGTGTGGTGGGGCCCCACCACTCAGGTTCCCTGGGTGACTTTCAGGCTAGGGCTGCTGTTTCTCAGGGTCCCTTTGGTGGATAGTCACAGGAAGCCCTGGTTCAACTGGCTGAAGCAACATGGAAACAATCACCTCCCATCACAGGAAGTCCGGTGGCTGGGTGGCTGCAGGCGCAGTTTGATCAAGGCTTTGCCCTGCTTTTCTGCAATCTCCCTGGTTCGGCCATTCTCTATGTAGGGCTTTTCTCAGACCAGATGCCCTCATGGTCACAAGAGGCCTAACTGGATATGATCATTTATAGGAGGAGAGGAAGACCATGACTTCCCAGGCCTCCTAATGAGTGAGGAAACCCCCCACGGGCTCCAGGGAGCCTCCCCTTGCTCTCACGACTCCACAGCCAGGACTGCATGAAGGCCCTGAGCATGGGCCTGAGCCAGTGATGCCCAGGGAAATGGCTGAGACCACAGGAACCCACCCCTGGAGCTAGACTGGGGCCAGGCCCCTGAAATATCTGAAACTCAGTGTTCTTTGTGGGGAGGAAGAGGATGGCTAGTACATGGCACCCAGGTCACCGTGTGAAATGGTGGAGCAGCAGCCCGTTGGCACAGCCCCAGCAGGGCCAGCCTCAAAATGAGGGGCCACAAGCTAACAGCAGGTACCCAGGAAGAAAGGGCTCCTGTGCAGGCCATGGTGGTTTGCTGGGAGAGGGGCCCTGAGACCTCGCTTCCCGGATGCTGGGGCTGGGGCACTTGGGGTGAGCACTGGAGGGCATGGACAGACAGGGAGATAGCAGTATCCACAGCCCCTCCTCCTCCCCTGCTTCCCCATGAAGGCTGCTGTGGGGAAAAGCAAGAGAGATCAGATTGTTACTGTGTCTGTGTAGAAAGAAGTAGACATAGGAGACTCCATTTTGTTATGTACTAAGAAAAATTCTTCTGCCTTGAGATTCTGTGACCTTACCCCCAACCCCGTGCTCTCTGAAACATGTGCTGTGTCAACTCAGAGTTGAATGGATTAAGGGCGGTGCAAGATGTGCTTTGTTAAACAGATGCTTGAGGGCAGCATGCTCCTTAAGAGTCATCACCACTCCCTAATCTCAAGTACCCAGGGACACAAAAACTGCGGAAGGCCGCAGGGACCTCTGCCTAGGAAAGCCAGGTATTGTCCAAGGTTTCTCCCCATGTGATAGTCTGAAATATGGCCTCGTGGGAAGGGAAAGACCTGACCGTACCCCAGCCTGACACCCGGGAAGGGTCTGTGCTGAGGAGGATTAGTAAAAGAGGAAGGAATGTCTCTTGCAGTTGAGACAAGAGGAAGGCATCTGTCTCCTGCCTGTCCCTGGGCAATGGAATGTCTCGGTATAAAACCCAATTGTATGCTCCATCTACTGAGATAGGGAAAAACCGCCTTAGGGCTGGAGGTGGGACCTGCGGGCAGCAATACTGCTTTGTAAAGCATTGAGATGTTTATGTGTATGCATATCTAAAAGCACAGCACTTAATCCTTTACCTTGTCTATGATGCAAAGACCTTTGTTCACGTGTTTGTCTGCTGACCCTCTCCCCACAATTGTCTTGTGACCCTGACACATCCCCCTCTTCGAGAAACACCCACAAATGATCAATAAATACTAAGGGAACTCAGAGGCTGGGGGGATCCTCCATATGCTGAACGCTGGTTCCCCGGGTCCCCTTATTTCTTTCTCTATACTTTGTCTCTGTGTCTTTTTCTTTCCCAATTCTCTCGTTCCACCTTACGAGAAACACCCACAGGTGTGGAGGGGCAACCCACCCCTACAGGCTGCTATCTGGCTTGGAGGATCCTTTGATGGGGAGGGGTGGGGCGAGGCTGTGGGAAAGTGGGCCGAGGCTGGGAGCACCTCCTCTGCTTCCTTGGGTGAAGAGCCTGGACAGATGGGGCTCTGCTTCTGCCCTGATCACCCCCACCCTGGGTCTCCGATTCCTTGTTTGAAGACGGGGGGCAAGGATGTCAGCTCTGTCAGTCCCCTCCTAGCTGTGGATATCACCACAGGCAGACGTTCACTACGAGAGAATCTTGGGCTCACTTGATGAGAAAACTCCACCCCCCCCCCCTTTTTTTTTTTTTTTGAGATGGAGTCTTGCTCTGTCGCCCAGGCTGGAGTGCAGTGGCGCGATCTCAGCTCACTACAAGCTCTGCCTCCCAGGTTTGCGCCATTCTCCTGCCTCAGCCTCCCAAGTAGCTGGGACTACAGGTGCCCGCCACCACGCCCAGCTACTTTTTTGTATTTTTTTTAGTAGAGACGGGGTTTCACCATGTTAGCCAGGATGGTCTCGATCTCCTGACCTCGTGATCTGCCCGCCTCAGCCTCCCAAAGTGCTGGGATTACAGGCATGACCCGCTTTTATTTTTTTTAAATGTAAAAGCTGCTTTGTATTAAAGACATATAATCCCAGCACTTTGTGAGACCAAGGCGGGAAGCTCTCTTGAGGCCAGGAGTTTGAGACAAGCCTGGGCAACATATGAGACCCTGTCTGCCGCCACTGTAGGACTTTGAACAGGCCTCCTTAACCTCTCCAGGCCTCGGTTTCCTCATCTGTAGACATCTGGAAAAACAGCAAGCCCTGCCTCATGAAGATGCTGGAAGAATTAATTGATTTGCATTTACAGAGCTTAACATTGTGCTGTCTAGTGGAAGAAAACGTGTTCACATCTGGAGCTGGGAGGACTTCTGGGGTGCAATAGGCACCACCTACCTGATGCCACTGCCAGGAGGCTCTTGGCTGCCACTTGTGGATGAACCACTCACACCAGGCAATGGTGGAGCTTCCGGTGAGAAAACCCTTCAAAGGACAAATCATCCATGAGCTCTCGACAGTAGGCAGCCTGTCCATAAGAGATGAACCATCATCACCATCCCCATCACCATCATCATCACCATCACCATCATCAATATTATTGTCATCACTATCATCATCATCATCACCATCACCATCACCATCATCATCATCATCACCATCATCATCACCATCATCATCACCATCATCATCATCATCATCATCATCATCATCATCATCATCATCATCATCATCATCATCATCATCATCATCATCATCATCATCATCATCATCATCATCATCATCATCATCATCATCATCATCATCATCATCATCATCATCATCATCATCATCATCATCATCATCATCATCATCATCATCATCATCATCATCATCATCATCATCATCATCATCATCATCATCATCATCATCATCATCATCATCATCATCATCATCATCATCATCATCATCATCATCATCATCATCATCATCATCATCATCATCATCATCATCATCATCATCATCATCATCATCATCATCATCATCATCATCATCATCATCATCATCATCATCTCCATCATTATCATCATCATCATCATCATCATCATCATCATCATCATCATCATCATCATCTCCATCATCATCAACATCATCATCATCATCATCATCATCATCATCATCATCATCATCATCATCATCACAATAACCATCATCATCATCAACAACATCATCATCATCATCACCATCATCATCATCATCATCATCATCATCATCATCATCATCAGCATCAACATCATCATCATCAATAATATTCACACCACCCCTACCATCACCACCATCACCACCACCACAACCATCACCATCACCATCATTATCATCACCGTCATCATCATCATCACTGTCATCTTCACCATCACCATCACCATTACCATCACCATCACCATCATTATCACCATCATCATCATCATCACTATCATCTTCACCATCACCATCATCATCACCATCACCATCACCGTCACCATCATCATCACCATCACCATTACCATCACCACCACCATCATGCTGTCCAGCACTCTCCAGGGCACTGTGACCTCCATTACCTCCTTGCATTCTCACAACAATGCTTTCGGGAAGTGCTTGGTTTTTCCAAACAACCAATTCTTCAGTTCTCTGACACTAACTGGGTGTTCTGCAATTCCATTCAATTCCTTCAATAACTACTCAGAGTTAGCACAGACTCTGAGTCCAGAGGCCAAGGGGCTTAGTTCTGCTTCAGATGACAGCCATAAATGGGGTCCCCTGGCTATATGCAATTCTGCCCGGCCATGCTGAGGTTCAATAATTTGCTAGAACGACTCATAGAACTCAGAAACATATACTTATGACTATGGTGTATTATAAAGGACACAAATGGCCAGATGTGGTGGCTCATGCCTATAATCCCAGCACTTTGGGAGGCCAAGGCAGGCAGATCACCTGAAGTCAGGAGTTTGAGACCAGCCTGACCAACATGGTGAGACCCCATCTCTACTAAAAATACAAAAAGTAGTCAGGCGTGGTGGTGCACGCCTGTAATCCCAGCTACTCAGGAGGCTGAGGCAGGAGAATCACTTGAACCTGGAAGGCAGAGGTTGCAGTGAGCTGAGATCATGCCACTGTACTCCAGCCTGGGAAACAGAGCCAGACTCCATCTCAAAAGAAGAAAAAGAAGAAGAAGAAGGAGGAAGAGGAAGAGGAGAAGGAGGAGCAGGAGGAGGAGAAGAAGAAGAAGGAGAAGAAGAAGAAGAAGGAGGAGAAGAAGAAGAAGAAGAAGAAGAAGAAGAAGAAGAAGAAGAGGGAGGAGGAGGAGGAGGGGGAGGAGGAGGAGGAAGAAGAGGAAGAAGAAGAGAGCCTCTGTCCCTGTGGAGCTGGGGTGGCCTTACTCCCCACACATGGATGTATTCAGCAACCCAGAAACTCCCCAAACCTCGTTGCTGAAGTTTTCACTGGGGAGGCATGATTGATTAAATCGTTGGCTACTGGTAACCAAACTCATTCTCCAGCCTCCTGGAGGAAGGGGGAGGACGCGGGGCACAGGGGTGCTGAAGTTGCACCAACCCTCTTCTCATCAAGGTGGTTGGTTCCTGTGGTGACCAGCCCCATCCTGAAGCTATGGGGTGGGGAGGCCCTATCAAGAGTCACCTCATTAGCATAAACTAAGATATGGTCAAAGGGGCTTCTTATGAATAACAAAAGACATTCCTATCTCCAACCCGGTGGCAGGTGCCTATAGTCCCAGTTGAGGTGGGAGTGAAACTGCCACTGCAAAATTATAACTGAGACACTGAAAGAGATCTGACCTAACCAACTCCATCTTGCTTCTAACCTCCAAGCTGTCCTTGTTCATTCCTAACTTTAGGAGGAGCTTTGTTTACAGTTTACAACAAAGACAGTAACAGCCCTTTCCCAAAATGAACCTCCTTCTTGCCTGGGGACTAGACTGCTTTTGTAGGACTAACAAATTAGCCAAAAGGTTAGAAATTATGGTTTAGGAGTCATGCAGCTGGAGGCTACAAGATTCTGACCCTTCCCACATTGCTACTGGGAATAACATCACTATTGTAAAACCTAAGATCAGTGCTTGAGATATCTTGCAGACCCTGCACTTGATGGATCAGCTGGCACCACACAGATCGATAAGCTGGCTCATCTAATCTTGTGGCCACCACCCAGGAACTGACTCAGGGCAAGAGGACAGCTTCGAATCCCTATGATTTCATCTCAGACCCAACCAATCAGCAATCCTGACTCACTAACTCCCCACCCACCAAATTATCTTTTAAAACTCTGATCCCTGAATGCTCAGGGAGACTAATCGAGTAATAATAAAGCTCTAGTCTCCTGCACAGCCGGCTGTGTGTGAATTACTCTTTCTCTATTGCAATTTCCCTGTCTTGAAATTGGCTTTGTCTAGGCAGCAGGCAAGGCGAACTCGTTGCGGGGGGTTACTGGAGGATCATTTAAGGCCAGGGGTTCAAAGGCACAGTGCACTATGATCACACCTGTGAATAGTCGCTGCAATCCATCCTGGGTGACATCAAGACTCGTCTCTATTTAAAAAAAAAAAAAGATGCTCCTATCTATCACTCAAGAAATGTTAGGCCAGGCCAGGCATGGTTGCTCACACTTGTAATCCCAGCACTTTGGGAGGCCGAGGCAGGCGGATCACCTGAGGTCAGGAGTTCGAGACCAGCCTGACCAACATGGTGAAACCCCATCTCTGCTAAAAATACAAAAATTAGCTGAGCATAGTGGAGGGCGCCTGTAGTCCCAGCTACTCGGGAGGCTGAGGCAGGAGAATTGCTTGAACCCGGGAGGTGGAGGTTGCAGTGAGCCAAGATGCCCTCCAGCCTGGGCGACAAAACAAGACTCCGTCTAAAAAAAAAAAAATGTCAGGCCGGGTGCGTTGGCCTGTCTCAGCACTTTGGGAGGCCGAAATGGGCAGATTACTGGAAGCCTGGAGTTCAAGACCAGCCTGGGCCGGGGAGGCGGAGGCTGCAGTGAGCCGAGATTGCACCACTGCACTGCAGTCTGGGCAGCAAAGCGAGACTCTGTCTCAAAAAATAAAAAGAAATTTCAAAGGTTTTTGGAGTTCTGTGCCAGGGACCTGGGACAAAGACCAAATATATACTTTGTATTACACCAAAGGTAAGGACTATTATTATATCCATTTTACAGTTAGGGGAACTGAGGCACAGAGGTGTTAAGTAACTTGCCTTACATTACACAGCTAGCTATAGCAAAGACAGGATTTGAACCCAGACAGCCAGCTCCAAAGGCCACATGTTAGCCACAAAACTAGAATGCCTTGCTCTGTGGGACTCTGGGGAGTCGTGGGGTGTGGTCCTCCTCCACAGGGAACCCTGAGGGTTGCCCCCTTCAGAGGGCAGAGCAAACAGCCACCCCACTGGGAGAAAGAGCATAATCAGACTCAATGCTGTGCGGGGAAACCGTGATTCGTTGTGGGGGAACAGCCCTGATTTGTAGCCACTTTCAGTGGTGAAAATAATTCCACCAAAGCTGACGACACTGAACTCCAAGTTGGGCACAGAGATGCACAATCACCGGCCGCCAGCCGACTGCAACACACACCACGCACAGCTCTGTGGGGCTGGGGACTTTGCTGGGTGTCCCCAGTAGGTCCGTGGTTCTAAGAGGGCAGCTGCTTCCACCAGCGTCTGCACGACAAGCAGAAGCTTCCTTCCACTGTCTTAGGCTTTCAGCCCCACTCAGGGCCTGGACTGAGAGGACAGCCTTGCCCCTCTCCAGTTTGGTGGGCAGCACCTCGCTGGATTCTCGAAGTGGACTCTCCCCTCTCAGCCAGCCCACCCAGGGCCCCGCTTGTTTGCTAAATGCTCCACACACGGCAATCTGGATGGCACCCTGAGGCCATGGCTCTGTCTTCACAGGGACACCCCTGTCTAAGTCCACCCTTCTGGAACATGGGGGTCTCCCATTCTTTCTAGCTCAGCTAGGTATTTAACCTACTGTGGACCACATTTTATCCAGCATTTCTGTGTGTTTGAAGAGAGTGAGAATGTGTGTGAGGGGGTATGTGTGTGTGCACTGAGATAGCAGGCTTCCCACTCACTCAGTCCACCATATTTCTTAGGGTGATTTAAATTTTTATTTATAGGTAGTCATTTTTGCTTCTATGTGTCTTCTGATTTTTTTTTTTTTTTTTTTTTTTTTTGAGACAGAGTCTCACTCTGTTGCCCAGGCTGGAGTGCGGTGGTGCGATCTCGGCTCACTGCAAACTTTGCCTCCCAGGTTCAAGCCATTCTCGTGCCTCAGCCTCCCGAGTTGCTGGGATTACAGGCGCCCACCACCACACCAGCCAATTTTTGTATTTTTAGTAGGGACGGGGTTTCACCAGGTTGGCCAGGCTGGTCTTGAACTCCTGACCTCAAGTGATCCACCCACCTCGGCCTCCCAAAGTGCTGGGATTACAGGCATGAGCCACCGCGCCCGGCCCTGTTTTCTGATTTTGTTAACAATAATCAGAACTTCTTCCGGACATTTTGCTCTATTTCCTGCCAGGCTTTCCCCCAATAAACAGCCTTTCTTGCACATGTCTGTCATTATCATTTAGTGGAGTTTATGTTTCCAGCCCAGCATCCAGTTCACAGTTCACCTTCTTTTGGTAACAGCACCCCAGTTTTCCTCCTGGGAATGATTCCACTACCTTCCACAGGCCTTATGTTAGGGTGGGGCCGCACCCCCCCCGCAACCACATCAGGAGTGGTTGCATGACCCAGGCCTGAGCAATCAGGATGCTGTAGTAATTGCTTCTGAGACACGCCAGGAGCCCACGATCCTGTCCCGAGATTTGCCGAAACCGCAGGGGACCAGCATCTCTTTGAACTGGCCTGAGCTGTTAGGAAGGATGCCTGGAGCGCTAGCAGCCTCCGCATGGAGGAAATCCCCCTGAAAATCTAGCCATCAATGACAAAGGGAGCAAAGAGAAGAGAAAGAACCGAATCCCTGACAGCGTCATGAGCACCTGCTGTGTAGACCCTTTCCTCCAGGCTTTACAGGTTCCTGTGAGCCAAGAAATTTCTTGATTTTTGTTATTTTTGCAGAAGTCAATTTGATTTGGGTTTCTATAGCTTCCAGCTGAAAGAGTATGGGCAAATAAATACACATAGTGTGCATAAAATATTGCATCCTGCTTTTTAAAATATTTTATTTTTTGAGACAGGTTCTCACCCTGTTTCCCAGGCTAGAGTGCATTGGTGCTATCCTAGCTCTCTGCAGCCTCAACCTCCCAGGTCAAGTGATCCTCCTGCCTCAGCCTTCTGAGTAGCTGGGACTATGGGTGCATGCCACCACACCTGGTCCTAATTTTTTTATTTTCGTATTTTAATTTTATTTATTTATCTATTTATTTATTGACGCAGTAATAAATGTTACCCAGGCTAGAGTGCAGTAGCATGATCTCAGTTCACTGCAACCTCTACCTCCCAGGCTGAAGTGATCCTCCCTCCCACCTCAGCCTCCAGAGGAGCTGGGACCGCAGGTGCACACCACCACGTCCGGCTAATTTTGTTGTTGTTGGAGAGATGGGGTTTCTTCATGTTACCCAGGCTGGTCTCCTTCCACCCACCTTGGCCTCCCACATGCTGGGATTGCAGGCATGAACCACCATATCTAGCCTTATTTTTTGAGATGGGGTCACACTCTGTTGCCTAGGCTGGAGTGCAGTGGTGCAATTACAGCTCACTGTAGCCTCGAACACCCGGACTCAAATAATCCTCCCGCCTTGGCCTCCCAAAGTGCTGGGACTACAAGTGTGAGCCACCACGCCCAACCTCCTGCTTTTTAAAGTAACATTATATAACAATCTTTTTCCATGTTTCTGTACAGGCTTTATACAGCTTCATAATATTCCATAAACTGAGTTTACCCTAAAATAAGAGTATTTAATTATTTAATTCGAGAGTCATTCTCCCCAAGAGAAAGGAGTTGAGGGCCAGGCACGGTGGCTCATGCTTGTAAATCCCAGCACTTTGGGAGGCTGAGGCAGGCGGATCACTTGAGGTCAAGAGTTCGAGACCAGCCTGGCCAACATGGCAAAACCCCATGTCAACTAAAAATACAAAAATTAGCCGGGCATGGTGGCAGGTACCCGTAATCCCAGCTACTTGGGAGGCTGAGGCAGGAGAGTTGCCTGAACCCAGGAGGCAGAGGTTGCAGTGAGCCAAGATCACTCACGCCACCGCACTCCAGCCCGCAACCTGGGGGACAAGAGTAAGACTTCATCTCAAAAAAAAAAAAAATTAGCCAGGTGTGGTGGCAAATGCCTGTAGTCCCAGCTACTTGGGAGGCTGAGGCATGAGAATCGCTTGAACCTGGGAGGCAGAGGTTGCAGTGAGCCGAGATCATGCCACTGCACTCCAGCCTGGGTGACAGAGTGAGACTCCATCTCAAAAAAAAAAAAAAAAAAAAAAAAAAAAAGAGAGAGAGAGAGAAAGGAATTGAAAAGAAAGCAAAGGCAAATTATTTGAGACGAATTTCCTCTTATGAGAACTACTTAATAAAGGTAGAGAACTCTTTTTACAAGATGATGCCAAAGGCAAAGAAGGAAGCTCTTGCCCCTCCTAAAGCTGAAGCCAAAGCAAAGGCTTTGAAGGCCAAGAAGGCAGAGCTGAAAGGTATCCACAGCCACAAAAAAAAGATCTGCACGTCACCCACCTTCCAGCGGCCCAAGACACTGCGACTCTGGAGGCGGCCCAGATATTCCCAGAAGAGCATCCCTGGGAGAAATAAGCTTGGCCACTGTGTTATCATCAAGTTTCCGCTGACCACTGAGTTGGCCACGAAGAAGACAGACGACAACAACACACTGTGTTCATTGTGGATGTTAAAGCCAACAAGCACCAGATCAAACAGGCTGTGAAGAAGCTCTATGACATCGACGTGGCAGTGGTCAACACCCTGAATAGGCCTGATGGAGAGAAGAAGGCATATGTTCAACTGGCTGCTGATTATGATGCTTTGGATGTTGCCAACAAAAATGAGATCATGTGGTTGGGCACGGTGGCTCACACCTATAATCCCAGCACTTCGGGAGGCCGAGGAGAGTGGATCACCTGAGGTCAGGAGTTTGAGACCAGCCTGGCCGACATGGCAAAACCCTGTCTCTATTAAAAATACAAGAAAATAAGCCAGGTGTGGTGGTGCGCTCCTGTAGTCCCAGCTACTCAGGAGGCTAAAACAGAAGAATCACTTGAACCCAGGAGGCAGAGGTTTCAGTGAGCTGAGATCACATCACTGCACTCCAGCCTGGGCCATAGAGCAAGACTCTGTCTCAAAAAAAACAAAAAAAAAGCCAGGCGCGGTGGCTCACGCCTGTAATCCCAGCACTTTGGGAGGCTGAGGCGGGCGGATCACCTGAGGTCAAAAGTTTGAGAACAGCCTGACCAACATGGAGAAACCCCATCTCCACTAAAAATACAAAATTAGCTGGACGTGGTGGCGCATGCCTGTAATCCCAGCTACTCGGGAGGCTGAGGCAGAAGAATCACTTGAACTCGGGAGGAGGAGGTTACGGTGAGCCAAGATCGCGCCATTGCACTCCAGTCTGAGCAACAAGAGTGAAACTCTATCTCAAAAAAAAAAAAAGGGATCATCTAAACTGAGTCCAGCTGGCTAATTCTAAATATATATATATCTTTTCACCAGAAAAAAAAAAATAAAAGTAGGAAAGTTTTTAACTAAGATGGAGAAAACTTTCATATATATTTTATTTTGTATTTTATTTATGTACAGAATATATCTAAAATATATATTGTCCACATAACAGAATAAATATATTTTGTTCTATACTGATCTCATTTAATATTTATTTACAAATAAATAATCCTTTATTTTTTGTTCCCCAATTTTAATAAATCTCTCTGCCTTTGACATCAGTGCCTATTCATTCCACTGTAGCCTTCCTTGGGCACGATTTTCAAGCATATGAAACTTTTTTTTTTTTTGAGATGAAGTTTCACTCTTGTTGCCCAGGCTGGAGTGCAATGGTGCAACCTCGGCTCACCACAACCTCCGCCTTCCAGGTTCAAGCAATTCTCCTGCCTCAGTCTCCTGAGTAGCTGGAATGACAGGTGCACCACCAAGCCCAGCTAATTTTGTATTTTTAGTAAAATGGGGTTTATCCACGTTGGTCAGGCTGGTCTCAAACTCCTGATCTCAGGTGATCCACCCGCCTCGGCCTCCCAAAGTGCTAGGATTACAGGCGTGAGCCACCATGCCTGGCCCAAGCATATGAAATGTAACAAGGGTCAACATAAAGTGCAACATGTAGAATCAAAAGCTGAATTCCAAATACAGAGTTTGTCCTTGGTGCCTATAAGGTGCATGATGGTTTTAGTGGGCCACATGAGGGGACATCAGAAACTTTCTATTCTCAACACACACACACAAAGTAAGAAAGAAAGAAAATGGCCAGGTGCGGTGGCTCATGCTTGTAATCCCAGCATTTTGGGAGGCCAAGGCAGGCAGATTGCTTGAGCCCAGAAGTTCAAGACCATCCTGGGCAACATAGTGAGACTCCATCTCTACAAAATATTTAAAAATCAGCCAGCCATGGTGCACACACCTGTAGTCCCAACTACTCAGAGGCTGAGGTGGGAGGATCCCTTGAGCCCAGGAGGTCAAGGCTGCAGTGAGCTATGATTGTACCACTGTACTCCAGCCTGGGCAACATAGTGAGACCCTGTTGAAAGAAAACAAGAAAAAAGAGAGAAGGGGGAAGAGGAAAGAAAGAGAAAGAAAAGAGAAGAGAAGAGGAGGGAAAAGGAGGGAAGGGAAAGGAAGGGAAGGGAAAGGAAGGGAAGGGAAGGGAAGGGAAAGAAAAAAGAAAAGAAAGAGGGAGGGAGGAAGGAAGGAGGGTGGGGGAAGGAGGGAGGGAGGGAGGGAGATGGAAACTATACGAGGTGAGGGATATGTTAATTAGCTTGATTGTAGTGATTATTTCACAGTCTAATGTACAACAAAACATTAAGTCAGCCAGGCACAGTGGCTCACGTCTGTAATCCTAGCACTTTGGGAGGCAGAGGCAGGTGGATCACGGGTCAGGAGTTCAAGACCAGCCTGGCCAAGATGGTGAAACCCCGTCTCTACTAAAAATACAAAAATTAGCCAGGCTCGGTGACAGGCGCCTGTAATCCCGGCTACTTGGAAGGCTGAGGCAGGAGAATCGCTTGAACCCGGGGGCCGGAGGTTGCAGTGAACTGAGATCGTGCCACTGCACTCCAGCCTGGGTGACAGAGTGAGATTCCATCTCAAAAAAAAAAAAAAATTAAGTCATATATAGGTTTTTATTTCCTGGGTAAAGATAGGGAGCGGGGAGAACTTTCTAACTAAAAGCAGGGAGCTGTGTGGGGTGTGGGGCTTTGGAGTCAGGCAGATGCCACTGACCTTGCTATGTGCTTGGCTTCTCTAAGCCTCAGTTTCCTCATCTGAAAAATGGGGAAATAACCCCTGCCCAGCGTCAGGCCTACTGACACTCAGTGCCATATGCTACTCTTGATTGTTTAGGACTGGAAGATATTCAAGCAAACACGGACCAACCACTTGACAGGGATCTCATAACTGTTAGAATTGGATTAGGATTACGTTTAGCTGCATGTAATAGAAAACCAAAAATAATCATTTGGGCACATATAGTGTTATTTTCCCTCACATAAAGGAATTTGAGAGGTTGGCGATAGTCTGGTCTGGTGGCTGCCGGACAGCTCCAATCATGGGACCCAGGGTCCTTCCATCCTTGCTTGGTCCACCCTCTTACTGTGTGCCTTCCACCCTCAAGATTACCTAGAGGGTTGCTAGACCAGTCCTCTTGCTGGACCAAGAGGGTTGCTGTTGCTCCAGCCTTCACATTCCTGATAGGGGGAAGAGCAAAAAGATGTTAAACTCTTTGAAGGATCCTTTCTGAAGTTCGACTCAATACTTTCTGCTTACTTCTCAATGGCCAGAACATGGTCACATGTTCTTACCTACCTGCAAAGGAGGCTGGGAAATGTGTTCTTTTAGCTAAGACACAGAGGCCCTGAATAAAATCAGGGTCCTGACACTAAGTGTCAAAAGACAAAATTACAAGTTTAGTTTAAAGCTCTCAATTGGCTTTGTGATTCTAGAATCAGGCAACACTTGATTTCCTAAAATAGAATAAGGGTTCCAATGAATCAAGCAGTGAAAGTTGGCTTTATAGACAGGAAGAGGGTGGAAAAAAGCAGAAACTAAAAACAAAAACCAGGCTAGGTGCAGTGGCTCACACCTATAATCCCAGCACTTGGGAGGTGAGAGGTTCGCTTGAGCCCAGGAGTTAGAAACCAAGCTGAGCAACATGGCGAAATCCCATCTCTACAAAGAATTTAAAAAATAGCCGGACATGTTGGCACGTACCTATAGTCCCAGCTACTCAGGAGGCTGAGGCTGGAGGAGTGCTTGAGCCCAGGAGTTCAAGACAGAAGAAAAAAAATTAAAACGGAGGGAACTTCATTATCGTGCCACTTGAAGATTGAAACTGGCCTGTTTCTGTCATGTCAGCACTTTGGGAGGCTGAAGTGGGCAGATTCCTTGAGCCCAGGAGTTCGGGACCAGCCTGGGCAACATGGTGAAATTCCATCTTTACAAAAAGTAAAAACAAAATTAACTAGGTGTGCTAGAATGTGCCTGTATTCCCAGCTACTTGGGAGGCTGAAGTAAGAGAATTGCTTCAGCTCGGAGTTGGGATCACACACTGAACTCCAGCCAAGGCCACAGAGCAAGATGCTGTCTCAAAAAAAAAAAAAAAAATACCGGGCGAGATGGCTCACATCTGTAATCCCAGCACTTTGGGAGGCTGAGATGGGTGGATCACCTGAGGCCAGGAGTTCGAGACCAGCTTGAGCTGAGGAAAAAGAATCGCTTGAACCCGGGAGGCAGAGGTTGCAGTGAGCTGAGATCACGCCACTGCACTCCAACCAAGGCAACAGAGCAAGACTCTACCTCAAAAAAAAAAAAAAAGAAAAAAGAAACTGGCCCATTTGGGAAACTGGCAATCATCTCTGTCTCCCGGTGATTTGGAACCTCAGTGTGAGTGACCCCATCTTGACGTTTAGTCCAGTCTGCTGGGGCCTGGTGCAGGAGCCTCATCCGAAGCAGTAGCCTCCTATAATTTCTATTTAGCAATTGTCTGACACTAAGGAAGAAGGTCATCTGGGATGGGCAGCCACCATTCTCTCCAGGACTCCTTTACAAGCTACAGGCTGTACTCATCGGCCCCTCACACTCCAACAAGCCTGGGTTTGCCCTGTGACCTCTGAGGTGGCGGCAGGGTATCTGCGGGGAAAATAAACACTTAGTGAGCAAGGAGCCTGGTGTCAGTAGTGCCGCCAGCCTCAGAGGGTTAAGGTGGAGGCTGGCTGGGCGGAGTCAGTAAAAGGAGTGTGAAGGGAAGGCCTGATCCTGGGAGAGGTGGAGGAGGGAGGGAGCCAGCCCGGAGAGGCAGCAGGATAGAGGACAAGGGCAGAGAGTTTCAGGGAGGGGAATTTTCCATACACTCATGACCATGCTGCTGATGGTGCAGCCCAGCACTGGCAGCAGCTGTCACCTGCTGGTGTGGTGGAACCGGTTCTAATGGGAGGCCTCTGTCTGCATCTGCCAGCATCATTACCATGCCAGTCATTAGATATATCTTTTTTCTTTTTTAAGGCACAGGATCTCGCTCCGTCACCCGGGCTGGGATGCAATGATGTGATCACAGCTCACTGCAGCCTGGAACTCCTGAGCTCAAGAAATCCTCCTCCTGGGCCTCAGCCTCCCCAGTAGCTGGGGCTACAGGTGCACACCACCATGCCCAGCTAATTTTTGTTTTATTTTTTGTAGAGACAGGGTCATACTACGTTGCCCAGGCTGGTCTTGAACTCCTGGGCTCAAGCGATCCTCCCACCTTGGCCTTTTAAAGTTCTGGGATTACAGGCATGAGCCACCATGCCCAGTCCCTCATTCAACGTTTTTAATATCCCTCCTGGGTATGAGAGAGTGCTGGAAAGCTTAGTATTGAAGCCAGACAGGGTTCAAATCCCAGATTCAGCTCTTATTAATAGTGTGGCTTTGAGTAAGTCGCTTATTCTCTGTGAGGCTCAGCATGCCTGTGTGTAAACTGAGTATACTAGTAGAACCGTACCTACCCAGAGGTGATGGGTGATGAGAAGGATGCTATGCGCCCTTTTCTGCCCATAAGCAGTCACTAAATGTTAGCTGATAACCCCTGGAGAAGCACAGACACGACCGACTGAGCCTTCCTCTCCAAACATCTTCTTAATGTAGGCATTTTTTTTTTTTTTTTTTGAGATAGAGTTTCGCCCTTGTTGCCCAGGCTGGAGTGCGATGGTGCGATCTCGGCTCACCACAACCTCCGCCTCCCGGGGTTCAAGCGATACTCCTGCCTCAGCCTCCCGAGCAGCTGGGATTACAGGCATGTGCCACCACGCCCAGCTAATTTTGTATTTTTAGTAGAGACGGGGTTTCTCCATGTTGGTCAGGCTGGTCTCAAACTCCTGACCTCAGATGATCTGCCCGCCTCAGCCTCCCAAAGTGCTGGGATCACAGGCATGAGCCACCGTGCCCAGCTAAGCACAAGTAGGTGTATCTGGGGTTATCCTTCTCCAAGAAACACTCAGAGGTCTGCAGACCTTTTGTTATTCTCTGCCCTTCTAGTCCAGATGAGCAAGGAGAAGATAGAGATTTTTGCCCTACATCAAAAGGGTTAAACCCACAGCCACAAATGGAGCTGCCCAGGCCCTTGGCTTTTGCTTATACCTACTCACCACTGCTGGGAAACTGATTCCCTGCAGGAACACTGACTAAATTGGGGGTGGTTATTTGTTGTTGTTTGTTGTTGTTGTTGTTTTGTTTGTTTATTTGTTTTGAAACGGAGTACGCTTTTGCCCAGGCTGGAGTGCAATGGTGCGATCTCGGCTCACTGCAACCTCCACTCCCTGGGTTCGAGCAATTCTTCTGCCTCAGCTTCCCCAGTAGCTGGGATTACAGGTGCACGCCAATACGCCCGGCTACTTTTTGCATTTTTAGTAGAGACAGGGTTTCACCATGTTGGCCAGGCTGGTCTCGAACTCCTGACCTCAGGTGATCCCCCCACCTCAGCCTCCCAGAGTGCTGGGATTACAGGAGTGAGCCACCATGCCCAGCCTAAATTGGGGTCTTGAGGCACCAGTGTAGACAGAGAGGTGCCAGGAGGGGTCCCTTATAAACACTGTTCTAAATCAACATCTGCATCCCTTCTCATTTGTCAGAGTCACAGCTGTCACTCCTCCTGTGTCCCTGTGGTTGTACTTGCCCCTGTGCACACGCCTCCAGCCCTTTCAAGAACATTTGTCATTTTTTCCCTATGTACCTGCAAAGTTGGCAACAAACTGTCCCATAGACTTAGCCCACTTGGAAGGCTGCTCCAGAAGCTCAAGACCCTTGCTCTATGGGTACCTGTGACATCACCAGTGGCCACAGTCCCTTGTGACCTCACCACTTGGACAACTCAGCCCAGCTGGGTTGCAGCCACTCCCTCCAACCGCCACAAGCAGCAAAGGGCATAGATGACCACAGGAGAGCCCTAGGGGGAGGCCGGCTCCACCAGCAGCCCCATACATGGCACTCCCAGGGTACCCCCTGGGCAACGTGGATGACAGCAGGTCTAAGGACAGCCCAGCAGGAGAGCCCCAAGGTCAGGTCCCACTCACAGCAGATGTCTTGGCAGTGAGCAGCTCTGTCGCATCCACTGACTGGCAGGATATAGATCAGGCCTCCTTCAAGACGGCCACCCCCAGGGCCATATCAACATCTGGAGACAAAGACAAGAGTGCAGTTGTTCCAGAACACGGCCAGAAGACACCCAGAAAAATCACACCTCTGCTTCCCAGCCAAAATCCAAGTCCCCTGCAAGTGTCTATGAGCCTTCAGAATCCAGCGTGGGACAGGCAGGTTCAAGACGCAAGGACAAGTCAGAGTCTAGTGGTTTTCCCAAGTCACCTCCTGGGTAAAGACAAGATGTCACAAATGGCGAGTGTTCCTGAGAGAGAGCCGGAGTCAGCCCCCTCTGCCCCGAGTGCTGAGCTACAGTCCACCCAGCACATGGAGGCTCAGCCCGTCGAGAGTGATGCTGACCATGTCACAGCAGGTGCCAATGGCCAGCATGGCCCTCAGGCTGCCAGCACCACCAAGTCTGCTGAGGAGAAAGCTGAGCATCCAAAGGCCCCACACCCTGAAGCTGAAGCTTTACCATCTGATGAGTCCCCAGTGGCAATGGGGGCAAATGTGGTGGACAGCTTAGGAGACCTGCAGACTTGGTTCTTCCCTCCACCTCCAGCAGGCAGTGTGTCCCCGTCGCCTGGCCCCCACGAGGTGGCCCTGGGGAGAAGGCCCCTGGACTCCAGCCTGTACACGGCCAGTGAGGAGAACAGCTACATGCGCTCCATGACCAGCCTGCTGGACAGGGGCGAGGGCTCCATCAGCTCCCTGGCAGACATCCTGGTGTGGTCCGAGACCACCATGGGCATGGCCATAGCCACAGGCTTCCTGGATTCCGGCCACAGCACTGTGGCAGACCTGCTGCACAGCTCGGGGCCCAGCTTGCGCTCGGTCCCCAGCCTGGTGGGAAGCGTCAGCTCGGCCTTCTCCTCTGGGCTGGTGTCAGGGACCAGCTCAGCCCTGCGCACCATCACCCGTGTGCTGGAGACAGTGGAGCAGAGGACCGTGGAGGGCATCCGCTCAGCCATGCGCTACCTGACCAGCCACCTCACCCCACGCCAGGCCCAGGCTGACCCCAACTATGATTAGAGCCCTGCACAGGGACCCCCGAAGGGCTGGTTCAGTGGCCTCCAGAGATCCCTGGGACCCTCACGCCCTGCTCCCTTGCCCATTCTTGCTCTGGACGGTTCCCCCAGCCCATGCAATAAATCACCAGTGAGCATTTATTTCTAAGCACCAGCCTCCTCCCTTGGGGTGCAGTGAGCAACACGGTGACAGGACAGGAGGGCTCGGGGTGCGGTGGAAACAGCGTCCCCTGAGGGTTTCTCAGGCTGTCCCATTCAGGGGCTGGGGGCAAACGTGCAGAGAAGAACCTGGACAGAGCTGGAGGCAGTGTGGCGGGGGGTGTCTCAGACCTGCAAAAACCCATCCCTACTGAACCTCCACCCAGGTAAGCTCCTGAGGAGCCTTCCCAGGGGCCTAGGCTGGCCTGGCGGGCTCAAGCTGAGAGGCAGAAGAGGCAGTGCAGTTGACAGTACTGAGTCACACCATGTGGGTTCAAACCCCAGCGCCAGCACTTGCCCTGGGCGAATCACGTCACTCTCAGCCTACTCAGCTGTAGAAAGGAGAGAATAAATCCATACCATGACACTGTTATAAGACAGAAGGGAAGCGATGCAGGCCATAATGCATGGTGTCTGGCACTTGATAAGCCCACACATGGTGGCTGCCATTATCATTATCCTCCGGTGAGCTGGGGGTGCAGAGGGAGCAGGAGTCTAAGCAAACCGACTGTCCTGGTTTGCCTCAGACTAAGGGGGTTTCTGGGTTGTAGGACTTTCATATTTAAAACCGGAAAACCCCAGGCAAACTAGGATGAGTTGCTCACCTTAGACCCAGGTCTCTTTACGTGGTATTTACTCTTGTCTGTGAAGATATGCATCTGGGAAAGCATTAGCAAGGCCCGGCCTTGAGTGCAGCGACGGGGCAGCCATCTGCTTCGGAAGCTGTCAGCCCACCCTCTGGCTAGACCCTGTGGAGCACCCGGTGGTATGACCTGGTGAGTGATGCCCCTGCTGGATGTCCGCTCCAGCCCCACCCTTAGCCAAGTGCCCTCAGCAGCTCTCACCTGCATGCCTTCATGTGCGGCCCTGGCCACAGATGGTTCACTAGTCCTTCCTGGTTCCCAGCAGAGTCTCCAAATGGGAGCCCTGGGGCCGCAGCCAGCCAACTGATGGGTTGTTTGACCTACATAGTGCTTCTCAAATTGTAAACTAATCGCTAGCATTTAAAAAATAGATTTTACGGCCGGGCAGGGTGGCTCATATCTGTAATCCCAGCACTTTGGGAGGCCGAAGTGGGTGGATCACCCAAGCTCAGGAGTTCGAGACCAGCCTGGCCAACATGGTGAAACCTGGTCTCTACTAAAAATACAAAAAAATTAACTGGACTTAGCAGTGTACGCCTGTAATCCCAACTACTCAGGAGGCTGAGGCAGGAGAATTGCTTGAACCTGGGAGGCGGAGGTTGTAGTGAACCAAGATCACACCACTGCACTCCAGCCTGGGTGACAAGAGCAAGACTCCATCTCAAAAAAAAAAAAAAAGATTTTGCATTAAAATCTGGATTTCTGCTTCTCTGGGAAAATCTAGGGCCCTCGTTTCTTCAGGACCCCAGGCAGCAGAACTGCCTGCTTTAGGGTGTATGTGCTCACTGTCCACCACAGCCCACCTGGCCTGCATCAGTGACCCATGTCACCAGCCCCGCCCCACCATGCAGAAGGCTCACATGAGGAAGGGTGATACCAGGCCCCAAGGTGGATGCAAAGATGAGCCCGGTGTGCATACCTGCTTCCCTCCAGGAGCTGCCAATTTTTTTCTTTTTTTGGATGGAGTCTCACTCTGTCACCCAGGCTGGAGTGCAGTGGGACGCCATCTCGGCTCACTGCAACCTACATCTCCCAGGTTCAAGCAATTCTTCTGCCTCAGCCTCCTGAGTACTGGGATTACAGGTGCCCACTACTACACTCGGCTAATTTTTTGTATTTTTTAGTAGAGACGGGTTTCCCGTCTTGAACTCGTGACCTCAGGTGATCTGCCCGCCTCGGTCTCTCAAAGTGCTGGAATTACAGGCATGAGCCACCTTGCCCAGCCCAGGAGCTGCCACTTTCTGTAGGTACAACGGGAACTGTCCCCACGTCATGAAAGCAATTAATTCAGAGGTGTGAGATTGCGGACTTAGATCCCAGTAATCAGGGGATTCTCAGAGAAGCAATTAAGCCAGTCCCTAAAAGAGAGAAGGAGGATGCCTCCCAGACAGAGGCAATAAGAACAAAAGCCAAGGCAGGCATGGTGAGGGTGCTGGGGGGTGGCTATCGAGCAGCTGGGGCCCACTGCAGAGGGCGATCAAGCTGCCAGGGTGACCTCAAAATGTGCTCATTCATGCTTTTTTTTTTTTTTGAGACGGATTCTCACTCTGTCGCCCAGACTGGAGTGCAATGGCGCGATCTCTGCTCACTGCAACCCCCGCCTCCTGGGTTCAAGTGATTCTCCTGCCTCAGCCTCCCGAGTAGCTGGGATTACAGGCATGCACCACCATGCCTGGCTAATTTTTGTATTTTTAGGAGAGACAGGGTTTTGCCATGTTGGCCAGGCTGGTCTCAAACCCCAGACCTCAGGTGATCTGCCCGCCTCAGACTCCCAAAGAACTGGGATTACAGGCATGAACCACCGCACCCAGCCTCACTCATGCTTTCAATAAATTTTTTTTCTTTTCTTTTTTTTTTTTTTTTAGATGGAGTCTTGCTCTGTCGCCAGGCTGGAGTGCAGTGGCGCAATCTCGTCTCACTGCAACCTCCGCCTCCTGGGTTCAAGCGATTCACCTGTCTCAGCCTCCTGAGTAGCTGGGATTACAGGCACGTACCACCACGCCCAGCTAATTTTTGTATTTTTAGTACAGTTGGGGTTTCACCATGTTGGCCACACTGGTCTCGAACTCCTGACCTCAGGTAATCCGCCCTCCTCAGTCTCCCAAAATGCGGGGATTACAGGCGTGAGCTACCGCACCTGACCTCAACAAATACTTTTTAAACATCCACTATGTGCCCGGCACTGCTAGACACTGAGACCACAAGGGTGAACCAGCCATCACAAGGGTGAACCAGCCATCAGAAGGAACAGAAACCTAACTCAAACCAGATTAAGCAAAGAGATGAGTCAACCAGCACAACGGCCGGGTGTGGGCCAGGCCAGGCCAGGGCCAGGGCTCACCCTGGTCCTCAGGGCTCTGCCGTTCCGGCTCGGCTCCCCGGGGCTGGCCCCCTCCGTGCTCAGGCAGCTCAGTCACCTTCCGAGAAAAGAGAAGCTTGTTCCCACTGGCTCTGGCAAGAGAGTTGGGGGAGGACGCCGCCAGGCCTGGCTTGGTGCCTGTGCCCTCCCCTGAACCAATCACTGAGGCCACGGGAATGAAATCCCTCATCACCGGGCCTGGGGCCAGGGTCAGACCAGAATTGGGGCCTTCCTAGGGGAAGGGATGCTGGGCCCACCACCAGCAGAGTGGTAGCAAGTGTGTCCTTTGGGTCCAGCTGTCTTGAATCCTGACTCCCTCCCACAAACTGTGTCACCTTCATCTTCCCGTGCTGTTTTCTCATCTACAAAGTGATAATAGTACCTCTGCATAAGACTGTTGTGAGGATTAAATGAGTTAATGTGTCAAGTGCCTAGAACAGTGCGTGGCACGTAGTCGAGTGCTATGTGGGCCTGATGACTACTGCAGACGGGCCTGCGCAGCTGTGTGCCAGCGCATTCATGACTTCATTCCAAGGGGAGTAAACATGGGGGTGCAGCAGCTGCACATTGGCAATTACCTGAGCTGGGTCTTTGCTGTTGGAGAGAGAAGGGCAAAGGCCTGGCAGTGTGGTGATGGTGCCACCTTCGTGCAGGAGGGTGATGGGGGTGGGGGCTGCTCTATGAGGAGATGGTCCAGACCTATGGAACTCAGGCTGGCAGGGAGGGGTGGCAAAGCAAAGGGAAAGGAGACATTGCAGGTGACCAGCTGGATTGAGGGGCCAGGAAAACATGATTCCTGGGTGATTTGGGCCTGGGCAGTTAGGAGACTTGAGGTGTCCCTGACAGGTGGTGGGACATGAGGAAAGGGTTAGTGGAGGCTGGTGGGAAAGGACTGGATCATGTGTTTGTTTTTTTTGTTTGCTTTTGGTGTTTTTTTTTGTTTGTTTGTTTTGTTTTATTTTGTTTTTGTTTGTATAGTTTTTTCTCACTATGTTGCCCAGGCTGGTCTCAAACTCCTGGAGTCAAGCAATCCTCCTGCCTTGGCCTCCCAAAGTGCTGGGTTACAGGCGTGAGCCACTGTCCCAGGCATGTTTGCTTTTAGAAATATTGAGTTTCAGCCAGGTGCGGTGCTGTAATCCCAGCACTCTGGGAGGCCGAGGTGGGTGGATCACCTGAGGTCAGGAGTTTGAGACCAGCCTGGCCAACATGGTGAAACCCTGTCTCTACTAAAAATACAAAAAATTAGCTGGGTGTGGTGGTGGGAACCTGTAATCCCAGCCACTCAGGAGGCTGAGGCAGGAGAATCGCTTGAACCCAGGAGGCGGAAGTTGCAGTGAGCCAAGATCGCGCCACTGCACTCCAGCCTGGACAACAAGAGCGAAACTCCATCTCAAAAGAAAAAGAAAAGTGGCAAGCTAGCACACTTTCTCCCATCAAAGTGTTTATGAGGGGCTAGTATTAACACCTAGAAGTCACTGCTACTCAACAAGGACAGAGCTCATGCCTAGAACAGGGAAAAGTTATGAAGTCCCACTGGAACCACACAACTCTGCCTTGCATTGCATTCTGCAGGGACAAGTTCCCGGTCCCCCAGGGGGCTGTGACAGCCACGCCACATTGGTTGCTTTGTCTCCAGGGCCCCACCACTGGCCAACTCACTCTGTGCTGCCTTGAAACCCACTCAGTCCAGTGTCTGCTGGACGGACCCTCCCTGCTAGCTCTTCTTGATCCTTCCCTCCTTGCTGTGGGGTAAACAGTTGTGTTGGCAAACCCACCTGGCAACACATGGGGACCCCCAGGGATCCAAGTACTATATCATAACTGGGGAGGCAGTCAGAGCTGCATGCTCAGGGCCGGGGTGTCCAATACAGAAAGAAAGGGTACACTCCAGCTCAGGATGGATGGCTGAGGAAGACATTGTAGAGTGAGAAAGCAAAAGCCCAGAGACAGGAGCTTGGGGAAAGGTCCCATCCCACAGGCAAGAGAAGAAGAGGAAGCAGTTCCTAAAACAAAACACAGGAGCAGTCGGCAAGTGGGGGTGATCTGGCCCATTATGGGGACCTGGGCTTGAAGGCATAGGGGACCACCCCCAAAATATGCCACTTTGGCATAAGGATGATTTGAGCTGAAGGCAATTGAGAAAAAGCAGACAGGATGAGCTTTCTGCCCTTTCCCTTTCTGCCTGAAAAACAGGGTGTACATTTCCTTGTGAAGCCCCCTCACCTTGTCCATACCAGGAAGGGGAGAACGGCCTTATCACTGGAGAGAGAGATGGCACTGAGAAGCATCTACACAGACAAGCCTTACTAAATAGCCCTATCTACCATAGTGTCCCCCATATGTTTACCTTCCCACAGCTTACTACCCCTAAAACATTCAGAAGCCACTTTCCTTTGCCTTGTCACTTCTCCACAAATTTATCATCCTTTGTTAGTATGGTATAAAGCCACCAAGTCTGCTTTGTGGGGTTTCTCTTCTATGAAGCACCACCACCTCCCCCATGCCAGGTAACACTTTTAACATTAGGGAGTCACGCTGAACCTATTCTGGTTTAGGGGTCCACCCGATTTGAAAAACAAAAAAAACAAAACTTTTAACATGAAATAAAATGTGTATGTCTTTTATCTGTCTTTTTTTGTTTGTTTTTGTTTTTGTTGTTTTGAGAGAGAGTCTCACTCTGTTGTCCAGGCTGGAGTGCAATAGCACAATCTCAGCTCACTGCAACCTCCACCTTCCAGGTTCAAGCAAGTCTCCTGCCTCACCCTCCCAAGTAGCTGGGATTACAGGCATGTACCACTATATCTGGCTAATTTTTGTATTTTTAGTAGAGACGGAGTTTCACCACGTCCGGCAGGCTGGTCTTGAACTCCTGACCTCAAGTGATTGGCCTGCCTTGGCCTCCCAAAATGCTGGGATTCCAGGCGTGAGCCACCACCACACCCAGCCCTTTTCTCCTGTTAATCTGTCATTTGTCCAATTATTTTGCAGGCCCAGCTACTGAACCTAAGAGGGTAGGGAATACTTTTCCCTCCCCTGCAAAGGCCCCATGTGGTCCACTGCATGCAATGGATGAAAACTGAATAAGCGGGGAGCACTATTAACTGTTGAGGACAAGCAGTTAATAGAGACAGAAGGAGGGGATAAAGAATGAGCAATAGAATAAAAAGATGGCTGTGTGTAGGGTCTCTTCTGTGTTGAGAAGTGAGGTATGACAAAGCTATAAATTCAGCCCTACAAAGCCTTGCATTTCCTCACTCAACAAATCAGGGAGCCTGGTTCTCAGTGACTTCTTGTTTATATATGTTAGGGTTAATGTTTGAAAACAATCAGCATTTCTCTAGGATCAACAGCCATCTTTTTGGTGTGTTCTGCCAGGAGACATTGGCCAAGTAAGCTGAGGTCTGCACCAGCCAATAGGCATGGAGGCTGGACCAGGAGCCAGCAGGGCAGGCACAGTGTCCTAACGCCTGAGCACAGCAGGGGATGGGCTAAGGGGAGGGCACCAACAAGTCCTGGCAGACATCAGAAGGGACACCCAGCCTAGCCGGCCTCCACCCCAAGGTTGGACTGTCCTGACCCCCTCAAAGAAGGCCTTGCTCCTCCAGCCGCTGGGAGCACTGTTGTTGGATAGCCTTCAGCCTCAGCTCCTGCAGAGAGCATCTCACCCAAGGTGGTGAGGTCCCAGGTGGCCCAATCCCCACAATGGTCTGTGCAGGGGTCTGAGGTCTGACCATCCTGACCCAGCTTGGGATAACCGCAGCTCCAGAGCTCCCGCGGGGCTGGCTGGGGCTGTCGTTGAGCCTGCACTACAGGCTCGACCTCTCCCTCTCCAACTCTGTCTTCATTCTGCTCCTCTTCACAGGGCGTGATCCCAAATAAACATCCCGTGTACCAAACCCTGGCTCAGGGCCTGCGTTCTGGGGAACCCAAGATATCACCATAGGCTGCTAATTTCTCCCATCTGAGATGTGTTGTGGTGGGAGGGATTCAAAACATAGAAAAACATCAAAGATTTTTTTCTAATGTCTCTCTTTTTTTAAAGTTAAAAATTTAAGGCAACTTTGAGAATGGTAAAGAAACCAAATCTTTGTCAGTGTTTGTACTTGCTTTGTAAGGATAATTTTTTTTTTTTTAAATCTTGTCAACACACCTCTGCTGGCAGGAGTGTAGGAAAATATTTCTGTTTAGTCTGTGGGCCCGTGGCTAATTGGTTAAAATTCCTATGCCACTGTAGTCTAGGTTATAGGTTTGGCTGGGTGAGGTATAGCTTCTATCAGGGAAAAGAGTGTCTCCAAAACAAAGTTCACACATAGGACAGTCCCCCAAGGAGGATGTGATAAAGTGTAGAGGTAAACGAAGTACTTAAGTACGTATTTAACTATTTAAACGAAAGACCTCCCCAGGCTAAGAGGTAGCCCTATTTCCTAGACTGACTTGATCTTGAGCTTCCAGAGTCTCTAAGGACACAGACTGCGCCCTCTGCTGGAGGGAAGGCACCACCGGCCCATACTAGGGTGGCCCAAGGGCGCGGTGGCTCAACCTGTAATCTCAGCACTTTGAGGCCAAGGTGGGAAGATCACTTGAGCCCAGGAGTTCGAGACCAGACTGCACAACATAGCGAGACACCATCTCTACAAAATTTAAAAAAAAAAAAATAGCCAGGTGTGGCAGCACATGCCTGTAATCCCAGCTACTCAAGAGGCTGAGGGGGAGGATCACTTGAGCCCAAGAGGCTGAGGCTATAGTGAGCAATGAACACGTAACTGTACTCCAGCCTGGGTGACAGAGTGAGACCCTGTCTCAAAATAATAATAATAAAAATAACAATAAAATAAAAAATAATTTTTAAACATTTTTTAAAGAAAGCGGAAAAAAGGGCACAAGGACAGAGGGGCATAGACCCTCCAACTGGAGTGACTGCCAGAGCTGAACAGCACGGCAATATAACAGTGCTCCAAGACTCAGACCACAGAAGGCCCAGAGTCCTCCAGGAAGGACCCAGACACAGAGCAAAGGTCTTCATGGGTAGAGTCTGGCTGAGGGGTCTCAGGACAGGCAAGGCCCACTGACTCCGTGCCTAGAAGCAGGCTGGCCCACCCTGTGGAGTCCTGCACAAGTGGACACTGTGGCCCTTAGTGTCTCCAAACACAAAAAAGTGTTTCCTCATCTGCAAAGTGGTTCTTCCATTTGCCTCACAGAGATGCTGTGGTCAATAATGCTTTTTTTTTTTTTTTTTTTTTGAGACAGAGTCTCACTCTGTCGCCCAGGCTGGAATGCAATAGTGCCATCTCAGCTCACTGCAACCTCCACCTCCCAGGTTCAAGCAATTCTCCCACCTCAGCCTCCCGAGTAGCTGGGATTACAGGAACCGGCCATCATGCCCAGCTAATTTTTGTGTTTTTGTAGAGATGGAGTTTCACCATGTTGGCCAGGCTGGTCTTGAACTCCTGACCTCAGGTGATCCACCTGCCTCAGCCTCCCAAAGTGTTGGGATTACAGGCGTGAGCCACTGTTCCCGGCAATAATGCATATTTTTCAAAAACAGCATTTAACAGTGGGCATCTGACAAATGTCAGTTTTCCTTTACTGGGATTTTCCACATGATCTGTGTATTGGTGAGGAGCCTCTTAATTGAAAGTGACAGAAACCCAGCATGTAGTAGCTTAGGCACAAACCGGATTAACGGGCGAGGTAAGGAAGGGCTAAGAGGAACTGGCTATGAGGATGCTGAATAGGAACTCCCTGCTGCCAGTACTCTGTCCCCATCACTTGTCCTCCACCTCCCATGGAGGTTCTTTCTCTCCGCCAGGCTTCTGCTCCTTGCAGGGACCGTGGCTCCTGGAGACTCCAGGCCCACAGGCTGCTCCTTGATAAACCAGAGAGGAAAAGTCTCGGTTTCCCCTGTTGGATCTGATCAATCCTAGGGGGAAGGACCCTGGTTGGCCCAGCCTGGATCCTGTCAGAGCAGGCTGCTCCCAGAAAGGGGAAGGAGGGGCCCAAAGCAGCCTGTCCCTTGTGGCTCCCCTAAGTCCCCCACTGCAAGGGACACTGTCCTAACCCCCATCCCTCCTATATCTGAAGGTTCCCCAGCAGATAAAAGTTGCCTTTCCCACAAAAATAGGCCAGGACTCCAGATGGGGTCCGATGTTTGCCTAATGCCACACAGAGCCCACACCTAGGTTCTGGGACCCGGGGTATGCCTCCCACAACACACAAACTTGCCTGTGAATGCCCTGCACACAACCAGAACCTTCCTTTAAACACGTGCTTTGGAAAGAGCAAGGCACTCAGATCTTTCTGTACTCATCCCCCCAACCCCATGGATTCAAATATATTCCTTTGCATCTCTAAATTTTAAATGTCAAACAATGAGGAAATAGAATTCACCTAAAATTCTGCCTTGGCTACTCACCTCCTGTATTTTATTAGTACTTTTCAAAATACAGTCTTTGGGGAGGAAAAACACCTCCCACCAATGGGCTCACCACACTGAACTTGAACAAGGCACTCAGGGTCCCTCAGTAAGAGATGGTTAGGATTACCCCAGCAGCAGATGGGTAAGTCGAGGCACAGCAGGGCAGGGGCATGGTGGCCGATTGCCGGTGGCCCCTGCGCAGGTTCTGGGCCTTGCGTCCCAGTCTGGGTTCTGGCTTCAGCACTTTATATTCTGCTGCGGCGGGAACAGCCTAAGAACAGAAACTTGGAGGTGGTCAGTGCAGACCCTTCTGGCCCCAATGCCCTCTTCACCCAGGGGTGGCCTGGCCTGGCCTGACTGCCCCGACTGCCCCCAACCCCAGGCAGCGGTGGAGGAGAGGGATGTCACACAGCACAAACGCCGGCGGAGGGGCCACAGGAGTGGGGAGAGCAACCAGGGATGAAGCAGAGTGGGGTGCGCAGGCCTCGCGTCTCCTCCCCCAGGGCAGGTGGCCAAGCTCAGAGATTTCCTGGGTGATTAGGGGGAGGGGCGCGAAAACGCCCCTTGCTGCCACCTGCTCCTTGTTGCCAGAGCAGGAACCCAGGTTGGGGCTTGGGGAGCAAATGAGGCTGGGACAGAGCACGGGGCAGTCAGATGGGGTGAGGCGAACAAAGGCCTCTCTCTGCGAGAGAAATCCCGACTGGCTGCGGGGCGCACTCAGGCCACAATGGGGCTTTCTCCGGCCACAGGCGGCCCGGCCAGCCTGAGGGCAAGGCAGGGCGTCTGCGCTGCCGCGGGCCAGGCGGCACCGCTTCCGCGAGGGAAGAGCAGCTCCCGTGTCGGGGCCGGAGCTGGGGCCGAGGCTCCGAGGCGGGACCAAGGGCGCGGGTGGCCGACGGGGCCTGCAAGACCGGCCGAGCACCCCCAGCCCCAGCCCGGCCCGGCCCAGCAGGCCCGGCCCAGCAGGCCCGGCCCAGCAGGCCCGGCCCAGCAGGCCCGGCCCCGCCGTCTCCATGGCGACCGTGACCTCAACGCCTGGGCGGGGAGGGAGAGGCTGAGCCGGTTGCTGCGCGACGGCCCAGTGACGTCAGACAATTGAGTTTGGTTCCCAAGGCAACTGGCCGGGCAGCTGGGCCGGGAACTATTTGTGTCTGTCCCCAGAGGGGCTGCGGAGCCTCCAGGGTCTGGCGCAGCTGAGGAAATGCGCTCCTGGCCCGGGGCAGGCGGGGGCCGGGACACAGAGGCCCTTTCAGCCCCGGAAGGCTGCGGGCCCGGGCGGGGCGGGGCGGCACCCTCCAGGAGGACGCCCGGCCTTCTCCCCACTTCTGCCTGGGAGGCCCCTGGCCCGCCGGGCTTTGTCCTATTTATAAACGTGCTCCTGAGTAAACTCCCTGAAGAAAGGGGCCTCTGTGTGCGGCAGCCCGGCCCACAGCGCCGCCCTCAGCACACAGTAGGCGCTCAGCATGGCCTTCTCATGGGACTGAGGACAAGCACCGATCCTTGGGAGCTGCCAGGCGCCTCCAGCACCCAGAACCCCTGACATCGAGCGCCTGGACACCTGTTCCCGAAGCCCTGTGAGCTGATGGGCTACGTAACCTCTGGGCCGCAATGCTAGAATAAAATGCATGGACACTTGTTCCAAAACGATGGAGGGACGGTGTGGGAAACAGGCCCCAGCCCTGTCGACTGAGGGTGAATGCACGAGTGAAAGTGACAATACATGGGTAAACTGAGGCAGGCGGCATCAGCCGTAGAGGAGAGAGGATGAGGTTCCAACCTGGGGTGTAAGAGAAACAAGATGCTACAGGAGCAGAAGGGCCATCAGCTGTGCTAAGATAAAGCAGGGACCTAAATTTGGGCCTGAGAGCTGGTCCAGGCCTGCCAGTGGCAGTGGCTCAAGACGTGGGGCGCTGTGACTGGGTCTCAGACCCAGTGATGCCACCAACCCAGGCTTCTCCCAGGCTCCTCCCCCAGTAGCACTCTGTCACTACAGGGTGACATCCAGGCCCTTCACGATCTGTCTCCAGGGAGCCACCACCTCCCCCAGCCCAACAGGCCAAGCACTGACATCCAAACCAACTGACTACCCAGGAGCCTGGGCATGCTTTGTCCGTCTGGCCCAGGGAGGCATCTGCCCATCCCTGTGAATAGCAGCGTCTCTCCTCAACAGTCAGTGACTGCCTTCTGACAGCCTGACCAGGGGGTCTGAGTGCGAGAGGCATCTGGCATCTCTGAAAAAGCAGCTCCAGCCTGGCTTCCAGGGCAGGGACTCTCCACTGCCAGATCTGCAGACTCTCCACCACCAGGGCGCCTACTGCAGTTGGGAAAAGCCTCAGATCTATGTCCTCTCCTGTCTGGGTGGAGCAGGCACCATGATCCCTGTTTCATGCACAAGGACATTGATGCGCAGGGACTACAGGACTTGTCCAAGGATGCACCCGAGCCCACGTCCCACCTAGGTTCCCCAGTCTCTCCCAGACAATCCCTCAGAAAACAGTCCTGGGCCCAGGAACCAGAGCTGCTGAGCAGGCCCAGCTACGTAATTTGTGGAGCCCAGTGCAAATTGAAAATTTGAGACCCTTTGTTAAGAAATTATGAAGAGGCCAGGCACAATGGCTCACATCTGTAATCCCAGCACTTTGGGAGGCCGAGGCAGGCAGATCACTTGAGTCCTGGCGTTCAAGACCAGCCTGGCCAATGTGTCGAAACCCTGTCTCTACTAAAAATACAAAAATTAGCCGGGCATGGTGGCTGGTGCCTGTAATCCCAGCTACTTGGGAGGCTGAGGCAGGGAGAATTGCTTGAACCCAGGTGGCAGAAGTTGCAGTGAGTTGAGATTGTGCCACTGCACTCCAGCTTGGGCGACAGAAGGAGACTCTGTCAAAAAAAGAAAAGAAAAAAAAAATTATGAAGAGGCTGGGCATGGTGGCTTATGCCTGTAATCCCAGCACTTTGGGAGGCCGGGGTGGGTGGATCACCTGAGGTCAGGAGTTCGAGACTAGCCTGGCCAACATGGTGAAATCCAGTCTCTACTAAAAATACAAAAATTAGCCAAGCATGGTGGTGCATGCCTGTAATACCAGCTACTTGGAAGGCTGAGGCAGGAGAATCGCTTTAACCCTAGACGCAGAGGTTGCAGTGAGCCAACATCATGCTACTGCACTCCAGCCTGGGCGACAGAGTGAGACTCTGTCTCAAAAAAAAAAAAAAAATTATGAAGGATTTCAAGACAATGTCAGAAGACCATCAAACTAAGGATGGGACCCATGTGACTGCACAGGTCATATGCTCATGAAGCTGGCCAGGATGGCAAGTCCAGGACACCAAGCCAGGCTCTTTCCTGGGCACCGTGCACCTCTTCCCTTGCTCAAGGTCCATCTGCTGGCCAGTTCCTGGGATTTCTCTGACCCGCCCACTCCACACAGGCTGGACGTCCAGGGCGTCTTCAGAGAGGTCCACTAGATATTAGGGGACGCTGCCCAGTACTTTCCCATCAAAGACCAAGACCACAGAACACTTCCAGAAACGCTTCCAGAAATGCTCAATCCTGCCAGCACTGGAAGTTTGCCTGCCTATTTTCAGCTGAAGAACACTTGCTCTTGAAGAAAATGTAGCAGGGCTGTCTACCTAAGGTGAAATGTACCAGCTGACAGATGAGAATCTGACACTGATCAACATTAAAACAATATATAAGAACAAAAGTCAAGGGCATGTTTGTGGCCTCCTAGAGTCCACATCATGCCCATGATTTGTCTCACTCTGCCCTCGGAGAGCCAGAGGAGGGAACTTCTGCCTTGGCCCACCTGGGTTTGTCCCCACCCTGGAGTCAGGCCATGTCCACTCCCCTTCCAGTCTCTGCTGGGGTCCCTGCATGCCCTATGCTCTCTTCCAGCTTGTCTGAATCCTGCCCTCCAGTCTGAGTGCCACGTGGGGGGCAGCTTGCTGGGATGCCCGATGCCCCACAGAACTGCAGGGCTGCTGGCCTCAGACAATATGGCCCTCCGCTGTCAGATCCCTCCAGAGATGGCCTCAACTGGAAGAAATGCCTCTCAAAAGCCCACATCTCCCTTTCTTGGGTTCACTCAATGACTGGCGAGCAGTGGCATCCTGATGAGTGACAAGGCAGGTGGAAAGATCCAGCCCTCTTGCCTCAACTCAGGACAATAATACAAGACCCACCGGGCGCAGTGGCTCACGCCTGTAATCCCAGCACTTTGGGAGGCCGAGGCGGGTGGGTCACCTGAGGTCAGGAGTTTGAGACCAGCCTGGCCAACATGGTGAAACCCCATCTCTACTAAAAATACAAAAATTAGCTGGGCGTGGTGGTGTGTGCCTGTAATCCCAGCTACTTGGGAGGCTGAGGCAGGAGAATTGCTTGAACCCAGGAGGCAGAGGTTGTAGTGAGCCGAGACTGTGCCACTGCACTCCAGCCTGGGTGACAGAGTGAGACACTGTCTCAAATTAAAAAATAATAATAATAATAATAATAAAGAGTAATACAAGACCATCCCTGCTCCAGAGCTCCCCTTGGGGTCAGCAGGGCCTTCCAAGTTCTCCCTCTGCCCCTCCTGTGCCTTCCCCCGGAGATGCTGACCCCAGGAGCACTCCCTGATGAACCTCCTGCCTGGCAGTCTCCCTCTCAGAGCTGGCTTTCTAGGAAAGCTGACCTGCCTCCACGAAGCCACGTCTCTCCTACCTGGGGCACCTGTGGGCGCCTCCCACCTCTTCAAATGCCCTGTAACAGTCATCCATTCAGCAGATCCTCACTGAAGGCCTACTATGCACCAGATGCTGTTCTGGGTGCTGACGGTAAAGCAAAATGAAGCAGACACCCCTGCCCTCATGGAGCTCAGGCCTGCAGATGAGCAGGCAAAAAGCAACCAAAAATTTAATGTGATGACGTTAAACATCATACCACAGAATGATACAACAGAGAATCTGATTGTGGCTGGGGGCACCTGCTTTAGAACAAACTTCCTCTGGGTCAAGAAGGGTCTCTCTGAGGAGCCACGTCTGAATCAGAGGCCAGTTCCTCGATAAGTTGAAAGATGAACATTAACCAGGCAAGTTCAAAGGCTCTTGGATGGGAAGGAAATTGAGGTGTTGGATTCAAGGGAACAAAAGTGAAGCTGATGACGGGAGATGAGGTGAGATGTAGGACCAGAGGGCCGGGGAGGTTGCCTCATGCTTGTAATCCCAGCACTTTGGGAAGCCAAGGAGGGCAGATCACTTGAGGTCAGGAGTTTGAGACTAGCCTGGCCAACATGGTGAAACCTCATCTCTACTAAAAATACAAAAAAAAAATTTAGCCAGGCATGGTGGCGTGTGCCTGTAGTCCCAGCTACTTGGGAGGCTGAGTCATGAGAATCACTTGAACCTGGAAGGCAGAAGTTAGAGTGGTCCGAGATCATGCCCCTGGGTGACACAGTGAGACTGTCTCAAAAAAAAGAAAAAAAGAAAAAAAGAAGCAGGACCAGAGGATGCAGGGCCTTGAGGAAGAATCTAGAAGAATCTAGCTTTTATTGTCAGTGAGGTGGGAGCGTCAGATGGTTCTAAGCAGGGCAGTCATGGAATCTTTTTTTTTTTTTTTCTTTTTGAGACAGAGTTTCGTACTTGTTGCCCAGGCTGGAGTGCAATGGCACAACCTCAGCTCACTGCAACCTCCGCCTCCTGATTCAAGCGATTCTCCTGCCTCAGCCTCCCGAGTAGCTGGGATTACAGGCATACGCCACCATGCCCGGCTAATTTGTATTTTTAGTAGAGATGGGTTTTCTCCATGTTGGTCAGGCTGGTCTCAAACTCTCAACCTCAGGTGATCCACCCGCCTCGGCCTCCCAAAGTGCTGGGATTACAGGTGTGAGCCACCGCGCCCAGCATGGAATCTTTACCTGTTTCAAGCCATCACTGGCGGTCAGACAGAAAATGAATTCATCACATGAAATACCTGCTGTTCGGCACATGAGCATTTCTGGAAGTATTTCTGGAAGTGTTCTATGGAATGGGTGTAAGGTTTTGGGTTTTGTTTTGTTTTTTTTCCCATTAGTTTTTTTTTGTTTTGGGGATGTTTTTAGAGATTGGGTCTCATGTTGCCCAGGCTGGACTCAAACTCCTGGGTTCAGATGATTCTCCCACCTCAGCCTCCCGAGTAGCTGGGACTACAGGTACGCACCACTGCACGTGGCTGAACATTAGCTTTAACCTGCATTTGTGCAATATCCTGTCTGCTGTTTAGGAGCTGGAGTCCAGCACTTGGACTTGTTTGGATCCCCAACTGCCTTGCTCTGAGTAGGTATTCAATGAACATTTGATGAGTTGATGCTTCTGTTTTAGCTATGATCTTCTGGGTTTGTTTTGTTTTGTTTTGTTTTTACACAGAATGTTGTCCAGGCTTGAGTGCAGTAGCACAACCTCGGCTCACTACAACCTCTTCGTCCCGAGTTCAAGTGATTCTCCTGCCTCAGCCTCCCGAGTAGCTGGGGCTACAGGTGCCCGCCACCATGCTGGGCTAAGTTTTTTGTATGTTTAGTAGAGACAGGCCTTCACCATGTTGGCCAGGCTGGTCTGGAACTCCTGACCTCAAGTGATCTGCCCACCTCAGCCTCCCAAAGCGCTGAGATTACAGGCGTGACCCACCTTGCTAGGCCTGATCTTCTGGTTTTGCTTCTCAAAGTGTGGTCCTCAGACCAGTATCCGCACCAGCTGGGAGCTTGTAGGAAATGGAGAATCCTAGGCCCCACCCAGGCCTACTAAATCAGAATCTGCCATTTAACAAGATCCCCAAGAAATCCTAATGAATGGTAAAGTTTAAGAAGCACTTCTAGAGGGCAGAATAACTCAAGGGCCTCCGAAAAACCCGTAACAGACAGCAGGAAGTGGGCAGGGGTTAAAAGAGAGGCAGCCCTTAAGCCCAGCTGGGATGGAAGAAGATTTTGATTGGAGGTAAGAGAAGGTACATTCCAGGCTAAGACAAGGCTGGGAAGGAGGAGGCAAGTGTGAGGGTGGAGGGCCAGTGGTCTGAAGCAGCCAGCCCCAGGGGCCAGCAAAATGAGGAGGTAGAAATTCCCAGAAAGGCAGGAGACACCAGTTGCAGTGGCTCACGCCTGTAATCCCAACACTTTGGGAGGCCGAAGCGGGTGGATCACCTGAGGTCAGGAGTTGGAGACCAGCCTGGCCAACATGGTGAAACCCAGTCTCTACTAAAATACAAAAATTAGCTGGGCATGGTGGCAGGCACCTGTAATCCCAGCTACTGGGGAGGCTGAAGCAGAAGAATTGATTGAACCCGGGAGGCGGAGCTTGCAGTGAGCTGAAATTGCACCACTGCACTCCAGCCTGGGAGACAGGGCAAGACTCAGTCTCAAAAAAAAAAAAAAAAAAAGGCAGGAGAAAGCTCTCTCAGAGAGCAGCCCCTCAGATGGCCAAACAAGACTGGGGAGTTAGGTGGTGTGAGGCTGAATTCTGGCTCTGCCTCCCCCTAGCTGAGTGACCTTGGGCAAGTTATCATACTTAACTCTCTGAGCCTCTACAAAGTGGGGATAATAATAGATGTGCCAGCTGTTGGGGGGGCAGGAAGATTAAATGAGATAACACATATAAAACGCTTGGTACAGGAGAAAGGTGGGGAGCGCTCAGTAAATGGTAACTGTGATGACGAATAAAGTGCGGGCTGGATTGGGAAGGCCAGGAGGGGGCACTGAAGGCTTTTGAGACGGGGAGTACTGCAGCCTGTGTTTTAGGGAGATAAATCCAGCGGGTGCACCAGAGACAAGGACAGGGGCATGGCCAGAGGCTGCGGGCAGATGGGAGGTTGGTGTAATAGGGGCAAGACATTGAGAGGTGCCTTGGAGCTCAGAGAGGGGGAAGCAGCTGCCCTGGGGCAGAGAGAGGCTGGGGCAGGATGGCTCTGGGCTTCTAGGCTAGGAGGTGGGCTGAGGGCAGGCAGGCTCTGGGAGAGACGTGCTGTGGGAAGTGTCTGGCTGGGGTGGGGTGGAGAGGGGGGCTTCAGGGGACAGCAGAGAGGGGAGGTCTGAGGCATGGGGAGGATCAGGACCAGAGTCAGAGAGAAAACTTTCAGCCACAGGGGTTTATGGATGCCTCAGGATAGGTGAGGCTGCTCCCAAGAAGGAGGTCCTGAGGGAGCAGGAGGTGAGCTCAGCTGCACACAGAGGACTCAGTTGGGGAGACTCCCTCAAAAGTGGCAGCCACCCTGAGTCACTAAGTCTGTGACTCACCTCTGGCAGAGAGGAGGCAGGACAAGTAACAAAGCTGGTGCTTCCTGGGATGTTATCTGTGGGCCAGTCCCTGGTTTGCAAATCCCTTCCGTGCATGAACTTATCTAAAGCCCTATGAGGTGGAGCTAGTACCGGCACTATCCCATACTGCAGATGGAGAAATTGAGGCCCTGTGCGGTGGGGGTTATTCCAGACTCTTCGGCCAGGACACAGGCATTTGGCTAAACCTAGTGTTTGTGGCAGGGTCTGTTCTGATTGGCCGATGCCTGTCCTACTGGTTAGTCAATGTTTTGAAGGTCACCCTGGTTACACAGCTGGAGGAGGCAGAATCCCAACTAACCCCTGGGGCTGGAGCCCTGGTCTGAACCAGGATCCTCTCTCCGTCTAGCGCCGCAGCGCACCTCAGGACAAGTAATGTGCGTCGAAGGGCTTTGGAAACTGCAAGGCACAGTATAAATAACAGGTTCCTTCATTCCTCCTGGGCAGGAACTTTGGCCTCAACAGTTCCTTCTTTGTTGAGGCCAAAGAAGCTGGGCCATGAGAAGGCAGAGGAAACGCTGCTGTGGGGAACCAGCATTCTCTCTGCTTACTCAACGGGGAAAGTGAGTCAGAAGGGAAGCCTCCCTGAGTGGAGCCCCATGGTCAGCCCCTGGGAGGTTCTCACGTGCCAGACGCCATCCGGCACTAACCAGGTTAGCCTGGACTTGTCCCCAGGGCCCGTCCAGGCTCTCCTGCAACTGGCCACCAGGGGGCGCCGCTCCCCCAGCCTTCCTCTTACTGAACCTACCCCCCACCACCCCCCCAACAACCTGCTCGCGAGAAACCAGGCCTTGGAAGGAGTCCCGGGGAGCAGGCACCAGAGACTTTGAAAAGTGGCAAAAACGCGGGAGATGCTGAGTGGAGGTGGGAGTTCGTCCCTGCCCCACTGGGAGGGAGAAGGGAAGGGGGGACGGAAACCTACATATACCCATTTTCAATTCCCAAACCAGCCCTGTGGAGGAGTGCCTGCTCCCATTTTACAGATGAGGAATTTGAGGCCCAAAGATGTTGGGTAAGATCAAGAGGCTAGGGACAGGCAGCGCTGCGTCATTTGCTTCCAAGGTCAGTTCCTAATGGGACCACAAGCAAATGCTAGCTCATTTGGCCCTGTTGCCTAGCGGGGTCTCCCCCCCCGCCCCCCGTTGATCCTATGTTCTGAGTCGTGGCCAACACCACAACCTATTCCCCCACTGTGTTCCAGCAACAATTCCAGCTGCCCCTTCTCCAACCTGAACTTTCTGGAAGCCTGGGCACCTGCTTCATTGTTTTCCAGGGACCCCCATCAGCCACCCATCCCACACCCTCCCCATCTGGGCAGAGCCGGGAGCCCCCTCTGCAGCCCTGTCCTGCTTGACATCCCTTCCCCACCCCAGGGACCCCGCGGGGTCAGGCTTTGCTCCTCGACACCCCACGGTAGGCAGCAGCACGAATAAACAATGGGACATTTGAACCAGGAAGAGCCTGTGGTTGAGGCCAAAACAGGCACCAAGGTTTTCTCTCAGCTCCTACCAACTCCTTTTATGGCCTCTGGGCCCAGTTCCTTCTTCATAAAAAGTCAGAACTGGAAAAGGCCTCGAGTCACTGGGTCCAACCTGAGCCAACACTTTCCTTTTCTATAGAAAAAACCCGTCGTGCTGCCTCCCCGGCTCCAGCCAGGTTTACAGCACCAGGATCTGGGCCGGCAGCGTCCTTCACCGGAGGGAAATTCTAACCCTGGGGCGGGACCTGGGCACGTCCGCCGGGGAGGCCCAGTCCCTGCACCTGTAAAATGGGGGGCGGGCCTAACCGTAGCTTCTTCAAAGGCCCCCCGCCCCCAGCTTGAGGTTCTGTATCTAGCCCCAGGGACCCGCCCTAACGAACATCTATTTCGGCCCCCTCTGTCCAACCGTTTCCTTCCCTCTGCCCTGAGAGCTGTAGGCAGCTCGCGTGTGTGGGCGCACGTGCGTGCAAGTGATCATGTGTGTGCAGGAGCCGGTGGCGGCCAGACGCAACTCGGCACAGGCGTCCGCGCCTGGCTCTGTGCGCGCCCCCGAGATGCCGGCCTCCCCTAGTCAACCAGGTGGCCGTGTGCAGCCCCGGGTGTGCTCCGCGGGTACCAGCCCGGGCCGCTCGCCCCTCGCGGCCGACAGCACGCGGTGCGCGGCATCTGGAACGTGGGAGCTTCTGGTTCCCAGTCCCGGAGACCAGCGCCCCCTCCCCGCCAGGGATTTTTTCTGCTCCGCGAGGCGCGCTCCGGGGCGGGGGCCGAGAGCAGCCCCGCCCGGGCCGGCCTGCTAGGGCGGCGAGTCTGCCGGGAGCGCGCCGCCCCCACCCAGGCGCCCCGATGGGTTTTTCCATGACTGCATCCGGCCTCGGGCCGCCTTTGTTCCCGCCGTCCCCGGCCTGCCCGCGAAGCGGCCCGCCTCTCCCTGCGCGCCTGGGATTTTCCAGGGCTCAATTGGAGCACTGGCGAGCCGCCTCCCCGCCCCCAGCCTCCCCTGCCCCGGCTGCCCCCGAGTCCTGTTTCAGGGATCCTAGCCCTCTCTCCAGACGCGCTGCTCTGTCCACTGTCCCCGCCTCCAGGACCTGCGTCCTCCCAGCCCCACATTTGTGCGCAAAGTTGACGGTCACCGGGCCCGCGCGCTTCGGCATCTCGCGAAGGCGCTGCCCGCGCCCTGAGTCCTTCCCTGGGGCTGTACGTTGGAAAGGACAGAGGTCTCCTCTGCTTCGCAGTTGCAAAAGGCTTCACGTTTTCACCAAGGGGCAGATGGGGCAGTAGGGGCCCTGGGAGGCCTGGTCCACCAAGGAGGGGGAACCCGCGCGCGCGCGCGCACGCACGTGGCCCGGCGCGCCCGGGAGACCTCCGTGTGATCACCGCGCGCAGCAGCTCCCGGGCGGAAACACCTCCCCCCTCCACGGGAAAGTGGGCTCAACCGGGGGCGGAAAGCGACACGGCTGGGGGACGACTACGTGCTCCCTTAACCCCCTTCCCGCTGTCAGTAAGGAAGTGGAGATAAACCGAAGAGAGGCCTTGGAGAAAGGAGCAGGGCGGGGTGAGGGAGTTGTGGGGGGATTATTTGAGAGTGAGGTCAAGCTCAAGAGCCCCAGGACCCTCTCAGATCCCCCGTGCCCGTGGGAACTGCGCGTCCGCCACCGATCCTGCCCGCGCCGGGTTGAGTTCAGTTTGTGTCTCCGCGCGCTGCGACTTTGCGCGCCTGGGGGCCTCCCAGCTATTGCCTGGCTATGCTGGCGGGAAAAGTGTAAGAAACGCTGTTTGCCCTGCAGGAGAAGCCAGATACGCATGGGGTGCTTCAGGCTGGGGAAAGGTGCCTGCCTCTGTGGGGTTTTTGGAATCCCAGGTGGCGCCCTTCCTACAGCCCGGCAGAAGGCAGCCATGCCTTCAGGTGGGGAAAGATCTGGAGGTGCGGGTGGGAGGAGGACGAAGCAGGAGGGACACCCGGATCCGCAAAGGGTCAGAGACCCAGAGCTGTCTTGCTGTGCCAAGTGAGAGGGAATGCCCCGTCGGCAGCTTTGAGCGCCAGCTCCCTGGCCTAACCAGTCATGAGGGAACGGGCAGGCTGCTCTGGAAGGGCCCTTCCTCCAGGTGTCCTCTTGATCAGCTTTGCCTGCTCTTTAAGGTGTCCCTGTGTCTCGGCCGCCTCCCCTCTCGACCCTCTTTTTTGCTCTCAGAGGCAGCACACCAGTCCCCATCCCCAACCATCCCAGGATGAGAATGTCTTGGTCCTGGCCGGGCGCGGTGGCTCACGCCTGTAATCCCAGTACTTTGGGAGGCCGAGACGGGCGGACCACGAGGTCAGGAGTTGGAGACCAGTCTGGCCAACATAGTGAAACCCCGTCTTTACTAAAAATGCAAAAAATTAGCCGGGTGTGGTGGTGTGCGCCTGTAATCCCAGCTACTCGGGAGGCTGAGGCAGGAGAATCGCGTGAACCCGGGAGGCAGAGGTTACAGTGAGCCGAGATCGTGCCATTGCACTCCACCCTGGGTGACAGTGCGAGACTCCGTCTCTAAATAAATAAAATAGGGCCAGGCGCGGTGGCTCACGCCTGTAATCCCAGCACTTTGGGAGGCCGAGGCGGGCAGATCACCTGAGGTTGGGAGTTCAAGACTAGCCTGACCAACATGGAGAAACCCCGTTTCTACTAAAAATACAAAATTAGCCGGGTGTGGTGGCACATGCTTGTAATCCCAGCTACTTGGCAGGAGAATCGCTTGAACCCTGGAGGCAGAGGTTGCAGTGAGCCGAGATCGCGCCATTGCACTCCAACCTGGGCAACAAGAGCGAAACTCCCTCTAAAAAAAAAATTAATTAATTAAAGGAATTAAAAAAAATAAAGCCTTGATCCCACACCTGGGTTCCCTGCTGCTCACAGGATAACTCAGATGCCCTTTGCCCTTGTAGAATTGGTGGGAGATTCCAGGAGCAGAGGCACAGCCCCTGGCTGGGGCCCAGCCCTGCCATAAGGGGAACTTTAACCGAGATACCTGCTTCCCTCCTCCATCAGTCCCCTCAACGCCATAGCAACAGAGGCCTTCAAGGTGCACAACTCCTCACCTAGTATGCTAACTGATATTGACTAGACCGATCAGACAAGCAGGCCCTCCTTAGACTCACCTAAAAATATTGGGGTGAGCAGGATGCCATCCAGTTCCCAAAATGATAGCACTCTGGCATCTCCTTTCTTCTTCCCTCACCTTGCACAGAGGAGTAAGTCATGTTTAAGATCTAGTCAATTCCGGTGGTGCCAATAGTAATGGTGCCAATTCAAGTGGTGTCAGATGGTTTCTACCTGTCCTCCCTGACCAGGGCCGGCCTTGGGGCAGCAGGAGAGAAAAAGAGCCCGTTGGCAGGTGCTTGATCCCAGTTGTGACTCCCATAAGGGGGCAAACATCAAAAGTTCTGTCACTCAGAGATGAGGTGATTGCACCACTAAATCCTATTTGCTGTTCCTTCATCCTCAGCTGTCATATCGACTGCTCACCCTTCAATCTCCATGTCCTTGCTCAGGCTGAGAATATTCTATTTTTGTTTTGGAGACAAGATTGCACTCTGTTGTCCAGGCTGGAGTGCAGTGGTGCAATCACGGCTCCCTGCAGCCTCAACTTCCTGGGCTCAAGTCATCCTCCTGCCTCAGGCTCCCTAGTAGCTGGAACTACAGATGCGTGCCAACACACCCAGCTAATTTTTTGGATTTTTAATAGAGATGGGTCTCACTATGTTGCCCAGGCTGGTCTCACTCCTGAGCTCGAATGATCTTCCAGCCTCGGCCTCCCAAAGTGCTAGGATTACAAGTGTAATCTTAAGTCCTGGCCTGAAGCATTATTCCTCTTCATCACCTCCCACCTACTCAAACATACACTTTCCAGAACTTTCCTTCTAGTCAGAATGTTTTCTCCTCCCTTTAAAGGCAGAGTTCGGGAAAGCAGAAACAAAGAGAAATGCTTTGATCTTGACGCATTCTAAAAATGGAATTAAACTTCCAATAGTGATAGCAAACAGTTAGTATTTGCTACTTGCCAGGCTGTTCACATATGTTAATTCATTTAACCCACATAACCACTCTGGGAGGTGGGCACCATTATCACTTCCATTTTAGAGATGAGAAAACAGGCACAAGAAGTGAAGCGACCTGTCCAAGGTCACACAGGCAGAGGCTCAGCTGGGAGTTGACCGCGGCAGCCTGGCACAGAGCCTGTGCTCCTATACTGTGCTAGTAAAGTGTTGCACAGGCATACTCAGGAAGTGGTGTTCATATACATAGCTCGTCTGTAGAGTAGGAGGAAAACAATAGGTGCTGGGGTTTAGGAGACATTTTTCTTGGGAAGAGTCACATTCGTAACGGCGATGTCTGCTGCAGTTCCCACTTTGTGGCTGTTACAGTTGTTTTATGGGTTTTTTAAATCACAGCTGTCAACTGAGAAATGTATGCCAGTCAGATCATTACCCTGATGGAAGAAAACTCCAAGTCCTTCCAGCAGTAATGTGCATCCTATAATATTTCTTCATTTCATATTTATTGACCCACTTGCCTGTGCCCAGTGCTGTAGCAGAGGCTCGGGGGAACATTCTTAGCAGGAAGAGAGCTCACTTCACCATCTTCTTGGGGAGACAACAAGTACATCCATGTAACAATGATACCTTCAGTTGCCAAAGGGAGCATTTCAATTGACCAGCAGCTAATATCTGATGAGGACCCGTGGCTGACCGACATGAAGGTGGGCTCATGATCCCTCTGGTCTCCATGCCCTTCTGAGACGCCCCCCATTGGGTGTGGGTGGGGCCTGTGACTTGCTTCTAACTAACAGAATATGGCAAAGGTGACAGGATGGATGTGACTATGTGTACGTTATATGAAATTGTAATGACAGTTTTGCTAGGATGCCTCCTTCCTTGTTGGCTTACGAGCAAGAAACTGATGCCCTCAGTCCAACAACCTGCTCGTAGCTGAATTCTGCAAACAAGTACACGAGCTTGGAAGAAGATCCTTCCCCAGTGAAGCCACAGATGAGACCCTAGCCCTGGCCTGCACCTTGATCACAGGCTTGGAGAGGACCCAGTTGAGCCATGCTCAGACTCCTGTAAGAAAATTGTGAGATAGACTGGGTGCGGTGGCTCACGCCTATAATCCCAGCACTTTGGGAGGCCGAGGCAGGCGGATCACCTGAGGTCAGGAGTTCAAGACCAGCCTGGCCAACATGGTGAAACCTCATCTCTACAAAAATACAAAAATTAGCTGGGCATGATGGCAGGTACCTGTAATCCCACCTACTTGGGAGGCTGAGGTGGGAGAATCACTTGAACCCGGGAGGGGGAGGTTGCAGTGAGCCGAGATGGCACCATTGCACTCCAGCCTGGGTGACAGAGAGACTCCGTCTCAAAAAAAAAAAAAAAAAAAAAAAAGAAAAGAAAAGAAAAAGAAAATTGTGAGGCCGGGCATGGTGGCTCACACCTGTAATCCCAGCACTTGGGGAGGCTGAGGCAGGTGGATCACAAGGTCAGGAGTTCGAGACGTGCCTGACCAACATGGTAAAACCCCGTCTCTACTAAAAATACAAAAATTAGCCAGGTGTGGTGGCACACGCCTATAATCCCAGCTACTCAGGAGGCTGAGGCAGGAGGATCGCTTGAACCTGGAACCTGGAAGGCAGAGGTTGCAGTGAGCCAAGATCTCGCCACAGCACTCCAACCTGGGCGACAGAGCAAGACTCTGTCTCCAAAAAAAAAAAAAAAAAAAGGCCAGGCGAGTTGGCTCACGCCTGTAATCCCAGCACTTTGGGAGGCCGAGGTGGGTGGATCACGAGGTCAGGAGATTGAGACCATCCTGGCTAACACAGTGAAACCCCATCTCTACTAAAAATACAAAAAATTAGCCGGGCGTGGTGGCGGGTGCCTGTAGTCCCAGCTACTCGGGAGGCTGAGGCAGGAGAACGGTGTGAACCCGGGAGGTGGAGCTTGCAGTGAGCCGAGATCACCTCCCTGCACTCCAGCCTGGGCGACAGAGCGAGACTCTGTCTCAAAAAAGAAAAAAAAGAAAGAAAGACAGAAAAGAAAAAAGAAATTTGTGAGATAATAAATATGTGTTTTTGTTAGTTTGTTTCATTTTTGTAGAGATGGGGTCTTACTATGTTGCCCAGTCTGGCTGTGAATTCCTGGACTCAAGTGTTCCTCCTGCTTCAACCTCCTAAGTCTCTGGGACTATAGGTGTGTGCACCCGCACCAAGCTAAGTGCGTATTGTTTTAACCCTCTACCTTTGTGGTGACATTCTTATGTAGCAACAGAGAACCAATATAGAGCCTATTAGGTAAAAAGTCCTCTGTGGGGCTGTTAGACGATACCAAAAAACATAAGGAAGCCAGCACTTCAGGAGCCTCCCAACAGTCAAGGTGAAAAAGAAACCACAGCATACTTTTACTATTTGAAAAAAGAAAATGTTTTCAAAGATTGAACCCAGACAGCCATAGTGGCTCTCGCCTGTAATCCCAACACTTTGGGAGGCCAAGGTGGGAGGATTGCTTGAGGCCAGGAGTTTGACACCAGCCTGGGCAACATCATGAGACCTCCATGTCTACAAAAATAAAAAATAAAGAGGGAAACTGGCTCCTGATTCTAAGAGGAATTTATCATGTGGACAGTATCTATGTACAATCCGTGAACAGAGCATTGAGTCTGTAGGGGCTGGACCACCTGCAATTCAAGAGTCCTCCTCATGCTGATTCCTTTGGGTCTGACCTCCTGCCACATCACACCCTCCTGCTTGTTGCCCTCCTCCTGGACTGCCCTTCCTTCTCTGCCCATTGCCTCCTACATTCCAAAGACCAGCTGGGACCTGTCATTCCTTCTTCAAAGCCTTTAATTCCCAAGCAGAATTACCTGCTTTCTCCCTGAACTCCCAGATCACTGTTATCAAAGACATAACATTGTATTATTCATTTGTCACTGTTTTTATTGAGCATCTGCTAAATGCTGGGCCTCCTGTTAGGTGCAAGAGACACAGTCACAAATGCAGCACAGGGCTGTCCTTGGGGGCCTACAGCCTGTGGCACCGTGGTCATGGCCCCATCCTTTCCTCCATATAGGGCCTGTCCTCTCTTTGCAACCTTGGAGCTAGCGTGACACACAGCAGCCTCGAGTCTCAGCATTTGTGAAATGAATGATTGAGGCTGTGCAGACCTTTCTCTGCTAGCTCACAAGCAGTTGCTGCCTTCCTGAGAGGCTTTGGAGAAAGTGCTAGCTTAAAATATGTCCCCAAGTAGCTGAATCTGTAGGATATCATGATTCTGTGGTGTCCACGTGAACTCAACATTCAACCTGTCGAGAGCAAAAGTCAGCAGAAACTGACTTCGTTTCCCTGTTATTGATATGAGGCTGTGGGGGCTCACTGTAATTAATCAGTAGGGTCAGCCGCCTTTGAAGGTTACTCGTTGTTCCTCATAGCGGCATCTCCGCAGTATGGATGGAGATGCGGAACATCCCGTGGCAGTCATCAGAAATTTATGCGTCTAATTGATCTGAAAACTGAAGGAATTTAGCAACAAGTTAAGACGGAAGGCGACCAAGGTGTGGCCCTATTAGCTTTGTTGCTCAGCACATAGCCCCAGGCATTTACAGGAGGGGCCACACAAGTCCTTTGTCACTAGTCCTTTGTCACTAGCGGCAGCCTCACCTGAGAAGACCTCCAAGGGTGCTGCCTGTACCGTCAGGAGGTGGGGAGTGTCCGAGGGCCCTGGAGTGCACAGATCCGCCCTGGAGGGTAGCCATGGGGACAGCCCACTCCATCCTCCCACCCCTACCCCGACTTCCTGGCCTTCCCAGGCAAATGTAGGCCACCTTGTGTTCAGTTTCCTGGAGAGTCTCCTTTCCCCAGCATCCGGGTCCCCAGGGGAGGGGTGACAGCTACCCCTGTCCCCGATCTGTGGGGCCTGGCCGCCTTCCGCAGGGCTGCGCGCCATTCCCGCATCGTGCTGCGTCTTGGATGATTTTCCTGGCTGTGACCCAAGCACCTGGAGCCTCCATTATCTGTGCTCAGAATTTCCAAGTCTCTCCAAAGTCCTCCAAGGAGAACCCCCGCCCCACCCCCAGACACTGATGCGGGCCTCCAAGAGTTTGTTTTTTTGTTTTTTGTGGGTTTTTTTTTTTGCAGTGTGACAAGGTTCCTGGAAACCACGGGAGTTTTACTACATTCCCTGGGACTTGTTTACCGGAGATGCAGATTGCAGCGGCGGTGGGTGCGGGGGATGAGGGGGGCGGGAATGAGCCTTCTCCCCAGAGCTGGGGAACCTGTTTCTGTTTCTGTTTCATCATTGTCTGGTCTGTCCTCGTTGCCTCTTAGGCAGAGCTGATGCCCCATTATAATCTAAGCTGCAGGAGAAATGGTCTCAGAAATGGGCTCAAAACACTGCCCCTGGATCCCATAATCTAAAATTTAAAATATTCCGTGAAGCATGCCCCTTGTATCATATCAGCTCTCCTCTTCCCTCTGTCCTCCTTAAACCTGCACCATTTTTGGTGTCCTCTCTCTCTCTCTCTTTTTTTTTTTTTTTTTTGTTGTTGTTGTTGTTGAGACAGAGTCTCGCACTGTCGCCCAGGCTGGAGTGCAGTGGCGTGATCTCGGCTCACTGCAGCCTCTGCCTCCCGGGTTCAAGCAATTCTCCTGCCTCAGCTTCCTGAGTAGCTGGGATTACAGGTGCCCACCACCATGCCCAGTTAATTTTTGTATTTTTAGTAGAGACGGAGTTTCACCATGTTGGTCAGGCTGGTCTCAAACTCCTGACCTCCCAGTGCTGGGATTACAGGCATAAGTCACCGCGCCCGGCCGGTGTCCTCTCATTTTTTAAAATTTTTTCTTTTGTAGAGATGGCATCTTGCTTTGTTGCCCAGACTGCTCTGGGACCCCTGGCATCAAGCTATCCTCTCACCTTTGTCTCCCAAAGCATTGCGATTACAGGTGTGAGCCACTGTGCCAGGCTTGGTGTCCTCTCTTTATACTCATTTTTCTGTTTGATCCTTGAGATCTGGTGACTCTAATTTTGGCCTGACCTCTTGGCCAGGTACCTGGGATACCTTGGCTCCCCTCTCGGACCTAACCCAAGCATCCGGAAGGACTGCCTGCTCCACTCTCTCTGCTTGTCCTCAGTGCCCTGCCTCTGCCCAGCCCCAGCTCCAGGCCCAGGATGCTGCTGCTCTGGGGCCTCTGCCTCTCCAGGCTCCAGCTCTTCCGCAACTAAACAGCTCGGCCCCAGGCAGTCCACAGCTAAAATGTGGGACTAATACTGTAGGGGCTGGGTATCCCAGCACTTTGGGAGACTGAGGCAGGCGGATCCCTTGAGGCCAGGAGTTCGAGAGCAGCCTGGCCAACATGGCAAAACCCCATCTCTACTAAAAATACAAAAATTAGCCTGGCATGGTGGTGGGCGCTTGTAGTCTCAGCTACTTGGGAGGCTGAAGCAGGGAATCACTTACACCCGGGAGGCGGAGGTTGCAGTGAGCAGAGATCTCACAACTGGGCAATAGAGTGAGACAATGTCTCCAAAAAAAAAAAAAAAAAAAAAACAAAGGGGTCTGAAACCTGGGCCCAGGGGCAGGCATGATGATTCACGTCTGATTCACGTCTGTAATCCCAGCACTTTGGGAGGCTAAGCTGAGAGGATTACTTGAGCTCAGGAATTCGAGACCAGCCTGGCCAACATAGTGAGAACTCGTCTCTACTAAAATTCAAACAAAATTTAGCCAGGCGTGCTGGAATGCGCCTGTAGTCCCAGATACCACCAAGGGGGCCGAGACAGAACTATCACTTGAGCTGGAGATGTTGGGGTGGCAGTGAGCCCTGATCGTGCTACCACACTTCAGCCTGGGCAACAGAATGAGACCCTGTCTCAAAAAAGAAAGAGAGGCCGGGCACGGGGGCTCAGCCTGTAATCCCAGCACTTTGGCAGGCCGAGGTGGCTGGATCACTTGAGATCGGAAGTTTGAGACCAGCGTGGCCAATATGGTGAAACCCTGTCTCTGCTAAAATACAAAAAATTAGCTGGACATGGAGGTGCACGCTTGTTGTCCCAGCTGCTTGGGAGGCTGAGGCATGAGAATCGCTTGAACCTCAGAGGCAGAGGTTGCAGTGAGCTAGGATTGCCCCACTGCACTCCATCCTGGGCAACAGAGTAAGACTGTTTCAAAAGAAGAAAAACTCCTGGCTCAAGCGATCCTCCTGCCTCAGCCTCCCAAAGTACTGGGATTACAGGCATGAGCCACCACACCACACCCCCACCTGCCCACCAAGCCTTGGTTTCTTAATATTTTATTAGATATTTGTTCAATTTTTTTTTTTTTTAGACAGAGTTATACTCTGTCACCAGACCAGAGTGCAGTGGTACGATCTTGGCTCACTGCAACCTCTGCCTCCCGGGTTCAAGCAATTCTCCTGCCTCAGCCTCATGAGTAGCTGGGACTACAGGTGCGCACCACCACACCCAGCTAATTTTTGTATTTTTAGTAGAGATGGGATTTCACCATGTTGGCCAAGATGGTTTCAATCTCTTGACCTCATGATCCGCCCACCTCGGCCTCCCAAAGTGCTGGGATTATAGGCGTGAGCCACCGAACCCGGCCATTTGTTCAATTTTTTTTTTTTTTTTTTTGAGACGGAGTCCTGCTCTGTCGCCCAGGCTGGAGTGCAGCGGTGCCATCTTGGCTCACTGCAACCTCCTCCTCCTGGGTTCAAGCGATTCTCCTGCCTCAGCCTTCCGAGTAGCTGGGATTACAGGCACCCACCAACACGCCCAGCTAATTTTTGTGTTTTTAGTAAAGACGGGGTTTCACCATGTTGGCCAGCCTGGTCTCGAACTCCTGACCTCAGGTGATCCACCCGCCTCTGCCTCCCAAAGTGCTGGGATTACAAGCCTGAGCCACTGCGCCCAGCCATTTGTTCAAATTTTTAACAAATATTTATACCTTATTTTGTGTAAGCTGGTGGGCCTATTTTAACATACATTTTATGAGTTGATATTTAAGATGCATGTTTACTGTTATAAGAAAAAACATAACTCTTCAACAATTACAGTAAAGTTAATGCTTTCTTGCCACTGTAATAAAGGCATGTTTGAATTAGAAAAGAAATGTACTTTGAGTAAATCTTAAAGAAACACTGTTTTGGCCGAGCGTGGTGGCTCACACCTGTAATCCCAGCACTTTGGGAGGTCAAGGCAGGTGGATCATCTGAGGTCAGGAGTTCGAGACCAGTATGGTCAACATGGTGAAACCCTGTCTATACTAAAAACACAAAAATTAAGCTGGGTATGGTGGCAGGCACCTGTAATCCCAGCTACTCAGGAGGCTGAGGCAGGAGAATCGCTTGAACCCGGGAGGCAGAGGTTGTAGTGAGCCAAGATTTCGTCAGTGCACTCCAGGTTGGGCAACAGAGCGAGACTCTGTCTCAAAAAAAAAAAAAATGTTTAAATTTCTTTTTTTTTTCCTTTTTTTTTTTTGAGATGGAGTCTCACACTGTTGCCTGGGCTGGAGTGCAATGGGGTGATCTCGGCTCATTGCAACCTCTGCCTCCCAGGTTCAAGCGATTCTCCTGCCTCAGCCTCCTCAGTCGCTGGGATTACAGGTGACTGCCACCACGCCTGGCTAATTTTTTGTATTTCTAGTAGAGATGGGGTTTCACTATGTTGGCCAGACTGGTCTCAAACTCCTGACCTCCGCCTCGGCCTCCTAGAGTGCTGGGATTACAGGCGTGAGACACTGCGCCCAGCAAAAAAAAATTTATTTCCAATTGAGTAATTAGGAGTTCAGTGAGTCCTTAATTCAAGACAAGAGATAAACTGTTCTGCCAAGAAAGAAAGAAAAAAAAAGCTTTGCCTAGCTCTTTTTAAAACTTCAGATGATTGATCAAATGTCTCAGCCAAAGATAATTCAGGAATCTACAAAACCTGGAGAGAGGAGCCTAATGGAGATGGTGCATGAGCGAGCATGGCCGTGGGCTCTCTTTGTCCTCATGAGAAGCCACCGATGGCCCGGCCCAGACACCTGCCAAGAGAACATGGCTTAGTGGCTGCCCAGGACTCGCCCCAAGCTCCATTAGGAAACACTTGTTTTTTGAAACAAGCACTTGAGATGAGGACTTCAATTCCTTTGGTTTCTGGGTGACTTCCTCTCTGGCTGGCTTGTCGCTCTGCCTCCTGACATCTCTGTCAGGCATTTTGAGTTTCCTGTAGCCTCTATCAGAAGGACAGTTAGGGCTGGTGTCTACCTGGGCTTTGTGGGTCTGGGTTATTCTCTGGAAAGCTGCTCCTGAAAGTCCCTTGAAATGGAGTTTTGTATGCCCTTTAGATGGCGGAAGAGGACCCACAAAGGCGGTTTCCCTGTCTCCATCCCAGAAACAGTCGAACAGGGGGTCACAGTGCTGAGTGTTAGAATCATAACCATTGGTAGCCATGCATGGTGGCACATGCCTGTAATCCCCGCACTTCGGGAGGCCGAGGCGGGCAGATCACGAAGTCAGGAGTTTGAGACCAGCCTGACCAACATGGTGAAACCCCGTCTCTACTAAAAATACAAAAATTAGCCGGGCATGGTGGCATGCACCGGTAATCCCAGCTACTCAGGAGGCTGAGGTAGGAGAACTGCTTGGACCCAGGAGGCAGAGGTTGCAGTGAGCAGAGATCACGCCACTGCACTCCAGCCTGGGTGATAGAGTGAGACTGTGTCTCAAAAAAAAAAAAAAAAAATCATAAGCATTGGTGTGCAAGAAAGGGGAGCTTCTGAATTACCCATTTCATGCCCAGAACTCAGAAAAGGATTCACTCTCAATAGTTGAATGTCCAAATGTAAGGACCCCTGAGCATCCCACCAGTCCTTGTTCCACAATAGGAGGTTAAGGGGGACCCCACTAGCAGCACCTGGGTCCCGATTGAAGCGAGCAGTCCTTTCCCCATTGGCAGGTGCAGTCGCCTAGGAACCATCCTTTGCAGGGGTACACTACGGGCAAAGCCACACTAGTGGGGATATGGGAATATACAAAATGGCTATTTACAGCCAGAGATATAAACAAGGCTCAACGAACGATCAGGTTGGAACCAGATAGCTGAGCAATCTCTTTCACCTGAGCACATATACAGGAGGATGATACTATTGCAGTCTGTTTAGGGAGTGGCAGGAGTAGAAATGAATCATGAAGATCAAATAACTCGGAGATGACCTCTGCCATGTTAAGGGAGCTAAAGATATTTAGCCCACTGCTATAGTTGGACTTTATTTTTTTTAATTTAATTTTATTTTATTTTATTTTATTTTATTTTTGAGACGGAGTTTTGTTCTTGTTGCCCAGGCTGGAGTGCAATAGCGCGATCTCTGCTCACTGCAACTTCCACCTCCTGAGTTCAAGCGATTCTCCTGCCTCAGCCTCCCGAATAGCTGGGAATACAGGCACCTGCCACTACACCCAGCTAATTCTTTTTGTATTTTTAGTAGAGACGGGGCTTCCCCATGTTGGCCAGGCTGGTCTCGAACTCCTGACCTCAGGTGATCCACCCGCCTCGGCCTCCCAAAGTGCTGGGATTACAGGCGTGAGCCACTGCGCCCGGACTTTTATTTTTATTTTATTTTATTATTATTAGTTTTTGAGACAGGGTCTCTCTTTGTCACCCAGGCTGGAGTGCAGTGGCATGACAGTGGCTCAGTGCAGCCGTGACCTCCTGGGCTCAAGCAATCCTCCCACCTCAGCCTTCTGAGTAGCTGGGACCACAGAAACATGCCACCACACCCAATTAATTTTTGGTATTTTTTGTACAGACGGTATTGCCGCGTTGCCCAGGCTGGTCTCAAACTCCTGAGCTCAAGTGATCCTCCTGCCTCAGCCTCCCAAAGTGCTGTACATGTGTGAGCCACTGCACCAGGCCTAGTTGGATTTTAAAAGGAAGAGTTAAAAACCTAAACTGAAAATTAGCTAGGCATGGTGGCGTGTACCTGTAATCCTAGCTGTTTGGGAGGCTGAGGCAGGAGAATCCCTTGAGCCCAAGAGGTTGAGGCTGCAGTGAGCCGTGATCGCGCCACTGCACTCCAGCCTGGGCAACAGAGTGAGACCCTGTTTCAAAAACAAACAACAACGACATCCACAACAACAAAACAAAACCTAAAGTGGAAGGGGATTTGGTTTCTAAAAGCCACAGGCTGGTAAAGAAATGAGGCTTATTCTGGGAAGAAAGGTCAGAGTCTTTGGATTTCTTCCTCCCTCCCACCACATTCCAGGACAGAGTTTTCAGTTCATTGGCAGGTATACTTCACAACACCCTTGGGGGCAGGAAAAAAACAGCCATTTATTTTTGGAGTTCAGGACGGAATATTCTGGAATGGATTTATTCACATAATCAGGGTTAGACTTGCCTAATTCATGTAGACTAAAGGGTAGTAACGCAAAAGACTTCATTCCTCCCATGGGAAAATCTCTGCGCATTCCAGGGCATTCTGTGGGAAGAGCAGAAAGCTCCAGACCCACACAGGGTAAAGCTCTTCTCAGGCTGGCAACAGTGAAACCGTGGGCAGAGCAGTCTGGAGTCACGGGCTTCACAGAAAGGGGATCTGGGGAGGGGTCCCATGCAGGGCTCAGAAGGTCCTGGGTGGATTTGTCGTCCAGGGTCAAGATGGAAGAAGGTTCCCAGCTGCATGAACAGTCAAGAAAAGATTGGGAGCAGTACAGATTGACTGGAAAATACATAAGAAAAATCTATTTTTTTTTTGAAACAAGCTTTCACTTTGTCACTCAGGCTGGAGTGCAGTGGTGTGATCTCAGCTCACTGCTGCCTTGACCTCTCAAGTTCAAAGCGATCCTACTGCCTCAGCTTCCTGAGTAGCTGGGACTAACCACCACACCCCGCTAACTTTTTTTTTTTTTTTTAGAGATGGGGTTTTGCCGTGTTGGCCAGGCTGGCCTAGAAGAAATTCACCCTAAGCTCAAGAAATTCACCCACTTTGGCCTCCCAAAGTGCTGGGATACAGGCATGAGCTGCTGCGCCTGGCCAATCTTTTTTTTAAACAGTAAATCTGAGCCAGGCATGGTGGCTCATGCCTATAATTCCAGCACTTGAGCCTGGGCAACACAGTGAGACCCCATCTCAATTAACTTTAAACATAATTTATAAAAAGAAATAAAATTTAAAAAGAATAGTATGATCAGATGTGGTGGCTCAGCCGGGTGTGCTGGCTCACGCCTGTAATCCCAGCACTTTGGGAGGCCAAGGCGGGTGGATCACGAGGTCAGGAGATCGAGACCACCCTGGCTAACACAGTGAAACCCCGTCTCTACTAAAAATAGAAAAAATTAGCCAGGCGCCTGTGGTCCCAGCTACTCGGGAGGCTGAGGCAGGAGAATGGCGTGACACCGGGAGGCGGAGCTTGCAGTGAGCCGAGATCGCGCCACTGCACTCCAGCCTGGGCAACAGAGCAAGACTCCCTCTCAGAAAAAAAAAAAAAAAAAAAAAGATGTGGTGGCTCACGCCTGTAATCCCAACACTTTGGGAGGCCGAGGCAGGCTGATCACTTGAGGCCAGGAGTACAAGACCAGCCTGGCCAACATGGTGAAACCCTGTTTCTACTAATGATACAAAAAAAAAAAAAAATTAGCCAGGCGTGGTGGTGCACACCTGTTGTCCCAGCTATTTGGGAGGCCGACCCAGGAGAAGACCTTGAACCCGGGAAGTGGAGGTTGCAGTGAACCAAGATCATGCCACTGCACTCCAGCCTGGGCGACAGAGCGAGACTCCATCTCAAAAAACAAAAAAAAAGTCCCTTTAAACAAGTAAATAAAAAGAATAGTAAATCTGCTGGGCATGGTGGCTTATGACTGTAATCCCAGCTACTCAAGATGCTGAGGCAGGAGGATCACTTGAGGCCAGGAGTTCAAGACCAGCCTGGGTACACAGGGAGACCTCGTCTCGTCTCTAAGACAAAAGAAAAATAGTAAATCTGAAAATGCCAGATACTGGTGAGGATATGGGGAAATGAGTACTATTTTTTTTTTTTTTTTTGAGACAGAGTCTTGCTCTGTCGCCCAGGCTGGAGTGCAGTGGTGCAATCTCGGCTCACTGCAAGCTCCGCCTTCCGGGTTCACGCCATTCTCCTGCCTCAGCCTCCCGAGTAGCTGGGACTACAAGCACCTGCCACCACGTCCGGCTAATTTTTTTTTTTTTTTTTTTTGTATTTTTAGTAGAGACGGGGTTTCACTGTGTAAGCCAGGATGGTCTCAATCTCCTGACCTCGTGATCCGCCCGCCTCGGCCTCCCAAAGTGCTGGGATTACAGGCTTGAGCCACCACGCCCAGCCAAGAGACAGGGTCTTACTCGGTTGCCCAGGCTGGACTGCAGAGGCACATTCTGGGCTCACTGCACCCTCAACAAACCTGGGCCCAGGGGCCAGGCACGGTGGCTCACGCCTGTAATTCCAGCACTTTGGGAGGCCAAGGCAGGCAGATCACAAGGTCAGGAGATCGAGACCATCCTGGCTAACACGGTGAAATCCCGTGTCTATTAAGAATACAAAAAATTAGCCAGGCATGGTGTGGCATGCGCCTGTAATCCCAGCTAAACGGGAGGCTGAGGCAGGAGAATCGCTTGATCCCAGAAGGCAGAGGTTGCAGTGAGCCGAGATTGTGCCACTGCACTCCAGCCTGGGTGATAGAGCAAGACTCTGTCTCAAAAAAAAAAAAAAAAAAAAAACCTGGGCTCAGGTGATCTTCCCACCTCAGCGTCCAAAGTAGCTGGGACTACAGGCACTCACCACCACGTCTGAGTAATTTTTGTATTTTGTGTAGAGATGGGGTTTTGCCATATTGCCCAGGCTGGTCTCGAACTCCTGAGCCAAAGTGATCGCCCACCTCGGCCTCCCAAAGTGCTGGGATTACAGGCTTCAGCCACTGCGCCTAGCCTGAAATGACACTGTTGTTGGTAGTACTTTGAGAGCACGTAGCAATACCTGGTAATGCTGGAGGTGTGTGAATGTGCTCTTCAGAGTTCCTTACCTAGGCTTTCGGAACAGGTGTTCAAGAAACAAGTACAAAGATATTTACTGGAGCACTGTATGCAATTGCAAAAAAAAAGTTAAAACAACCTAATTTTCTCTCAGCAAAAGAAAGGACAAAATGAACCCAAACTTGCTCAAGTTGGTATTCTATGCTGCAGTGAAAATGAATGAACAAGATCTTCATTTTTGGCTGGGCGCAGTGGCTCACACCTGTAATCCCAGAACTCTGGGAGGCCGAGGTAGGTGGATCACGAGGTCAGGAGCTCAAGACCAGGCTGGCCAAGATGGTGAAACCTGGTCTCTCCTAAAAATGCAAAAGTTAGCTGGGTGTGGTCGTGGGCACCTGTAATCCCAGCTACTCGGGCGGCTGAGACAAGAGAATCACTTGAACCCGGGAGATGGAGATTGCGGTGAGCCAAGATCGTGCCATTGCACTTCAGCCTGGGCAACAGAGCAAAACTCCTTCTCGAAAACAAAAAACAAAAAAGAAGAAGCAAAAGTTGGCCGGGCACGGTGGCTCACGCCTGATATCCCAGCACTTTGGGAGGCCGAGGCAAGCGGATCACTTGAGCTCAGGGGTTCGAGACCAGCCTAGACAACATGGTGAAACACCATCTGTACAAAATATACAAAAATTAGCCAGGCATGGTGGCTTGTGCCTTTCTTTTGTTTTAGAGATGAGATGAGGTCTCCCTATGTTACCCAGGCTGGTCTTGAACTCCTGGCCTCAAGTGATCCTCCTGCCTCAGCCTCTTGAGTAGCTGGGATTACAGTCATAATCCCAGCTAATTGGGAGGCTGTGGCAGGAGAATTGCTTGAACCCGAGAGGTGGAGGTTGCAGTGAGCCGAGGCAGCGCCACTGCACCACTGCACTCCAGCCTGAGTGACAGAGTGAGACTCCTCTGTCCAAAAAAAAAAGAAGAAAAAAAGAAGCAAAAGTTGCAAAATGGTACACATAGTGATTCCATTTATGTAAAGTTCCAAAACACACACACAAAATAGTAAGTTCTGTTTAGAAAGACATTTATAATATGTAGTAAAACAACAACAAAAAAACATACACGAGGGTGATTTACATACATGGGGGTGATTTACACCTACCTCAGGATAATGGTCACCTCTGGGGAGAGAGGGAGAGAACAGCCATAGAGGGCTTTAGCTATTTCTGTAAAGCTTTATTTCTTTTTAAAAAAATCTGAAGAAGGCCAAGCACGGTGGCTAACGCCTGTAATCCTAGCACTTTGGAAGGCAGAGGCGGACGGATTGCCTGAGCTCAGGAGTTCGAGACCAGCCTGGGCAAACATGGTGAAACCTTGTCTCTACTAAAATACAAAAGAAATTAGCCGGGTGTGGTGGCAGGCGCCTGTAGTCCCAGCTACTCCGGAGGCGGAGGCAGGAGAATGGCGTGAACCTGGAAGGTGGAGGTTGCAGTAAGCCGAGATCGCGCCATTGCACACCAGCCTGGGTGACAGAGCGAGACTCCGTCTCAAAAAAAAAAAAAAAAAAAAAGCTGAAGAAAATGAGGCAAAATATTAATATGTATTTAATACATATTACACATGTGTGTTTATGATATTTCATTTTATATTTGTGCTGGGCTGAATAGTGGCACCTCCACAAATGTCCACCCGCTATCCTAATTCTCAGAACCTTCATGTTGTAAAGGAAACTTTGCAGATGTGATTATATGTCTTGAGATGGAGATAATCCTGAATTTTCTGAGTGGATCCAACATCATCACAAGGTTCCTTGTAAGAGGGAGGCAGGAAGGTCAAAGTCAGAAAGCGGAAATGTGACAACGGAAGTGGAAGTTGGGGTAATGTGCTTTGAAGATGCGGGAAGGGGCCACGAGCCAGGGAATACAGACAGTTTCTAGAAGCTGGAAGAGACAAGGAAAAGATTCTTCCCTGAGGCCTCCAGAAAAAACATGGCCCTGTCAACACCTTCATTGTAGCCTCTTTTTTCTTTGTTTGTCACCCAGGCTGCAGTGCAGTGGCACAATCTCAGCTCACTGCAGCCTCGACCTCCTGGACTCAAGCGATCCTCCCACCTCAGCCCCGCAAGTAGCTGGGACTACAGGTGCACGCCACTGTGCCCAGCTAATTTTTGTATTTTTTTGTAGAGACGGGGTTTTGCCACGTTACCCAGGCTGGTCTCAAACTCCTAAGCTCAAGTGATCCACCCGCCTCGGCCTCCCAACGTGCTGGGATTCCTGGCATGAGCCACCATCCCCAACCCTTCACTGTAGACTTCTGACCTCCAGAAATGTACGAGAATAAATAAATTTCAATGTTTTAAGTCACTAAATTTGTGGGAATTCGTTACAACAGCAATAGGAATCTAATCCAGGACTTCTGGGAATGTTTCATCATTTTAACTTTTTGTTTGTTTTTCTTGTATGACGTTATGTTGTGAGAGGCCTGAGTCCTGTCTATTGATATCTTCCTGTTCCTCCTCCTTCAGAGGAGGTGGGGAGCTGTTCAGGGGCCCTTCTCAACCAGCCATACCATGAATACATCACGAGACTTCTGTGCGAAAGATGGAGCTATACGCCCATCTCAGGAGGCCCTGGGGTTTCTGGAAGACCTGGTTGTCAGAAAATGTTTGGGGGCTGGGGTGAGCTGCACTAGGGGAACCTCTGGAACTGGTCCCTTTTTCCCTGGAAGGTGGAGCTGCCAGAAGCTCACAGAAGGCTGAGGGTGACAGTTTGCAGAGACGAGCTTTGAGGCACTGAAAGGAGCGCGCCTGGAACCCTCTCCTTACCCTCTTTATCCACCTTCTGAAAAGGCTGCATGAACCACCCAGGGGCTGGCCAGTGTGGAGAAGATTTGCCTGGAAAGGGTGGTGCTGGATGTCAGATGGGCAGGTCCTCCTCCACCACCAGAGCAGCTCAGCAGTGAGGGTGGCAGCACAGTGCTCACAGGGGCTGACACCTCTCACTCGGGGCAGTACCCTCCTGGGCTCCACCTGAGAGCTGAGCCAGTGAAGCTGTGAGGTACCCAGCCAACAGCACCCACTCATTGAAGTTGGGCTTGAGAAGAGAAGGAAGCTGATAGGAGAGGAGGGTTAAAAGGCATGTGAGAAACCAGAAAAAATTATGTTCAGAGGAAAACACCGGTGCATATTTCTATGCGTGCACATGTGAGTGTGTGAGTGTGTGTGTGCAGGCAGGCGTGTATGTAGAGGCTACAAATAAAGCAGTGTGTCTGCGTCTGTGTGTCTGTGTGAGTGTAGAGACCAAGGGTAAGGGTAAGGAGACAGTGTGACGGTGTGTGAGAGTGTGTGTGTGTGTGTGTGTGTGTGTGTGTGTATACGGGTTACAAATAAGCAGCATGCTTATGTGTGTGTGTGCCTGTGTGTGTGTGCGCCTGTGTGTGTGTGCACGTGTGTGCACACGCAGGTATGTGTATTTCTTGACCAGCCTGGAGACTCTGAGAGTATAATAGCATAGGCCCCAGGGGAGGAGGGCCAGGACGAGGAGAACGGGAGTGGAAAATGGCAGGACTAACACACACGTAGGGAAGAAGTAGAGGAAACAACTGACTCTCTGGCCAAAGCATGAAAGGCCTGGCTGGCACGGTGGCTCACACCTGTAATCCCGCACTTGAGCCCAGGAGTTGGAGACCAGCCTGGGCAACACTGCCAAACCCTGTCTCAACAAACAATACAAAACCAGCAGGGCATGGTGGCGTATGCCTGTAGTCCCAGCTACTCAGGAGGCTGAGGCAGGAGAATCTCTTGAGCCCCGGAGGTCGAGACTGCAGTGAGCCAAGGACAAGGCTACAGTGAGCTGAGATTGCAACACTGCACTCCAGCCTGGATGAGAGAGAGAGACTGTGTCTCAAAATTAAATATATAGAGAGAGAGAGACAGAGAGAAAGAAAGAAAAGAAAGAAAAGAAGAAAAAAAGGAAGAAAGAAGGAAAGAAAGAAAGAAGGGGGAGGGGGAGGGGAGGGGAGGGGAGGGGACTGCTGGGACTGCTAGGCCTGCAAGCCTGAGCTGGGCTTGGCTGGGCATGGGGCCCATACTGAGGCACCATGTTACAGGGTAGGGTGAAGGGATAGAGAGAAACAGGGCAGTTCCAACCCTACCTAGGCCAGGGCCAATCTACTTTCATGTCTACCCTGAGGATGAAACCATCCTGCTAGAGACAGGAGAGCTGACAGGTGACAGGCCTGGGCCCTACTAGGGAATGAGAGGAGGGAATTGAGTGACGTTGCAAAGGAAAGCTCGGGTGACCTGGCAGCTTTTCCATAAAAGGGTTTTCTCCAGGTTGCCTTTCCTCATGGCAGCGGGGTCTCTCACAGGCAGGTCCCACAAGATCTGTGCCCTGGGAAAGCCCAGGACAGCCCAACTCCATGGTGACAGCCATGTGGGTAAGGGCCTGAATCCTGACTCAGTCTGTCCACTCCATCCTCTTCAGCAGAGGCCTCCTCACCCCAGACACCTGGCTCAGTATCAGGGGTCTGGTTACCTGCAGTCCAACCTCCAGGTCGCTCCTCAAGAGCCCCTCGCCCATTCATCCTGCCAACTGCTCTCCTTACCGCATCCGCTCCCACCTCCCTGGCCTCATTCCAAGGTCCCACACACCTCAGAGCACAAGGATTCAGGGAAGACTCTGTCCACAGGAGACTGCAGACCCAGGGAGGGGCTGGGTGAAGCCTCAGACTTGCCTGGCTCAGAATATTTATCAACTGCATTTTTTATTAAGACAATAAAATATGCAATAACATTCTGGCACAGGAGGTGCAGGATTTAAGTAAATGTAACATAAAACAGGCCCAGGAGAATTGGGTATACAGTCAAGAAACAAGAGAAAATTACAAATCATTTTTTTTCTTTTTGTTTTAGCAACAATACTGCAATGAACATTTTTGTTGCTGCATTTTGGACGTCTTAAATATTCCTTCCAGAATAATTTCTAGGGGTGGAAATGACTGGTCAAAAGGAATTGGTAATTTAAAGGCTTAATTTTCCTCCAAAAATGCTCTTCCCATTTTATACATTCTTAGAAGTAATTAGTGAGAAAGCCTCTTCTCTAAGTGATACTCATTTGCCAATCTGATAGGTGAAAGGAGAAATGTTATCTCAAATGGTTTTACTTTGCCTTGTGTTGAGTATTAAAGAGGCTGAAGATTTTCTTCTCTTATTAACCATCTGGTTCATCGTTGATTCATCTGCCAGCTCACACATTCTCCATATTTCTCCTTGGTGCCCTATTCTTTTTTTTTTTTTTCTGGAGACGGAGTTTTGTTCTTGTTGCCCAGGCTAGAGTGCAATGGCACAGTGTTGGCTCACTGCAACCTTCGCCTCCTGGGTTCAAGCAATTCTCCTGCCTCAGCCTCCCGAGTAGCTGGGATTACAGGTGCCTACCACCACACCAGGCTAATTTTTGTATTTTTAGTATAGATGGGGTTTTGCCATGTTGGCCAGACTGGTCTTGAACTCCTTACCTCAGGTGATCTGCCCGCCTCGGCCTCCCAAAGTGCTGGGATTACAGGTGTGAGCCACTGTGCCTGGCTGGTGGCCTATTTTTTTTTTTCTTTTTTTTTTTGAAACGGAGTTTTGCTCTTGTTGCCCAGGCTGGAGTGCAGTGGCGTGATCTCGGCTCACTGCAACCTCCGCTTCCCGGGTTCAAGTAATTCTCCTGCCTCAGCCTCCCGAGTAGCTGGAATTATAGGCACCCGCCACCATGCCCAGCTAATTTTTGTGTTTTAGTAGAGACGGGGTTTCACCATGTTGGCCAACCTGGTCTCAAACTCCTGACCTAAGGTGATCCACCCACCTCGGCCTCCGAAAGTGCTGGAATTACAGGCGTGAGCCACCGCGCCCGGCCCCTATTCTTTAAAAAAGCCCCTTCTAGGCTGGGCACAGTGGCTCACGCCTGTAATCCCAGCACTTTGGGAGGCCAAGGCAGGTGGATAAAAAAAAAAAAAATGCCGGGCATGATGGCTCACGCCTGTAATCCCAGCACTTTGGGAGGCTGAGGCGGGTGGATCACGAGGTCAGGAGTTCAAAACCGGTCTGGCCAACATAGTGAAACCCCGTCTCTAGTAAAAATACAAAAAAAAAAATTAGCCAGGCATGGTGGTGTGAGCCTGTAATCCCAGCTACTTGTGAGGCTGACGCAGGAGAATCGCATGAACCCGGGAAGCGGAGGTTGCAGTTAGCCAAGATCGCACCACTGCACTCCAGCTGGGCGACAGAACGAAACTCCATCTCAAAAAAAAAATTAAAAATTAAAACTGGGCCGGGCGTGGTGGCTCATGCCTGTAATCCCAACACTTTGGGAAGCCAAGACGGGAGGAACACTTGAGCCCAGGAGTTTGAGACCAGCCTGGGCAACATAGTGAAACCCCGTTTCTACAAAAAATAGAAAAATTCGCCAGGCGTGGTAGTCCCAGCAACTCAGAAGGCTGAGACAGGAAGATCATTTAAGCCTGGGAGGTTGAGGCCGCAGTGAGCTGAGATCACAACACTGCACTCCAGCCTGGGTGACCAAGGGAGACCCTGTCTCAAAAATTAAATTAAATTAAAATTAAGGCCGGGCCTGGTGGCTCACACCTGTAATCCCAGCACTTTGGGAGGCTGAGGCAGGCAGATCACTTGAGGCCAGGAGTTCAAGACCAGCCTGGGCAACATAGGGAGATCCCATGTCTACAAAAATTTAAAAATTAGCCAGGTGTGGTGGTGTACACCTGTGGTCCCAGCTACTTGGGAGGCTGAAGTGGGAGGATTGCTTGGGCCCAGGAGGTGGAGGCTGCAGTGAGCTAAGATTACACCATTGCACTCCAGCCTGGGTGACAGAGTGAGACCTTCTCTCTCAAAAAAAAAAATTAATTAAAAAAATCTAGTGGAGTTTTGGTTTATTTCCATCTTTGGCACGGCGCTGATTAATCTTTTCAGGTAAAATCAGGGAGAATAGAAAGAAAAGTTGAGGGAGGGAAGGAAGGAATTTGATCTTTGGGAGGAAGGGCTGAGTGTGACTTGGCAAGAGAAGGCATCCAAGGGCAGAAACGCCAGAGGGAAGGGGCGAAGGGCGCAGAACCAAGGAACTTCCAGAGGCTGACGTCTCCCAGTGGGGTCCACAGAGGTCCCAGTTCACTAAGGGTCATTGCTCCAGGGAGGGAAGGAAGTGGGGGAGGAGGGGAAAAGGGGATGGAAGGGGGAAAGATCTGCATGGCCATGTGTAGCCCTGAAGGTGTCCCTAGGTCAGTCCTGTGGGGTGACAGCACTGGAGAGGCCGCCATAGCCTCTGGAAACCAGATTATCTCACCCAAACCAACACAGGCTTGGAAACATCCCAAGAAGGGGACAGAATTGATGGAGCTTAGGACATACCACCCCAAAATATAGCACCTCAGCATCTGGAAAACCCTAGAAGCAGAAAGGGCTCTCACCATCTCACCCTGCTCCTCTAAAGCAGGTCGTAAGAGTCTCATTCCAGAGATGCCCTCCCGATACCCGGAGGAGAGGAACAGCCTTATCTCCAAAGAGACAGGGACACAGACAAGACTCTGAACAAACAGGCCTTGCTAAGTCTCACGCACCCCCCTCCCCCACCAGTTTACTGCCATTAGATCATATTTATTTATCAAACCAAACTTCTCCACGATTATACACTGCATCATCAAACCTAACGTAAAAAATACACAGGTTGGCCGGGTGCGATGGCTCACGCCTATAATCGCAGCACTTTGGGAGGCTGAGGTGGGTGGATCACAAGGTCAGGTGATCGAGACCAGCCTGGCCAAAATGGTGAAACCCCACCTCTACTAAAAATACAAAAGTTAGCCGAGCGCGGTGGTGGGCGCCTGTAATGGCAACTACTTTGGCGGCTGAGGTAGGAGAATCGCTTGAACTCAGGAGGTGGAGGTTGCAGTGAGCCCAGATCGCACCACTGCACTCTAGCCAGGGTGACAGAGCAAGAATCGTCTCAAAGAAAAGAAAAAAAAATACACAGGTTAGGCTGGGCACAGTGGCTCATGCCTGTCGTCTCAGCACTTTGGGAGGCTGAGGTGGAAAGACTGCTTGAGCCCAGGAGTTTGAGACCAGCCTGGGTAACAATATGAGACCTCGTCTCTACAGAAAAAGTTAGCCAGGCAGAGTGGCGCCTGCCTGTAGGGCCAACTACTAGGGAGGCTGAGGTGGGAGAATCGCTTGAGCCTGGGAAGTGGAGACTACAGTGAGCCATGACTGTGCCACTCACTACACTTCAGCCTGGGCAACAGAGCAAGACCCTATCTATATACATGCATACATGCACACACACACACACACACACACACACACACACTCTCTCTCTCTCACACACACACATAATTTAAAGTGATTACTTGAGCCAAAGTGAGGACAGCTGCTTGATAGATTCAGACCCAAGCAACGTTGGATATGAGTTCTTTGACCTTTGTTAGAAGTGGGTTTTTGTTTTATTTATTTATTTATTTTTGAGACATCCTTTCTCTGCCGCCCCATCTGGAGCACAGTGTTGCCATCTCAGCTCACTGCAACCTCCGCCTCCCAGGCTCCAGCAATTCTCATGCCTCAGCGTTTTGAGTAGCTGGGATTACAGGCATGCACCACCACACCCAGCTAATATTTTGTATTTTTAGTAGAGATGGGGTTTTACCATGTTGGCCAGGCTGGTCTGGAACTCCTGACCTCAAGTTGATCTCCCCGCCTCAGCCTGCCAAAGTTCTGGGGTTACAAGCGTGAGCCATCACGTCCAGCCTGCTGGCTCATTTTAATGTCACTCTGGGCCTGATAACTGAAAAGGACTCAGATTCCTCAGATAAAAGCTCTTTTCTTCTCTCACCTGTTTCTTTGGGTTTTCATTTACAAAGCTTCCTGTGTCATGTAAAACTTATATAAAATAAATGTGAGGCCAGGGTGGCCTCACATTCTCTGCCTCAGCCTCCCAAGTAGCTGGGATTACAGGCACCCGCCACCACGCCCTGCTAATTTTTTTTTTTTTTTTGAGATAGAGTTTTGCTCTTGTTGCTCAGGCTGGAGCGCAATGGCGCAATCTTGGCTCACCGCAACCTCCACCACCCAGATTCAAGCGATTCTCCTGCCTCAGCCTCCCGAGTAGCTGGGATTACCAGCATGCTCCACCACGCCCCGCTAATTTTGTATTTTTAATAGAGATGGGGTTTCTCCATGTTGGTCAGGCTGGTCTCGAACTCCCGACCTCAGGTGATCCGCCTGCCTTGGCCTCCCAAAGTGCTGGGATTACAGGTGTGAGCCACCGCGCCTGGCCTGTTTTTTTGTATTTTTTGTAGAGACGGGGTTTCACCATGTTGGCCAGGCTGGTCTTGAACTTCTGACCTCAGGAGATCCACCCCCCCCCAGGCCTCCCAAAGTGCTGGGATTACAGGCATGAGCCACCATGCCCGGCCTCTTCTGTGAATTTTAAAAATTGTTTTCGTGTGCCTGTAGTCCCAGCCACTTAGGCTGGAGTGTTTAGTGTTTCCATGGATGAATTTGAAAACAAACGAGCCCAGGCGTGGGGGCTCACACTTGGAATCCCAGCACTTTGGGAGGCCGAAGTGGGTGGATCACTTGAGACCAGGAGTTCAAGACCAGCCTGGCCACTATGGTGAAATCCTGTCTCTACTAAAAATATAAAAATTAGCCAGGCTTGGTGGCGTGCGCCTGTAATCCCAGCTACTTGGGAGGTTGAGGCAGGAGAATCGCTTGAACCCAGGAGGCGGAGGTTGCAGTGAGCTGAGATGGCACCACTGCACTCCAGCCTAGGCAGAAAGAGCGAAACTCTGTCTCAAAAAAAAAAAAAAAGAAAGAAAAGAAAACAAACGTCAGAGGCATTATTTGTAACTTACTGTAGATATTTCAAAACAATCCTTGGCTACTACTTAGAAGTTACAGAAATAGACCGTTTGGTCACTGGCTGATTAAAATGGAAAAGACAAAGGTTTTCCGGGGGAAACAAAAAGAGGCAAGGAGTCTCAACTGAGCGCTCAAGAAAGAGTGTGTGTTATTGAGGAGTGACTGGGAGTTGGGGGCCTTGCCTGGACACTGTCCAAATCCGGGGAAGTGTTCTGGGGGGCAGATGAGTGGGCTCTTCAGTTCACCAGCTGGTTCTGTCTTGGAGGCTATTCCCAACAGACACATTTGCTTGGAGAGGGGCCGCATTGGCCACCCTGCTTCCTGCAATTCTGTTTGTGCCCAAACAGTATGAGTGTGTTGTCCCAATGTGGGTGCGTCCCTGTGCAGCACTGCTGTGTTGCCAGGCAACCCAGTGTGTGTCCCCTTAGAATTCTCTCTACTCCTGGAGTCTAACGCAGAGCTGGCATGGCTGGCATCCAGGGCTGCGGCCACCCCGACCTGATCAGTCTGGGGTAGCCTCTGGCCTCCAGTCGTAGGGTGCACAAAAGCCCAGGAGGTGTGGCTGGGGACCTGACACACTGCTGCCTCTGGAGATTGTGGCTGAAATGGGAAGTTTCCATTTGGCTCTGTGTGTGTGTGTGTGTGTGTGTGTGAGCGCACGTGCGCTCGTGTGCGCTCTGTGTCTGAGTGTTGGACTGTTCAAGGCTCTAGCAGGACCTGGCTCATGGCTGAGAATTTAGGGAGTGGAGCTTGCCCTTCCACGGTGGTTGTCCGTCTCTGGGGGCCAGCTTTGGGCATTGGGTGGATTTGACCACAGTGACAGCATTTGCTCTTTTTTTTTGAGACAGAGTCTCACTCTGTCACCCAGGCTGGAGTGCAGTGGCATGGTCTCGGCTCACTGCAACCCACCACCTCCCGGGTTCAAGCAATTCTCCCATCTCAGCCTCCCGAGTAGCTGGGACTACAGGCACCCACCACCACACCCGGCTAATTTTTGTATTTTTAGTAGACACGGGATTTCACCATATTGGTCAGGCTGGTCTCGAACTCCTGACCTCAGGTGATCCACCCGCCTCAGAATCCCAAAGTGTTGGGATTACAGGTGTGAGCCACCACGCCCGGCCTTGAGGGTAATTCTTTTTTTTTTGCTCGAGACAGAGTTTCGCTCTTGTTGCCCAGACTGGAGTGCAATGGCGCCATCTCAGCTCACTGCAACGTCTGCCTCCCAGGCTCAGGTGATTCTTGTGCCCCACCCAGCCTCCCACCTCCCAAGTACCTGGGATTACAGGCATGCACCACCACGCCCCGGCAATTTTTTTTTTTTTTTTTTTTTTTTTTTTTTTTTTTTTTTTTTTTTTTTTTTGTGAGACAGAGTCTCTCTCTGTCGCCCAGGCTGGAATGCAATGGCTAACTGCAAGCTCCGCCTCCCGGGTTCACGCATTCTCCTGCCTCAGCCTCCTGAGTAGCTGGGACTACAGGCGCCCGCCACCACGCCCGGCTAATTTTTTGTATTTTTAGTAGAGACGGGGTTTCACCGTGTTAACCAGGATGGTCTCGATCTCCTGACCTCGTGATCTGCCCACCTCGGCCTCCCAAAGTGCTGGGATTACAGGCGTGAGCCACCGCGCCCGGCAGCCTTCTCATTCTTCTTGCAGGAATCTTTTAAATTCGTTATTTGGAACCAGCACAAAGTGTCTTGGTACCAAGTGTAGTGATCACTCAAGACAAAAATGAAATAGACTGGAAATGTGGCAAGGCCAACTTGTATGTTCCAAAAACAGGTTCTGAAAGGAATTTTTGTTTTTCGAGACAGGGTCTCACTGTCGCCCAGGCTGGGGTGCAGTGGTGCAATCACAGCTCACTGCATCCTCGACCTCTGGACTTTAGTGACTCTCCCACCTACAGCTTCGTGCCACCACGCCAAGCTAATTTTTTTATTTTTTGTAGAGACGGGGGTCTTCCTATGTTCCCCAGGCTGGTCTTGAACTCCTGGCCTCCAGTGATCCTCCCGCCTCGGCCACCCAAGGTACTGGGATTACAGGCGTGACTCACTGTGCTCAGCCCTGAAAAGAATATTTTTTAAAACAAGTTTAAAAATAAAATATTTTGAACAGTGAAAGCAACATCTTTGAAATAATCACAACTTTCTAGGATTATTCCTTTGAAGTTCTGTTCTATTTTGATTTTTAAAAGATCTCTCTCAAGACTGTAGAGGTGCAAACAGGTTCAGGAAGAGCAGCTGACCCCCTCCTGCAGCACAGGAGGAAGGAGACAGAGCAGATCCGGGGCTGCAGCGGCTTCCCGAGGGTCCCCGCGGCCGCATCCTGCGGAGGGGTTCCAGTGTTTCTGTTTATATCTGTGTGTGGGTGTGTCTCCCTCTGGGTTGTGCACTAGCAGGCTCTGGGCGTGTCCCATCTAACAGCAGCTCATCCAGGAGGTGTTTCATCGCTGCAGGGAAATTCCAGAGGGCAGCTCCTGCCACAACTGCGGTGAGACATAATTTCCTTGGGAGGAAACCAGTTCTCAGCAGCCAGAAATGAAACAGTTTCCACTCTGGGAGGGCGCAGGAGGGTGTGGCTGCAGGCGGGGCAGAGCTACCCGCCTGGAGAGCCTGCTGGCCGGCCTGGCTCCCTGAAGCCTCCAGTCACAGTTTAAATTTAGACCTTCTATTCTGGTCCGTGCTGCTCACGCCTCACCCCGTGGCCACCGGTCAGCCAGTTTCCCCGAGCACAAGTGTGCTCCGGAGGGACAGAACACGTAGGAGGTAAACGGTGTCCTGACCTTCGTTCTGTGGTGGTGTGGAATTGTGAAGTGGAATGGAAGAAAGACCAAGGCCAGAAAAATCCTCCACCCTAACAAATTTCAGAACCAGGGACCCCATGTGCACGCGCCCCACTAACTTCACAGACAGAAACATGCTTGTCCTACAGCCGTTTGTGGAGAGTCAGCCACGTGAACCACCAAGACTCGGTCCCCCTTCACGGTCTGGTGGAAATTCAGACAAGAAGAGGGCTGATTAGTGAGCAGGAAGAGAGTGCATGTTCAGGGCAACTTGAATCTATGCCTTGAGGCAGGGGCCAGGGCGGGGAGGGAGTAGGCCAAGGGCTGTGAATCCCAGCACTTTCAGAGGCCGAGGCGAGAAGCTTGCTCAAGCCCAGGAGTTCGAGGCCAACCTAGGCAACATAGTGAGACCCAATCTCACAAAAAATACAAAAATTAGCCAGGTGTGGTGGCACACACCTGTGGTCCCATCTACTGCAGATGCTGAGGTGGGAGAATCGCTTGAGCCTGGGATCATGTGCCCCACTCACTTCACAGACAGAAATAGGCTCGTCCTGCTGCAGTGAGCTGAGATTGCACCACTGCACTCCAGCCTGGGTGACAGAGCAAGACCCTGTCTCAATCTATATATATAAACAAAGTTAGCAAAATCTATGAGAATTAAGGCCTGCTTTACCCTAAAAATTCTTTTTTAAAAATCATACACGCTGGGCGCAGTGGCTCACCCGTGTAATCCGAGCACTTTGGGAGGCCAAGGCAGGTGGATTGCTTGAGTCCAGGAGTTGGAGAGGAGCCTGGGCAATATGGTGAAACCCCGTCTCTAACAAAAAAAATACAAAAAATAGCTGGGCGTGGTGGTCTGCGCCTGTAGTCCCAGCAACTCCGGAGGCTGAGATAGGAGGATCCCTTGAGCCTGGGAGGTGGAGGTTGCAGTGAACGGAGATCATGCCACTGCACTGCAGCCTGGGTGACAGGGTGAGACCATGTCTCAGAAAAAAAAAAAAAAAAGAAAAAAAATCATATAACCATAATTCCTATAATTTCCACTTCATTCTGTTCCCTGCCCAAATGCCCCTGCCCTGACCCTCCAAATCAGTCCCCGCCTCTCACTGCCCCTCATCCTGCTTCATGTTCTCCCCAGTGGCACCATCATCTGACAGTGGCACACATCCATGTGTCTTAGCACTTCCTCCCCCAGAATGCAAGATCCAGGAGAGCAGGGACTTGGCTTTGCTCGCTGCTACGTCCCCGGTTCCTAGAGAAGTTACCTGTATTAACCAAACACTTACTAGATACCAGGTGTTGTTAAACATTTCAAATGGGTTTTCTAATTTTATCTTCATGATAACCTGTGAGGTTTTTACCCAAGTAGGAAAAGGAAGCCGGGAGAAGTTGAGGATCCTGTTCAAGGACACACAGGGAACCCGGGCAGTCTGTGCTGGCGTGTGTGCCCTTGGCCACTTCACTGACTGGGTGCCCTTTCCACCCAGCCCTGCACATGCTCTGCGAGGGAAACCACCTCTCTTACTCTCTCACTCAGCCCTTGCTGAGCTCCCTAGCCTGTCTCAGGAAGGCTGAGCCAAACCCCCAGCCCCTGCCGCCCCCACCCCCAACCATCCTGGCCAGTGCCTGGGAAGAGGTGCCTTCGTGGTGAAGGGATCCAGAATGTACACATGTCCCCAACTTATGATTTTTTGACTTTACAACGGTGTGAAAGTGAGCTGCATTCAGTAGAGACCACACTTCAAACTTTGAATTTTGATCTTTTCCCGGACTGGCGATACTGTCAGTGATGCAGCCGCAGGAGCCACAGCGCTGGGTGAGCACCGCACTCTGCGGTGGACGTGCTGCCCAAGGATTCTGATTTCCTTCCTTCCTTCCTTCTTTTTCCTTTCTTCCTTTCCTCCCTCCCTCCCTTTCTTTCTTTTTTTTTTTTTTTTTATTTTTGAGGCAGAGTCTCACTCTGTTGCCCGTCCAGGCCAGAGTGCAATGGCACCATCTCGGCTCACTGCAATCTCCGCCTGCCAGGTTCAAGGGATTCTCACGTGGCTCAGCCTCCTGAGTAGCTGGGATTACAGGCATGTGCCACCACGCCTGGCTGATTTTTGTATTTTTAGTAGAGACAGGGTTTCACCATTTTGGCCAGGCTGGTCTTAAACTCCTGGTCTCAAAGCCATCCACCTGCCTCGGCCTCCCGAAGGGCTGGGATTACAGGCCTGAGCCACTGCACCCGGCCCCTCCCTCCCTCCTGTCCTTCCTTCCGTTTTTTTTTTGTGGTGACAGGGTCTCACTATGTTGCCCAGGCTGGTCTGGAACAATCCTCTCGCCTTGGCCTCCCAAAATGCTGGGATTACAAGTATGACCACCGCACCCAGCCTGCCAAATGATTTTGCCCAACTGTAGGCTGATGTCAGTGTTCTGAGCACATTTAAGGCAGGCAAGGCTAAGTGATGACAGTTGGTAGGTTAGGTGTATTGAATACATTTTCTACTTAAGATATTTTCTTTTTTTTTTTTTTTTGAGACAGAGTCTCACTCTGTCGCCCAGGCTGGAGTGCAATGGCGCGATCTCGGCTCACTGCAACCTCTGCCTCCTGGGTTCAAGCAATTATCTTGCCTCAGCCTCCTGAGTAGCTGGGATTACAGGCACCCGCCACCACGCCAGGCTCATTTTTTGTATTTTTAGTAGAGACAGGGTTTCACCATGTTGGCCAGACTGGTCTTGAACTCCTGACCTCAAGTGATCTGTCTGCCTCAGCCTCTCAAAGTACTAGGATTGTAGGTGTAAGTCACTGCAGCTGGTCTTAGGACATTTTCTTTTTTTCTTTTTTTATGATTTTTTTAGAGACAGGGTCTCGCTATGTTGCCCAGGCTGGAGTGCAGTGGCTACGCACAGGCTCCGTTCTACTAGTGATCATCACAGTGTGATGGTCACAGTAGGATGATCACTTAGGCAACCTGGTAGTTCCCTGCTCCTGGGAAGTCACCATACTGATACCAAACTTACTGTGAACACCTGTTCGGCATACAGCATTAACACCCTGAACTCTTGTGCTCATGCAATCCTGCCTCAGCCTCCTGAGTAGCTGGGACTACAGACACAAGCCACCATGCTCAGCAATATTTTCAACTTACCTATGGGTTTATCAGGACATAACCCCATCATAAATGGAGGCATATCTGTATCACTGGATAGAGTTGTTGTTTTGTTTTTGTTTTGTTTTGTTTTGAGACAGGGTCTCACTCTGTTGCCCAGGCTGGAGTGCAGTGGCATGATCACGGCTCTCTTCAACCTCCACCTCCTGGGCTCAAGTGATCCTCCCACCTCAGCCCTCCCGGAGTTGTTCTTTTATCCCCGCTGAATACCTCCTATCTAAAAGCAGGGCCTCCCAAAAGAATTCAACTGTCCTCAATATCCTTTCCAGGAGTTTCGCAGCAGGGAAGACTGAGAAGTCAGCACAGTGTTAAGAAATCACCTAAACAGACATGTCACAAAAGTAGCTCCACCTATTCTCCTAAAGGCCTCTTTTGTTTGTTTGTTTTGAGACAGGGTGTTGCTTGGTTGCCCAGGCTGGAGCGCAATGGCATGATCATAGCTGATCATAGCTCACTGTAACCTCAAACTCCTGGGCTCAAGCGATCCTCTCGCTAAGAGCCCATTTAGTTCTCCTAAAAGTAATTTGTTTTCCCATAAGTAGCTTTTCTCCCCCTCACTTCTCCTATGAAGATAATATGTAAGCCCCAAATTCTAACCACCTCCGTGAGTCACATTTTTCTGCAAACTCCTGCCTGCAAACATGTCTCTTGCTTATTTATCTTTTTTTTTGGAGATGGAGTCTTGCTGTGTTGCCCAGGCTGGAGTGCAGTGGCGCGAACTTGGCTTACTGCAACCCCGCCTTCCGAGTTCAAACAATTCTCCTGTCTCAGCCTCTCAAGTAGCCGGGACTACAGGCACACACCACCATGCCCGGCTGATTTTTTTTTGTATTTTTAGTAGAGGTGGGGTTTCACCGTTTTGCCCAGGCTGGTTTCGAACTCCCGAGCTCAGGCAATCTGCCCTCCTTGGCCTCCCAGAGTGCTAGGATTACAGGCATGAGCCACCGAGCCCAGCCGTTTGTCTTTTGTCAGCTTCATTTGCAGGCTCCAGAACGCTGAACCTAAGAATTCAGCATGGTCTGCAGTGCAGCCCTCAGCTCTGTGTGCCAGAGGGAATCCCTTTCTGGAGGACCAACTCACACTAACCAAACTCATCAAGCACTGAGGAATAGACAGAAATAAATGGTGCTCTAACACCTGGACTTAGGGACACCACAGATAAAATCCTCTACCCAGAGACCAAGCTACCTCAGATCCTGCTGCCCAAAATTCCACCATCTAGTCATTTTGGGGGGTTAAAGCACCATAGTCCTATGAGGTCCCTTTGAAATGCAAATCCACTGCAGAGGAATACAGAATTACTCAACTCAGTATCCCTAGAATTTTGGAGGTGAGTAAGAAAATCCTAGAACTATCCTGAAATTTCTAACGATGTCTGGGTATTCCTGTTTCTATGGAAAGACATTATTTAATTAATTAATTTATTTTTTTTGAGACGGAGTCTCGCTCTGTCGCCCAGGCTGGAGTGCAGTGGCGCAATCTCGGCTCACTGCAAGCTCTGCCTCACGGGTTCACGCCATTCTCCTGCCTCAGCCTCACAAGTAGCTGGGACTACAGGCGCCTGCCACCACGCCCAGCTACTTTTTTGTATTTTTAGTAGAGACGGGGTTTCACTGTGTTAGCCAGGATAGTCTCCATCTCCTGACCTCGTGATCCGCCCGCCTGGGCCTCCCAAAGTGCTGGGATTACAGGCGTGAGCCACTGCGCCCGGCCAAGACATTATTTTTCAATGGACTGCTTTGGAAATGATCTGAGAAAAATAAAGAGAAAAAAACGAGGATGCTACTTCTATGTAGATAAGGAGCAATCTCCAAAGCATAGGTTGCTAAATAAAAAAGCAAATGCAGGCCAGCTGGGCACAGTGGCTCATGCCTGTAATCCCAGCACTTTGTGACGCCAAGGCGGGCAGATCACGAGGTCAGGAGTTTCAGACCAGCCTGGCCAACATGGTGAAACCCCGTCTCTACTAAAGATATAAAAAATTAGCCTGGCATGGTGGTGGGCGCCTGTAATCCTAGCTACTTGGGAGGCTGAGGCAGGAGAATCACTTAAACCTGGGAGGTGGAGGTTGCAGTGAGCTGAGATTGCGCCACTGCACTCCAGCCTGGGCCACAGAGGGAGACTCCGTCTCAAAAAAAAAAAAAGAGTTTGAGGCCAAGGGACAGGGTGGGAGAGAAACTTCTCACATTTTTTTTTTACCTTTTGAAATGTTGTCCCTTGTGCTCATTTATCTATTCAAAGAGCAGCTGTCCTTAAAGATTCTTTCCACCTGATATTGAAATTACAGATTTCCCTGCCTCCAGCTCTGACACCCCTGTTTTGTGCTCTGATGCTGACCTGCTCCCAGAGACTTCCTCCCAGTCAGGCGCACCCACTGCCTTGGGGAAGAGGTGTCCCAGGGAACAGAAGGACCAGCAGGAACCAGCGCCACCAGGGTGCCGTGTGGGCCAACCCCAGCAGATGGCAGCGTGTGGCCACTCAAGGTGTCTGGCCACTAAGGAGGGGTGCCAGGCCACCTGAGGCACAGGAGTGGAGACAGGGATGCCAGGAGGGAGGGCTGGTGGGGTGACCGTGAGTGTAGTTGGTGCTGGGCAGGGCTGCTTCCTCTTCTGTGCCACAGGCCCCTGGAGTCTAGGGGGGCCCAGGGACCTTTCTCAGAGTGGTTTTTGCATTTTTATTTTTATTTATTTATTTATTTTGAGACGGAGTTTCACTCTTGTTGCCCAGGCTGGAGTGCAATGGTGTGATCTTGGCTCACCGCAACCTCTGCCTCCCGGGCTTAAGTGATTCTCCTGCCTCATTCTCCCAAGTAGCTGGGATTACAGGCATGTGCCATGACGCCTGGCTAATTTTGTATTTTTTTTCTTTTTTTGTTTTGTTTTTTGTTTTGTTTTGTTTTTTGAGATGGAGTCTCACTCTGTCGCCCAGGCTGGAGTGCAGTGGCGCAATCTTGGCTCACTGCAACCTCCCCCTCCTGGGTTCAAGCGATTCTCCTGCCTCAGCCTCCCGAGTATGTGGGACTACAGGTGCAGGCCACCATACCTGGCTAATTTTTTGTATTTTTAGTAGAGATGAGGTTTCATCGTGTTAGCCAGGATGGTCTCCATCTCCTGACCTCGTGATCTGCCCGCCTTGGCCTCCCAGAGTGCTGGGATTACAGGCATGAGCCACCACGCCCAGCTAATTTTGTATTTTTAGTGGAGACGGGGTTTCTCCATGTTGGTCAGGCTGGTCTCAAACTCCTGACCTCAGGTAATCCGCCCGCCTTGGCCTCCCAAAGTGCTGGGATTGCAGGTGTGAGCCACTATGCCCGACATTTATTTTATTTTTTGAAACAGAATCTTGCTCTGCTGCCCAGGCTGGAGTGCAGTGGCACAATCTCGGCTCACTGCAACCTCCACCTCCTGGGTTCAAGCGATTCTCCTGCCTAAATCTCCCAAGTAGCTGGAATTACAGGTGCCAGCCACCAGACCCAGCTAATTTTTGTATTTTTAGTAGAGGTGGGGTTTCACTACGTTGGCCAGGTTGGTCTCAAACTCCTGGCTTCAAGAAGTGATACTCCTGCCTCAGCTTCCCCAAGTGCTGGGATGACAGGTGTGAGGGTAATTCTTTTTTTTTTTTTTTTTTTTTTTTTTTTTTTTTTTTTTTTAGACAGAGTTTTGCTCTTATTGCCCAGGCTGGAGTGCAATGGTGCGATCTCTGCTCACCGCAACCTCCACCTCTCGGGTTCAAATGATTCTCCAGCCCCAGCCTCCCAAGTAGCTAGGATTACACAGACGTGCCACCACGCCCAGCTAATTTTTTTTATATTTAGTAGAGACAGGGTTTCACCATGTTGGTCAGGTTGGTCTCGAACTCCTGACCTCAAATGATCCACCTGCCTCCACCTCCCAAAGTGCTGGGATTACAGGCATGAGCCACCATGCCCAGCCAAGGGTGATTCTTTATAAATGTATTCAATAACTAGATCCAGCAGTGAGCATGATAACTACGACTTTTTTTTTTTTTGAGACATGGTCTCACTGTTACCCAGGCTAGAGTGCAATGACGTGATCATAGCTCACTGCAGTCTCGACGTCCCAAATTCAAGCAATTCTCCCACCTCAGCCTCCCAAGTAGCTGGGACTACAGACGCATGCCATCATGCCCAGCTGGTTTTTTTTTTTTTTTTTTTGTAGAAATGGTTCTCACTATGTTGCCCAGGCTGGTCTCAAACTCCTGGACTCAAGCAAATCCTCCCACCTCAACTTCCCAAAGTGCTGGGATTACAGTCGTGAGCCACTGTGCCGGGCATTACCATGATTTCAAAATCATGATGAACATGAAGACATCCAAAATATCTTCCACAACTGTGGCGTGATAAGAAAATACCTCGGCAGGGCGTGGTGGCTCACGCCTGTAATCCCAGAACTTTGGGAGGTCGAGGTGGGCGGATCATGAGGTCAGGAGATCCAGACCAGCCTGGCCAACATGGTGAAACCCTGTCTCTACTAAAAATACAAAAATTAGCTGGGCATGGTGGCACGCACCTGTAATCCCAGCTACTTAGGAGGCTGAGGCAGGAGAATCGCTTGAACCTGGGAGGCAGAGGTTGCAGTGAGCCGAGATCACACCACTGCACTCCAGCCTGGCGACACAGCAAGACTCCATATCAAAAAATAAATAAATAAATAAAAAGGCCAGGCGCAGTGGCTCACGCCTGTAATCCCAGCACTTTGGGAGGCTGAGGCAGGCGGATGACGAAGTCGGGAAATTGAGACCATCCTGGCTAACGCAGTGAAACCCCGTCTCTACTAAAAATACAAAAAATTGAGCCAGGTATGGTGGCTCATGCCTGTAATCCCAGCACTTTGGGAGGCCGAGGTGGGCAGATCACGAGGTCAGGAGTTTCGAGACCAGCCCGACCAACATGGTGAAACCCCATCTCTACTAAAAATACAAAAATTAGCCGGGCCTGGTGGTGTGCACCTGTAATCCCAGCTACTCAGGAGGCTGAGGCAGGAGAATCACTTGAACCCGGGAGGCGGAGATTGCAGTGAGCCAAGATCATGCCATTGCACTCCAGCCTGGGCAACAGAGCAAGACTTCGTCTCAAAACAAAACAAAACAAAACAAAACAAAACAAAACAAAACAAAACAAAAAATTAGCCAGCTGTGGTGGCGGGCGCCTGTAGTCCCAGCTACTCAGGACGCTGAGGCAGGAGAATGGCGTGAATCCGGGAGGCTGAGCTTGCAGTGAGCCAAGATCATGCCACTGCACTCCAGCCTGGGCAACAGAGCAAGACTCTGTCTCAAAAAAAAAAAAAAGAAGAAGAAGAAAATACCTGTGCTTGCTTTCTTTTTCCTTTCTTTTTCTTTTTTTTTTTTTTTTGAGACAGAGTTTCACTCTTGTTGCCCAGGCTAGAGTGTAATGGCGCAATCTTGGCTCAGTGCAATGGCGCAATCTTGGCTCAGTGCAACCTCTGCCTCCCTGGTTCAAGCGATTCTCTTGCCTCAGCCTCCCGAGTAGCTGGGATTACAGGCACTTGCCACCACGCCCAGATAATTTTTGTATTTTTTTTAGTAGAGACAGGGTTTCACTATGTTGGCCAGGATGGTCTCGAACTCCTAACCTCGTGATCTGCCTGCCTCGGCCTCCCAAAGTGCTGGGATTACAGGCGTGAGCCACCATGCCTGGCTTATTACCTGTGCTTTCTGTAGGTGACAAAGTCCCAGGAACTGCCTCTACTACTGTGGTGTGCTGCTTACATACACATGGAAAGAAATGCTAGATGTCAACGAGAGATTAGTAAAACTCCACGGTGTCACTTTTTCCCATCCTAAGTTCACGGAATCCTTAACTGTAGACTAAGAATCTAAGGAGCGCAGGTCCGAAGGGGCCTCAACCTGGGAGGAAAGGCTGAATTTCTGGACGCCTCCACGAGCCAGAGTTGGATTCTGCTGTCATTCAAAGTTGGTGTGGGAGCCGGGCGTGGTGGCTCACGCCTGTAATCTCAGCACTTTGGCAGGCCGAGGCAGGTGGATCACCTACCTGAGGTCAGGAGTTTGAGACCAGCTTTAGCAACATGGTGAAACCTCCTTCTGTACTAAAAATACAAAAATTAGCTGGCGTGGTGGCGGGTGCCCGTAATCCCAGCTACTTGGGAGGCTGAGGCAGGAGAATCGCTTGAACCCAGGAGGCGGAGGTTGCAGTGAGCTGAAACCGCACCATTGCACTCCAGCCTGGGCAACAAGAGTGAAACTCCGTCTCAAAAAAAAAAAAAGTTACTGTGGGAGACCTGGAAGGCAGAGTGGGGGCCAGGGATAGGAGGACAGCCTGGGCACGGTGGAGCTGCCACCAGGGACACTCTGCCCTGGCTGGAAGCTGGCCTGGAGTGTGCATGGATAGATGCTCCGCCTGTCGCCTCCAGGCCCTCCAGTGACAACAGCAGTGCATGGCTGGTCTGGCTGGGAGGACTGTCAGGGCTCCCCTCTTCTCACGTCCCCAGCTCTCTCCCAGGCACCCCAGCTCCTTTCACTTCAGAGGAGCCCGTGATTCTCTGGAAACCAGAAGGTACCCCAGGGCCCCTCTTCCACCCTCCAGAGGGTGGTTCACGTCACCTTGACAACGGGCCAGCAACAAGGAAATGGGGTGAAGTGCGTCCCCTCTGCCCTGTTCCACCTTTGCAGGAGCCTTGAGTCTAAACCAAAAAATAGCCAGGAGCTCTGTGTTGCCTAGACAATTCCATCTTATGTCTGAGGTCAGGGCACCTTTTTTCCTGTTTGTGTATTTGGTTTGTTTTTCCACTTTGTGTTACAATTTTTTCTTTTTTTTTTTGAGACAGAGTCTCGCTCTGTTGCCTAGGCTGAAGTGCAGTGGTGCGATCTTGGCTCACTGCAACCTCTGCCTCCTGGGTTCAAGCAATTCTCCTGCCTCAGCCTCCCGAGTAGGTAGGATTACAGGTGCGTGCCACCAGGCCCAGCTAACTTTTGTATTTTTAGTGGAGATGGGATTTTGTCATGTTGGCCAGACTGGTCTCAAACTCCTGGACTCAAGTGATCCACCTGCCTTGGCCTCCCAAAATGCTGGGATTACAGGCGTGAGCCACTGCACCCTACCAAAAATTTAAAAAAATACATGAAAGTATAAAAAAATAGGCCAGGCGCTGTGGCTCACACCTGTAATCCCAGCACTTTGGGAGGCTGAGGTGGGCAGATCACAAGGTCAGGAGTTTGAGACCAGCCTGGCAATATGGTGAAACCCCATCTCTACTAAAAATACAAAAATTACCTGGGCATGGTGGTGGGAGCCTGTAGTCCCAGCTACTTGGGAGGCTGAGGCAGGAGAATCCTTGAACCCTAGAGGCAGAGGTTGCAGTGAGCCGAGATAGTGCCACTGTACTCCGGCCTCGGTGACAGAGCAGGACTCTGTCTCAAAAAAAAAAAAAAAAAAGTAAAATATACTCCCATTACCTCCTCGCCCAGATTCTACAATTCTCAACCTTTCACCACAGTGGTTTTCTCTGTCCCTTTTCAGCATAATTATTAGTTGTGCCATCTTTTCCCTCAGAAGTCCTGGTTTGAACAACTTAATGCAATCTCTGGCCCTAGACTGAATGCTGCCCTGGAGGAAAAAAAAAAGTGCTATTAAGGACATATTTGGGTCAATTGATAAAACTGGAATATAGGCCAGGCGTGGTGGCTCACGCCTGTAATTCCAACACTTTGGGAGGCCGAAGCAGGTGGATCACCTGAGGTCAGGAGTTTGAGACTAGCATGGCCAATATGGCAAAACCCCATCTCTACTAAAAATACATAAAAGTAGTTGGGCGTGGTGGCATATGCCTGTAATCCCAGCTACTAGGGGGGCTGAGGCAGGAGGATCGCTTGAACCTGGGAGGCGGAGGTTGCAGTGAGCTATCACGCCACTGCACTCCAGCCTGGGCAACAGAGCAAGACTCCGTCTCAAAAAAAAAAAGAAAAAAACTGGAATATAAACAGTGGAGCAGATACAACTCTTATCAAAGTTAAATACATTGAAGTTGATTTTTTTTTTCAAGATGGAGACTCACTCTTGTCGCCCAGGCTGGAGTGCAATGGCGTGATCTCGGCTCACTGCAACCTCTGCCTCCCTGGTTCAAGTGATTCTCCTGCCTCAGCCTCCCGAGTAGCTGGGGTTACAGGCATCCACCAGCACGACCAGCTAATGTTTTATTTAATTAGCCCAGCTAATTTGTATTTTTAGTAGAGATGGGGTTTCACCATATTGGCCAGGCTGGTTTAGAACTCCTGACCTCAAGTGATCCACCCGCCTCAGCCTCCCAAAGTGCTAGGATTATAAGCGTGAGCCACTGTGCCCGTCCAAAGTTGATTTTTTTTTTTTAATGTGGTTATACAAGGCAGTTTCCTTATTCTTAGAAAATACACACAGATCAGCCGGGCGCAGTGGTTCATGCCTGTAATCCCAGCACTTTAGGAGGCCGAGGCTGGCGGATCACGAGGTCAGGAGTTCGAGACTAGCCTGACCAACATTGTGAAACCCTGTCTCTGTATAAAAATTAGCTGGGCGTGGTGGCACGTGCCTGTAATCACAGCTACTCAGGAGGCTGAGGCAGGAGAATTGCTTGAACCTGGGAGTCAGAGGTTGCAGTGAGCCTAGATTGCGCCACTATACTCCAGCCTGGGCGACAGAGCAAGACTCCGTCTCAAAAAAAAATAAAAGAAAAAGAAAATACACACAGATTCGCCAGGCGCGGTGGCTCACACCTGTAATCCCAGCACTTTGGGAGGCTGAGGAGGGTGGATCACCTGAGGTCAGGATTTTGAGACCAGCCTGGCCAACATGGTGAAACCCCGCCCCTACTAAAAATACAAAAAATTAGCTGTGCGTGGTGGCGCTTGCCTGTAATCCCAGCTACTTGGGAGGCTGAGGCAGGAGAATCACTTGAATCCGGGAGGTGGAGGTTGCAGTGAGCGGAGATAGGGCCACTGCACTCCAGCCGGGGCGACGAGCGAAACTCTGTCTGAAAAGAAAAAAAAAGAAAAAATTTGCCCAAGAAAATACATTAGCAAACAACGAGAAGCATTAGTTCAAACAATAAATACTATGGCCACCCTACCTAAACTCTAGAAAGTCTAAAATGTCCAACGCAGACTTAACCAGAAAGCTGGCCCTAGTATTCTGGGCTTCTGGGTTTCAAGGTCTCACGTGTCAGGGGCCTATCCCATGCATTTGCATCCATCTGAAAGGAAACGGAGAATATTCGTGAAACCAGGCAGCTGTTACAGAGCAAGGGCTTCAGACAGAGCCCTGGGGCAGGAGCGGTGAGGGGCAGAGGCAGCTGGACAGCTCCTGCCTCCAGGAGGCTGCTCTTGGGCAAGTGGGCAGCATTTGTGGGCCACCATGATGGCACGGGGCTCTGTAGCCCCAAGGCTAGCACTTGTGGGCTGGCCTACAGCAATCCCCTGCCTGGGCGTCTCTGCACATAGCTGGCAGGATGCTGCTGCCCACTGCGTCTCTGCACATGGCTGGCAGGATGCTGCTGTCCACTGGAATGATCCAGAACGAGAGCTCTCAGCTTTCATAAAGGTCTAGGAGTCCCTGAGATTTGCAAGGTCCAAGATTGTGTCTTTTCTTATTCAAGGCTGAGTTGGAATTTAACATATCTCTCCTAATCACCTGATGTCTCTGCATCAATTAGCGTGCACCCTCCCCCTGCAAACTTCCCTCGGAAATGAAAACCATATGCATGATAACAATATCCCTGGCTAACAGTTAAGGGCACTTGTGTGCCTCACTTAATCCTCCCACGAACCCAAGGAAGTGAGTTTAGGAAATGTTAACTAAGGCCACTAAGATAGAAAGGGGTGGAGTTGAGTTTCCAGCACAGCAAGACAGGAGTGGGGAGGATGGAGCAGGCAGGTGCATGGGGAACCGCCCCGCCTGGAGGACATGGGAGCCCAGAGGTAAAAAAGCCTACTCTGGAAAGGAGACGCAGGTAGGGTACCTCACAGCATTTACAAATCTCCATGACCCTTGTGTCGGGTTCTGAGCATGGATTTAAGAACCAAGGTTCAAACCCCAGTTTAGCTGATCACTAGCTGGGTGACCTTGGGCAAGCTTCTTTTTTATTTTTTTTTATTTTTTGTGAGACGGAGTCTCCTCCTGTCACCCAAGCTGGAGTGCATTGGTGAACTCGGCTCACTGCAACCTCCGCCTCCTGGGTTCAAGCGATTCTCCTGCCCCAGCCTCCCAAGTAGCTGGGATTACAAGCGCCCGCCACCACCCCCAGCTAATTTTTTGTATCTTTAGTAGAGACGGGGTTTCACCATGTTGGCCAGGCTGGTCTCGAACTCCTGACCACGTGATCGGCCAGCCTCAGTCTCCCAAAGTGCTGGGATTACAGGCGTGAGCCACCGTGCCCAGCGGACAAACTTCTTAACCTCTCTGTACCTCAGTTTTCTCCTCTCTAAAACAAGGATAATAATAATGCCTTATGGAGTGGCTGTGAGAATGAATGAATTACACACACAGAATTGACGGCTTAGCTTTCATTTTACTCCTATATAGGTGCCAACATTTCTCAAAGAAAAAAAAATGGGCCGGGTGCGGTGGCTCACACCCATAATCCCAGCACTTTGAGAGGTTGAGGTGGGCAGATCACTTGAGGCCAGGAGTTTGAGACAAGCCTGGCCAACATGGTGAAACCACATCTCTAGTAAAAATACAAAAATTGGCCGGACGCGGTGGCTCACATCTGTAATCCCAGCACTTTGGGAGGCCAAGGTGGGCGGATCACGAGGTCAGGAGTTCAAGACCAGCCTGACCAATATGGTGAAACCCCATCTCTACTAATAATACAAAAATTAGCTGGGCGTGGTGACACGCGCCTGTAGTCCCAGCTACTCGGGAGACTGAGGCAGAAGAATTGCTTGAACCCGGGAGGCGGAGGTTGCAGTGAGCCGAGATCGCACCACTGCACTCCAGCCTGGGGACAGAGCAAGATTCCAACTCAAAAAAAAAAAAAAAAAAAAAGGCAAAAATTAGCCGGGCATGGCGCACACCTGTAATCCCTGCTACTAGGGAAGGCTGAGGCAGAAGAATCGCTTGAACCCGGGAGGCAGAGGTTGCAGTGAGCTGAGATTGTGCCACCGCACTCCAGCCTGGGTGACAGAGCCAGACTCTGTCTCAAACAAACAAACAAAAAATCTGTTTAGCATGTACTATCATTGCTCTTTAAAAAAGTATTAAAAATAAAAAAGGTTAGCCGGGCGTGGTGGCTCTCAACACTTTGGGAAGCCAAGGCAGGAACACTGCTTGAGCCCAGAAGTTTGAGACCAGCCTGGGCAACGTACTGAGACCCTGCCTCTATCAAAAAAACAAAACTAAACTAAACTAGCCAGGCATGATAGCACACACCTGTAGTCCTAGCTACTCAGGAGTCTGAGGCCGGAGGATCGCTTGAGCCCAGGAGTCCTGTGATTGGACCACTGTGCTCCAGCCTGGGGGACAGAGCAAGACCTTGTATATAAAATAAATAAATAATAAAAAGTGGTTACCAGACAGCACCTGGTGCTGTAGTATGGGCTGGCCCACCCCTTGGCTTGCTCCTGATGGATACTGCTGTCACTACAGGCAAGATGGGCAGGGTCTGGGGACATCATCATGCTACAGGTGCAAAGTCCCCAGAGTATGTGATCTCAGTGGAAGAAAGGGGCAAAGAGCCCTCAGTGAGTGCCTCTGCTGCCTCGTCAAGCCCACATTTCTCAACCTGCCCACAAAACCAGTTTCCCCAGGTCCTTGCAAGATGGTTTCTACCTATTGGGTGTGCCTCCCCTATATGGCTGTGGGACAAAAGCCGTCTGTCAAGAATTGAAAAATGGGAATAAAGGCTGGGCGCGGTGGCTCACACCAGTAATCCCAGCACTTTGGGAGGCCGAGGCGGGCAGATCACGTGAGGTCAGGAGTTTGAGACCAGCCTGGCCAACATAGTGAAATCCCGTCTCTACTAAAAATCCAAAAATTAGCCTGGCATGGTGGCAGGCACCTACAATCCCAGCTACTCAGGAGGCTGAGGCAGGAGAATCGCTTGAACCTGGGAGGCGGAGGTTGCAGTGAGCCGGGATCACACCATTGCACTCCAGCCTGGGGGACAGAGACTCCGTCTCAAAAAAAAAAAAAGAGGGAATAAATGCTGAAGGTACATGGGGAATCATACTCTTCTACTTTTTTGTATGTTGAAAATTTACATACATTTTTAAAATGTGCCAGGCACAGTGGCTCACGCCTGTAATCCCAGCACTTTGGGAGGACGGGGCGGGCAGATCACTTGAGCTCAGGAGTTCAAGACCAGCTTGGGCAACATGGTGAAAACCAGTATCTACAAAAAATAAAAAAACTCACCGGGCATGGTGGTGCGTAGTCCCAGCTACTCAGAAGATCACTTGAGCCCGGGAGGTTGATGCTGCAGTGAGCCACTACACTCCACTTTTATCCCAGCTCTTTGGGAGGCCGAGGCAGGCAGATCACCAGGTCAGGAGATTGAGACTATCCTGGCTAACAAAGTGAAACTCCATCTCTACTAAAAAATACAAAAATTAGCCAGGCGTGGTGGAGAGCGCCTGTAGTCCCAGCTACTTGGGAGGCTGAGGCAGGAGAATGGTGTGAACTGGGGAGGCAGAGCTTGCAGTGAGCTGAGATTGCACCACTGCACTTCAGCCTGGGCAACAGAGCGAGACTCCATCTCAAAAAAAAAAAAAAAGAAAAGAAACGAAAGTGATTTGCTCAGGTCACACAGCCAGCAAGGGGGAGAGCTTAGGCAGTCCAACTCCAATGCCATACAGAGCACACTGCTTCTCACACCAAGGCCAGACACCAAATCACTCATTCACATCACACATAGAAATACCTCCTCTCTAGAGTCTTTTGAAGCATATCCATACAGTGGAATATTAGTCAGCTATAAAAAGGAATGATACATGCTACAACATGGATGAACTTTAAAAATTACGCTAAGTGAAAGACGCCAGACACAAAGACCACATATTGAATGATTCCATGTATATGAAATGTCCAGAATAGAAAACTCCATAGAGACAAAAGGAGATTAGTGGTTGCCAAGAGCTGGGAGGGAGGCGGGCAGATGAAGAGTGACTACTAATGAATACGGGTTTTGCTTTGGGGTAATGAAAATGTTCTGGAATTAGTGATGATGGTTTTTCAGCTTTATAAATACAGTGAAAACGGCTGAATTATACATTTTTCTTTTTCTTTTTTTTTTTTTTGAGACGGAGTCTCGCTCTATCGCCAGCCTGGAGTGCAATGGTGGGATCTCAGCTCACTGCAACCTCCGCCTCCTGGGTTCAAGCAATTCTCCTGCCTCAGCCTCCCGAGTACTGGGATTATAGGCGCCCGCCACCACGCCTAGCTAATTTTTTGTATTTTTGGTGGAGACGGGGTTTCACTGTGTTGGCCAGGCTGGTCTCAAACTTCTGATCTCAGGTGATCCACCCACCTCAGCCTCCCAAAGTGCTGGGTGTGAGCCACTGCGCCCGGCCTCATGAAGTCTTATTAATAGGAGTCAGGGACCTGTTAAGATTGAGTCTCTCACCAAGCAAGACAAGGACCTACCACTTATCAGTATTGCTGAGTGTTGGAGTCCCCACCTTGTTAAAGTTTTTTTGTTTTTTTGTTTTTGAGACAAGGTCTCACTCTGTTACCCAGGATGGGGTGCACTGGTGCAATCTCCAGATTCAAGTGATTCTCCTGCCTCAGCCTCCTGAGTAGCTGGGATTACAGGCACACGCCACCACACCAGGCAAATTTTTGTATTTTTAGTAGAGATGGGGTTTTGTCATGTTTTCCAGGCTGGTCTGAACTCCTGGCCTCAAGTGATCCACCTGCCTTGGCCTCCCAAAGTACTGGGATTACAGGCATAGAGCCAACATACCACTCTGCCTTGTTAAAGTTTTTTGTTTGTTTGTTGAGATGGAGTCTCACTCTGTCGCCCAGACTGGAATGCAGTGGTGCGATCTTGGCTCACTGCAACCTCCGCCTCCCACGTTCAAGCCATTCTCCTGCCTCAGCCTCTCCTGAGAGTAGCTGGGATTACAGGCGGCGCACCACCATGCCCACTAATTTTTTGTATTTTTTTAGTAGAGATGGGGTTTCACCATGTTGGCCAGAGTGGTCTCGAACTCTTGACCTCAAGTGATCCACCCATCTCGGTCTCCCAAAGTATTGGGATAACAGTCGTGAGCCACTGCACCCGGCCACCTTGTTAAAGTTTTAAAAAGAGAAATAAGGATGGACACAATTAAAAGATCATATAGACCTTAAGGACTTGGAAACTGAGGTTGCAAGTCAGACACCTCAACTTGGATGAAGGATCTCTGCTCCGCTATTAGTTTATGAATTTGGGCAAGGCTAATAACCTTAAAATCTCAGCTGCTTCAGGTATCAATGACGAATGATCCCTGCCCTCTGCCTTCTACTTTGACCCCATTCTGACCTGCAAAAATGCCGTTCCTCATAATCCTCAAATGAGCTGCGGAAACTTGAAAGGTAATTGTGACCTGCGAATGTGCTACTGACTACTGAGACCCTGTAGGAAAAAATAAAGGGAGGGAGGAATACGGATACTTTTCCTTCCAACCCCATGACCTGATCACAAGAGTTATGTGCATTCTGGATCCCAAGTCACCAGATAACTAACATTCTAACCTTTGAACGTGGTCTCTCAACTGGCCGGGACCTAGCTCTCCCCAGAGACCGTGAGAAACTGGCAGTTGACCGGCTCCTCTGAGCCTGCTGAGTTTTTTTCTATTTGCCCAACCACAGCTCTGCCAGAGAAGCAAAAACTGCTCCAGTATGTATGTAAACCATGAACCAAACTTCCTAATGCACGGAAGAGCGCTGGCAGGAACCATGCCACTGAATCAGACAGTGGCTGTACTGGAAGGTGGAAAAGACTATTCGTCCTTTCGCGTCCTTTAAGTACTTCTGTACTTATCTCTGTGTGTCAGTTCTTCCACGTGGACCTGGTTATGAAAGTTAATGCACTTAAAACAGGGCCTGGCATACTGCAAACGGAAGGTGAACACTACCATTCTTTCTTTCAAAAATTTCTACTGGCCGGGCGCGGTGGCTCACACCTGTAATCTCAGCACTTTTGGAGGCTGAGGCGGGCAGATCACGAGGTCAATATATCGAGACCATCCTGGCCAACATGGTGAAACCCCTTCTCTACTAAAAATACAAAAATTAACTGGGCGTGGTGGTGGGCGCCTGTAGTCCCAGCTCATAGGGAGACTGACGCAGAATTGCTTGAAAGCGGGAGGCGGAAGTTGCAGTGAGCTGAGATCGCGCCACTGAACTCCAGCCTGGGCAACGACAGCGAAACTCCGTCTCAAAAACAAACTTCTACCAAGAACTTGTATTAGTTTTATGGCTAAGGTTTGCTTTTAAACATTTTCTTGATCATTGTTTTACAGGAACATCTCTTTAATGGAAATTTTTAAACTTATTTTTGCCTCCCCCAAATCCATAACCCCAATTTGAAGTAGAAAGTTGCAAACTATGGGGATGAATTTGCGGAAGGGTATGTCTTTTCTTTTTCTATGAACAACTCAGAATCACATCTCAAAAGGTGTAGGCACTTTCAAGAACGCTTCATCCGCCCGCTTTAAGCACGCGCACCGACGAAAGAGTTTGGGGAGCGAGCGCCTCGGGCTTCCCCGGAGGGGAATTTTCACCCCCGCCAGAGGAAGAGGGCCCAGCTGCGCCATTAGCGCGTGCGAGGGAAAATGGAGGCTCCTGGTCCCACCCGCGCACCGGCGCCTGCGCCCTGGGCGCCCACCCCGGCCCGCGAGGCGGCCACGGCCGGAGAGAGAGGGCAAGGGAACCAGTGCCGTGTCGCGCCCCACCCTGCGCCCGAGCGCAGTGCCGGCGAGCCCGGCTCCGGCCCTTGAGAGTCCGCTCCAGGCCGCTCCACACCACGAGCCGCTCCGCAAGTTTGCAGCGCTCCGTGCTTTCCCTCCAGCCCTTTGTGTTCTAGCGCGCGTCGGAAGGAACGCGGGAACGCGCGCCGTGCTGTGCGCCTGCGCAAGGGTTCAGGCGGTGCGCCAAGCCTGGAGTCAAGAGTGGGCGAGGCTCTCGGCCGCTCCGCCCCGGGCCGCCTTCGCTCCGCCCCTCGCCCGCCATTTCGTGCTCCGCCGCGTCTCCCGCGTCTGGGGCGCGGCTTCCGCGTGATGGACGCCCGGAAGCCGGCACAACAAATGCCCAAGCGCCAGGGCTTCGCTGTCTGCAGGTCCTTCCGCTGCCCGCGGAGCGAAGATGGCGCCTAGAGCTTGCAGCGTTGCCCAAATATGGGGGGAATTAGGCGCCTCTACCTCCTCAAGAAGGGTCTGCCGGCTGACCTCGGGGGTGTGCACGTCCTTCTGTGTGCAGAACCCTGGGGCGTGCGCCTTTCTGTATGTGCACAACCTCGGAAGTGTGCGCATACCCTTGCTTACACTCCCTAGCACGCACACCAAAACTCTGGCATGCACGAACCCGCGGGTTTCCATGTTTTCGTATGTGCACGACCTCGAGGATGTACTTGGACCCGAGAATGTCCGCATTTGTGTTTGCACAGGTCCGGGTGTGCACGGACACGTGCATTCAGGAATGTAGTGGTTCACAGAAGCCGCTGTTTGCGCGGCCCGGGGATGTACGTGGACCCTCGAGTGCTAGCCCCGCCTCCGCTGTCTGTGGCCCGCGAACACGATCTTGTTTCCGGCCTGTTTTGGATTCATTTGCACTTGCCCAGTTTACATGCAAAGCATAATCTGCCGACCACCCCAAGCAATTTTTAATCTTTCCTTCGTTCTTTCTTCACTGATTTTTTGGCTCCTGCCCTGGACCCAACTTTGCACTTGGGCGCACACGGTGATAGTGACGCAGAGCATGAAGCCAGTGGGAGAAACGCCTAGAAATAGGCAGTTAGGACAACCTGAGACCACTGTGAAGGAGGCGCTTGGCTTGTCAATGACAGGGGAAGCGGCCTGGAGGAAGCCGTGAGCCGAGACCAGGGCATGGGGTAGAGGGAATAGGGTAATGGGCCCAGGACTGTTTGGGGAGGCATTCAGTCTCATTTGAGAGGATGGTGGGTGGAAGCAGAGGAGGCAGGTCATGGAGAGGAGTGTGTGGGGAAGGGACCTGTTGGTGAGGCTCGGGGGGCAGAAGACTTGGGCAGGCGTCTGAAGTGAGAGCTCGCATGGACTGGCCTCCCTAGGGAGCAGTGGGGAGAAGCAGCTGGGGCCTGGGGGTAGAGCCCGTGTGCCCACTGTTGACACCTTCGCGGGCTACTGCTCCTCGTGGCTTCTGTATGGAGCACAGGCCTCTTTCCGGGAGAGGGACTCGGACTGCAGGCTCCAGCCCTGCACTGCCATGAAAGGCCTGGGCAGGTTGTCTGCATAAGAACAGTACCTCTGGTGGTGGAAATGGAGGGAGACGCCACGGCACAGAGGACCTGTCCCAGACACGCGGGATGGCAAGCATCAGAGCTGGAGTGACTGCCGAGGTCCCCTGGTGAGGCCCTCCTTGTCTCTCCCTCAGCAGCCTAGTCCCCTCTGATTTTTTTTTTTTCTTTTTTGAGACGGAGTCTCTGTCGCCCAGGCTGGAGTGCAGTTGGCACCGTGTAGGCTCACTGCAACCTCTGTCTGCTGGGTTCAGGCACTCCTGACCTCAGGTGATCCACCCGCCTCGGCCTTCCAGAGTGCTTGGGATTACAGATGTGAGCCACCGCGCCCGGCCCGTCCTCTGTTTATGGTTACGGGTACTCTCCAGTCATGCTCACGGAAAACCTCTCCCTGGAGGTGTCTGCGTTTGCCTTGAGAATCCCTCTCCACGAGGTCCCCAATGTGTCTGTCCCCAGCTCATTGGAACATGTCTCAGGGAGCAGGGGCCACTTCGCACACTTTGCAGGACAGCCTTTTTGCTGTAGGCCAGATCTTTTTTCTTTTTCCTTTTTTTGGAGACAGAGTCTTGTTCTCTTGCCCAGGCTGGAGTGCAGGTAATATGATCTCAGCTTACTGCAACCTCCACCACCTGGGTTCAAGCGATTCTCATGCCTCAGCCTCCTGAGCAACTGGGATTATAGGCATGTATCACCACACCTGGCTAATTTTTGTATTTTTAGTAGAAATGGGGTTTCACTATGTTGGCCAGGCTGGTCTCGAACTCCTGGCCTCAAGTGAACCACCCGCCTCAGCCTCCCAAAGTGCTGGGATTACAGGCACTAGCCAATGCACCCGTCCTAGGCCAGATTTTTTTTTTTTTAATCTGAAATGAAGGTTTTTTTTCAGTCACCCAGAAGACACTTTTTTGTTTTGAGAGAGAGTCTTGCTTTATTGCCCAGGCTGGAGTGCAGAGGTGCAATTTCGGGATTACAGGCACATGCTACCACGCCTGCCTAGTTTTTTGTCTTTTTAGTAGAGACGGGGTTTTCTTGGCCAGGCTGGTCTCAAACTCCTGACCTCAGATGATATTCCCGCTTCAGCCTCCCAAAGTGCTAGGATTACAGGCGTGTTCCACCGCGCCCAGCCTAGACCAGATCTGTTTTATCTGAAACGGAAATGAAGGCTTTTTTTCTGTCACCCAAAAGATACTTTCTGAGCACATGGTCTGTTAAGCCTCTGTCTGGACTAGAGATAGAGCTGTGGAGCAGTTCCTGCCTCTAAGGAACATACAGGCCCAAGTCCCAGGACATGAGGGTCCAGAAGCAGACAAACAGCTTCTTTCCACTGAACCTGGACCTGCCTTCACCCTCCCCACCCAGCCCCGTGCATCTTGAATTAAAACAGAGAAGCTGGGGATTGGATGGCGGCAGGCCCTTCTCCCCACCAAGAGAGTGGCCCTGCCAGGCACTGCCTTCCTCTTTCCCAGGCCTGGGAATTGCCCCCAGCCCCTGCTTCTGGGAGTAACGGGGAGTTGACTGCACTCTGGGACACCAGTTGGGACCCTCCTCAGAAGGGGATGGGGACAGTCCTCAGTGCAGGGCAGTCTGCGGGGGAGGCCATGGTGGGGCTATCCCACTGACCTCCCTCAGCACCATATCTGGACAGCCGTGCCACCCTGGGAGGTGGGGTGAGGGGGCCAGTGTCTAGCCGTCTAGCTGTTGTTCCCGTGACACTCAGGCCTCAGGGCAGGTTGTGCCACTTTCATCCACCAGCAGGGCCAAGGCCTGGAGCCCGCAGGGCACCAATTCTGAGATCTGCTCTAAACAAGGCCTGCATCCTTCAAAGTTGGTGAGGTGGTCTCTTCTCCTGTAGGACAGGCAGGTTTCCTACTTTCCCCAAAGGCCCCAGGACTTGGGTGATGTCCTTCTCCGTCAACGGTCCTCTCCTTCAGCACAAGGCTCCAGAGGCAGCTCCCCATCCCACCCCACTCCTGAGCAGGCGGCCGGAGCTGCCCCCTCTGAATGCCACGCTGGGCAAGGGGTCCGTGCCTGGGAAACACCTGGTGGGCAATGCTCTGGCCTCAAGAATAAACAACGGGGATCTAGATGATGCCACCGTCCTCAGTCTCTGACCTCCAAAGGAGCCACATTCAAGAGAAGGGAGGTCCCTCCACAAATGAGACAGCAGAAGAATAAATGCTACCCTGTGCCTGCCGACTTCCTGCAGAGGTCTGTGGGCTCGTGTAAATAATTGAATGGAAAACTTCAGAAGGAAGGCAGCCCACGGGAGCCTGGCCTTGCCCGCCAGAAAGCAGGTTATAAAATGTTTCCCATGTAAGTGGTGGCTGGGGGTAGTCAGGAGGCCTAGTTACAACCCCGAGAAGTAAGGCTGCCCTGGGCTCCCAGGGGAAACACTGGGCTGGGTGGGTGGGCGCTCTTCAGGGAGTAGATTCCTCCCGGCCACCCTCAGCTCCTAGTCTCTTGGGTGTGGTAGCTCCAAGATCTCAAAGCCCAATCGCCGAGCCCGGTGGTTTCCGATGTGTCCTACCCTCCCTCCTGCTGCACATGCAGCTTGCATTGCTGGGGAGTAAGGGGAGATGATTTCCGGCCAGCACAGGCAAAGCCAGGCAGGGAGTCCCCTGAGGCGGCGCAGCAGGAGGACCACCAAGTGTGGCCCATACGCCCGGCATCCGGCCCTCTCCCTGCCTTGTCCTCAGCTGAGGCCTGAGGTGAATTGTAGGCTGGGCCGATTCCCCACCCCTGGCCTCAGGGCGGTTCCTCCTGGGTCCAACTGCCCCAGCCCAGGCCATCTGGGAGGCAGGCTGGGCGGGGAGAGAGGGAGGGAGGACGTGTGTGAGCCACTGCCCAGCCCCCGAGGCACAAACATTTCCTTATGTGGTGGCTCTGAGTGCCCGGGCGACACCCTAGAGGCTGCTGGGGAGGGCCAGGGCCGGACACACCCTGGGTGATCGCAGAAGCAGAGCCCCTGCCCAACAGGATCTTGGCCTCATCTTGTGGAGGAACGGACCCCCACCTGGCTCTTTGTCCCCTGGAGTGGCCCACAATCCCCTAGGAGGAAGTGGTCACTGCTTCTGTACGGGATGTTTCCCCAAATTCCCCGTGTTTGCAAGAGAAACTGTGAGATTAGAGGTACAGCAGAGACCCCAGCCCCGGGACAGGAAGGGGTGAAGGGTGGGCTGGCAGGCCCCTAGCCTCAGGGTGCGCCTCCCGCACCGCCCCCCACTCAGCACCAGGCACGGCGCTACTCCCTTTGTTTCCGGCAGGCTTTGGGAGCTATATTTGGCTGTGGGGGGATAACAGGGTGACTCATGGGAGGGACGGCCCGGGGTGGGAAGTGGAGGAGCTGTGTCTCTGGAAATGCGGCTCCCTCTGTTCCCAAGCCTGCCGCAGGTGCTAGCCCTCCGTGAGCGCTGAAAGCAAAACAGCCAACAACGCCAGGGCTCCCACCTGTAATCTCAGCACTTTGGGAGGCCGAGGGGGGCAGATTGCTTGAGCCCAGGAGTTTGAGACCAACCTGGCCAGCACAGTGAGACCCCGTCTCTACAGAAAAAAATTAGCCAGGTGTGACGGTGCACGCCTGTGGTCCCAGCTACTCTGGATGCTGAGGCAGGAGAATCACCTGAGCCTAGAAGTTCAAGGCTGGAGAGAGCCGAGATCACGCCACTACACTCCAGCCTGGGCAACAAAATAAGACCCTATCTCAAAAAAAAAAGAAAGAAAGAGAAAAGAAAAAGAAACTGGGCAGACCCAGCATAGCTGCCTCCCACAGCAACGCAAGGCTGCATGGTCCCTGCACTTGCTCTCGGGGTGTAGGACATTGACCTCAGGGGGCACCCCAGCTGTCCAGAGTCTGGTTAGCACACCCCAGGCCTGATCCCCTGGGATGTCTACTCAGACCCCCGAACTGCCCTAGCTTCTCAGGCCAGTGTCATTTCTCCAAGGTGACAGCCTTTAAAGCAGATTTGAATGGCTGACAGGGCGTGTTCCCCATGGGATATGTATTTTATTGTTGTTTTATGGCTTTTTTTTTTTTTCTTGAGACAGAGTCTCACTCTGTCGCTCAGGCTGAAGTGCAATGGAGCAATCTCGGCTCACTGCAACCTCTGCCTCCTGGGTTCAAGCGATTGTCCTGCCTCAGCTTCCCAAGTAGCTGGGATTATAAGCACCTGCCACCATACCTGGAGAATTTTTTTTGTTTTGTTTTGTTTTTTGAGACACACCTGGCTAATTTTTGTTTTTGTTGTTGTTTGTTTTTTTTTTTTGAGACAGAGTTTCCCTCTTGTTGCCCAGGCTGGAGTGCAACGGTGCAATCTCGGCTCACTGCAACCTCCGCTTCCCAGGTTCAAGCAATTCTCCTGCCTCAGCCTCCCAAGTAGCTGGGATTACAGGCACGTGCCACCACACCCAGCTAATTTTGTATTTTTAGTAGAGATGGGGTTTCTCCATGTTGGTCAGGCTGGTCTCGACCACCTGACTTCAGGTGATCCGCCTGCCTCGGCCTCCCAAAGTGCTGAGATTACAGGCATGATGAGCCACTGCGCCCGGCATTTTTGTATTTTTAGTAGAAATGGGGTTTCACCATGTTGGCTGGGCTGGTCTCGAACTCCTGACCTCAGGTGATCTGCCTGCCTTGGCCTCCCAAAGTGTTGGGATTACAGGCATGAGCCACCGTGCCTGGCCAGGATATTTTTTAAATGGGGCTCCAGTAAGAAATGTGCTCATTCCAGTGCATCTTGAATTGGTCTGATTTCAGGGAGTATATAGGTTGAGGCTGACTCCGAAAGTTAACCCTGGTCTAGGAGGCCTTGGCATGCCAGCACCGCCAGTACCACCCCCACCGGGCTGAGGGGATGAGCCTGCTGGGCCTGGCTGCCAGCTGGCCCTGCGACTCCCATCTTTTCTCCGACAGCCCCTTGATGCTCGGCTCCCCGGGGTCTGTCCTTGGTCCCTCAGTCAAGGGACATCCATCTCTAAATTGCCTTCCTCCCTTGGTCAAGGGACATGCATCTCTAAAGTGCCTTCCTCCCAGCGACTACCCTTACCACCTGACACTGGGAAAGTCACCTCCTGCCTCAGAGCTCCCATTGGCCCCAGCCCAACTTGCCCCATCCTGATTCAGTGGGAATGGGTAGGATTCAAGCCCCCCAGTTCGAGACCCAGTCTTCTGTGGTACACTAGGATCCCAGAGCTGAAGTAGAGAATCTGGTTAATACATCAGTGTACAGACTCTTCAGTTTTAAGATTCTCTTTCCATACTGGGGGAGGTCTCAGGAATCTGTAGAAGGTAGATGGGGAAATGGACACTCAGAAGCATCAGACACTTCACAATCCAGATGCTGATAAAATGGCCAAACCTTGGTGTTCAAAGGGATCTTAGTGGTCATCTCATTCAACCCAACTACCCAAAGCAGAAATCTCTTCTACTGCTTCCTTGATTGCTTCCAGCAGCGGGGAACTCACTGCCTTGGTATGGTTTTGTTTTGCTTCTTGTTTTTGAGATAGTCTCTCTTTGTCACCTAGGCTGGATTGCAGTGGCATGATCATGGCTCACTGCAGCCTTGACTTCCTGGGCTTGAGCGATCCTACCTTCTCAATCCACTCCCCCTCAAAGTAGCTGGGACTATAGGTGTGTGCCACCATGCCCCACTTATTTCTGTATTTTTAGCAGAGGCAGGGTTTTGCCATGTTGCCCAGGCCAGTCTTGAACTCCTAGGCTCAAGTGATCCTTCTGCCTTGGCCTCCCAAAGTGCTGGGATTACGGGTGCGAGCCACCACGCCCGGCGGGTGTGTTCTGTCTTATACTTAAAGGAATTAAAATTTTCCTCCTTCAGCGTCTGTCCTCGTGGTCCTTGTTCTGTGTGTTCTGTGAAAGCAGAGTTACAGGGTGGTTTGCTACCCGCTGCATCCCACCACCTCATACAAAGCTGGGATGTAGCGATGTTCAATGGATATGCTGCCGGAATGATGGATGAAGCAATACTGAATGTTAGCCATGGTGCTGCCTTGCAGTCATCTACTCTAGGCTATACAGCACCATCTCACATATGACAGACAGGGTTTCCAGAACATTCCTCATCCTTCCCACGCCTCTACCACATGCAGGTTGCAGAGTTCTTTTGAGCAGTGGGCCCTCTGCAGTGAACTCAGTTTTCCAGGACTGTCCTGAATGGCACAGAAGTGGAGTGGGGCATGCCACCCCTCGGGGTGCACTCCATGCTGCTGTCCGCACAACCTGCCCTGCGAGGGCTTATTTCAGCATCACGCCATAGGTGCATCTCTCTGAGCCCCAGGCTGGTCCTTGGTGCAGCAGAGATGCAACTTTAACTTCCAGAGTTTTAGCAAAGCATGGGGCTCCTTGCTTTGTATGGCAATGGTACCACACCTTGGAAGAGGGCAGCCCCAGGCCCTCCTAGGTGGAACCTGTTCAAGGGGCCAACAGTCTCGTTGTGGGGCAAGAAGATGCCAGAGTGTGCCCCTTGCTTAGTTTCCTCAGTGAGCGAGACCTGGCATTGGGGGTCTCCCAGTCCCCAAGCTGAGAGACCCATAACCAGGTCATCAGCAGTTGTCTGACTGTGGGTGGAGGAGCCCCTGGGCCCCAGGGCTTCCAGGCACTGTGGCTCAGCTTTGCCGGCCCAGAGAGCCACATAGGCATGAGGTAGTTGTGAACACACAGTTCTGGGTTAATAAGTGTTTGCTGACTGACTCCCAAGGGCTAGGAGGTGGGGAACTGCCACAGGCTGGTGGCTGGCAGACTTCATATGGCACCTGGGACGCTGGGGGGTCCTGGTCCCCTCTGCCGTGAGGGGCCAGGTCAAACTCATCCCTCTCACCCCAGCCCACAGGTTGCAGGTCTTTTTTTTTTTTTTTGAGATGGAGTTTCACTCTTGTTGCCCAGGCTGGAGTGCAGTGGTGCAATCTTGGCTCACTGCAACCTCTGCCTCCCGGGTTCAAGCGATTCTCCTGCCTGAGCCTCCCAAGTAGCTGGAATTACAGGTGCCCGCCACCACGCCCGGCTAATGTTTGTAGTTTTAGTAGAGACAGGGTTTCACCATGTTGGCCAGGCTGGTCTTGAACTCCTGACCTCAGGTGATCCACCTGCCTTGGCTTTCCAAAGTGCTGGGATTACAGGCGTGAGCCACCACGCCCGGCCACACAGGTTGCAGATTTGATGAAGGGCAGGGAGGAGGCTCTGGCTAAGACCAGGCTGGATCTGAACTTGTAGTCCAAAGGCAGAAGGAGTGAGATCCAGACTATCCCAGGAAGGAACTGGGGCCTCTGGAAAACCAGAGAGGTTTTCCTCCCCTGAAGGGGTTTTGTGGCACCGTCCCTCAACAGGCCACCTGGTGGCCACAGAGGCTCAGGCAGGGTTGGGTGGGGGGGAATGGGAGGGGATGGGGTGGGTCAGGGCCATTGCTCCCTGCTGAGTCCCACTGGGGATCATTGTGACAGAGAGGAAACCCCTGTTGGTGCAGGGAAGCCAAAGGAAAATAAAATTTGCCCCACCCTGAAAAGGAAAGGAAGACTCAGGAGAGAGGCCCCAGAGGGGGAGGCGTTACTGCCCAAAGGCTCCCAAGACCTGTCAGGTCAGCAGACACCAGCTGTGTCCCAGCAGAAGGTGGCCGGTTGAGCCCAGCTCCAGGAGGACACCAGCTCGGCTCCCATGCCACAAGGGCTGGTCGGGCCTGAGAAAGCGCCTGCCCAGATGTGCCAAGGAGAGTTGGCCCCACACCCAGACCTGCACTGCTGACTCCAAGCAGAGGCTGCGCCCACCTCACCCTCCTTCCTGCAGGAAGTGTGGCTTTGCAACAGTGGCTGGTCTGAGGAACTGCCTCCTAGGCTAAGCCCTCTGGCTACCTCCCCAGGCCTCAGGGATCCCCCTGGAACACACCTGCAGTCCCGTCCAAGGCAGGCTGTGTACTCTGAAAGAGCCCTGGGGTTCCAGGACAGAGCCCACCGGCGCTCACTGGCTAGAGAGCCTGGGGCAGTTCACTCTGCCAGCCGGCCCCCAGTGCTCAGTCCCAGCTCTGCCAGCCAGCATGTAATTTTTCTGCCTGTGAGAGCGTGAGCCACCTGAGCCGGCTGAGCTGAGTGGGCAGGACCAGAGGTCAGGACCAGAGCCTGGGTGCAAAATGCAAACATGGCCCCGTATGCAAATCACTCAGTTGTTTGTTCCTTCTCTCCTGACAAGGGCCAGCCACACCCAGATGCCGAAAAGAGCGCGCATGGCCTGGTCCCTGGGTGTCCTCAAGAGAGGAGTGGGCTGGGCACCTGATGGAGCACAGCAGCGCTAACCTCTGGGGCAGGACCCAGCTGAGCAGACGGCCCTTTCTCTTCGGAGCCGCGAGCCCTCGGTCTCCGCCCGAGGGAATTCATAGCATTCTGCCTTTCCTGAAATCACTCCTGTCCCAAGTGGAGTCATCCCACAGACCATCAGTGATGTCTGTTTCCCCAGGCTCAGGGCAGACTTTCAGTCTGGGGCTGAGGTGGCCCTGTGTGTCTAGGGGCTGATGTGGGCAGACCTTTGAGGAGCTGGCTGGGAACCCCTCCCCCGCCTTCATAACAGGGACCACTGCAGGGTGGTAAGCCAGGCCCACATAGCTCTTTTTTTTTGCCCAGCTAATTTTTTGTATTTTTAGTAGAGACGGGGTTTAATCATGTTGGCCAGGATGGTCTTGAACTCCTGACCTCAGGTGATCCACCCACCTAGGCCCCCTAAAGTGCAGGGATTACAGCCATGAGCCACTGCACCCGGCCATCCACATAGCTCTTTCTTGCCTGAAAGATCCTGGGCCAGGAGGGAACTAAGCTTGGGACCCTGCCTCAAAGGATGCTGGGCAGGGTGACGCCAGCACTGGGTGGGTAGCAGTCCCCTGAGGCTGCGGGTGGCAGACAGCTGGGCCACGGGGACCCTGGGGAGTCCCAGATGTTGTCTCTTTCAGCTCACTGCTTCTCCGAATGTGACGGGGAGACTGGGGAGGCCACAAGGAGGAGACGAGGGGCCCCCACGGGGGTTTACTGAGGAGCACACAGTGCGGGCAGTGGGCCATCTGTCCCAGGGCTGGGCCAGGGAGGGGCTTCCCAGTATCAGCAGGCAGGGCCGCCCTCAGGCCCAGCTCCCCCAGGAGTGCATGGCAGGGGCACCTGGCTCAGGGCTGAATGGAATGAGATGGGTCCAGAGCACCCCCTGCACACAGTGAGGCTCAGGTGAACCTGGGAATGTTCAGGGAGAGGCACAGGAGAAACAGGAGGCCTGAAAGGGAGGGGCCTGGCCTGAGGGCAGATCTGGAGGGAGGGCCCACCCGCAAGCTGCTTCCCTCCGGCCTGCTGGAGGCGCCAAAATCACCCTAGCCCGGGCCCCACCCGACAGTCTGAAAGCCCTTTCTCTTTCCATACTGGGGGAGGTCTGAAAGCCCTGGGCAGGGACCGACGTTCTGATTTCACGGCAGACCTTGTTTTCCACCAAATCAGTGAGCCCTGGTTCTGGAGGGTCCTTGAAATCTCCCCTAAGAGCTTGGTCAGAGCCTCGGAGGAAGGAGGCGTTTGGGGGAGGAGACTCAGATCTGGGAGGCCGGGTCTAGAAGGTCCGGCCCATCCTTGGGACCCCAGAACCTGGTCCCTGAAAGGCATGGCCCCTCCTGAGGCACTGACTCTGGGGACTGAAGCCCCCACAGAGCTCTCACTTCCAAGGCCCCCCAACCCTGGGCCACTGGGGAATCCCTGCTCCCTCCCCTTCCCCACCCATCCTCTTAGGCTCCTTCTCCTCCCATCCCCCAGGGAAAAGAGGGCCCGCCCCCCACGCCAGGGCATCCCACTTCCTGCCTCTCACCGGCAAACAGCTCCCAATCCCAGTCCTCAGTGAGGAAACGGAGGTGTGTCTGACCCCTCCCAGCCAGGCTCCACCACAGTGCTGGCCCTTGACTGTATTTGTCCGTCCTGTTGGCTTCCTCCAGGTCGGTCTTGTGTTCACACAGGGTACTCTAGCCCACCTCCCTCCTGCTTCCCTGACTTCACAGCCTCCATATATATATATATATATTTTTTCCTTCTCCTTCCAGATGGAGTTTTGCTCTGTTGCCTAGGCTGGAGTGCGGTGGCAAGATCTCGGCTCACTGCAACCTCCTCTTCCTGGATTGAAGCGATTCTCCTGCCTCAGCCTCCAAGTAGCTGGGATTACAGGCGCCCACCACCACACCCAGCTAATTTTTTGATATTTTTAGTAGAGATGGGTTTCCCGAGTTTCACTGTGTTGGCCAGGCTGGTCCCAAACTCCTGACCTCAAGTGATCCGCCCGCCTCGGCCTCCCAAAGTGCTGGGATTACAGGCGTGAGCCACCAAGCACGGCCCCGCAGCCTCCTTCTTGAAAGAGATGTCCACACCCCATCTGCCCCTCCTTCTCCCTTCCTCATTCCTCAGCAGCTGGCCTCCTGCGGCTGCTCCCAGGATCTTCTGCAGAGTCTGGTCCAGCCAACCCCACCTACCTGGCTCCACATCCACGTCTTTTGAGCCCTCCTCTTCTCCGCCCCATGGGTGCCCGTTTCTCCAGGCCTGCCTCTCTGCCCTCCTGTCCTCACCACAGGCCCTTCTTTCTGCCTGGGCCTTCTTTCTGCCTTCCCTCTGAGAGTGGAAGTGGGGAGGCTGGGAACAAAGGCTGGCATAGGGCACCCTGGGTGCAAAGAGGCCTCACTGTGTACCAGCTGGATGGCCTTGGTTTCCTCAGGCATAAAGTGAGGTTGGTAACGTGGAATTGGCCTCTGGGTCCTGTGAGGACTTAGAGGCACACATCCAGGCAGCTGCTGCACACCCAGGGGGCTGAGATTTGCCCAATGGACTCTGGCACCAGTGCTTTCAGCCACAGTGAGAGGTTTGCAGAGGGCTTCATAAGTCCTCAGGCATTTGGGCTGATCTGGGAGTCCCAGTGACCCAAGCAGCCACACACATTCCCACACAGCTCAGCGCATTACTCTTCCAAGCAAGGGGCAGGCGCGTTTTGAGGGCCTCGACCATTTGTACGGAACACCGTGTTCTGTCTGCTGCCACTGGTCTCAAGGAGGACGAATCCCCTCGACCTTACCCCACCCTGGGCATCTCCACCCAGAGCCCTGGGACGTGAGGGCTGGGGGCTGGCAGCAGATGGGTTAACTCCTGGCCTGGCTCCAGAAGGATGCCCCGTCAGCCTGCAAACCCCTCTGGACTCCTGGCACCCCTCCCCTCCCACACGGCCCCTCTACCCTCCGACTGAAGGGCACAGGGGCTCCCCCAGGTGGCCAAATGCACGAAGGCCAGAAACGGGGGAGTCCGGCAAAGACTCACTGCAAACAGCTCGCCCCTTCCGCCCCATAAATACAGCTCCCTGGTCGGACCAGGTGTTCTGACTTGGGATTTGGAAAATCAGGCCACCTGTATGTGGATTTGCGTCTGTAGGAAGCCAGCGGCTTTGCAGCCCAGGTGTTGTAAAGTATTCTTAGCAGGCTGTGGGGGAACTGCTTGCAGCCATTCTAAAGCTGTGGCAGGGTTTAGAATGACACACTCTGCCATGTGTCATGGGTCACAGGACACAGAGATATGGGGACAGGAAACAGCCCAGAGGCCCAGCTCGAAGCCAGAAATGCACCAGTAACCACTATCATGTATAACATGCCTCTGTGTGCCTGTCACCATGCTCAAGGCTTTCCATCCCTCGTCTCATTTACTTCTCACAACAGCCTAGGAGTTAGGCACTCTGATTCTCCCCATTTAGCAGATGAGGAAACTGAGGCTGAAGTTAAATCCTTTGTCTAGAATCACACAGCTAGACAAAGCCTGAACTTGAACTCAAATATGTCTGCCTCCCAGCTCTTTGCTCTTTTTTTTTTTTTTGAGATGGAGTCTCGCTGTGTCGCCCAGGCTGGAGTGCAGTGGCGCAATCTTGGCTCACTGCAAGCTCCGCCTCCCCGGTTCACGCCATTCTCCTGCCACAGCCTCCCGAGTAGCTGGGACTACAGGCACCCGCCACCGTGCCTGGCTAATTTTTTTGTTATTTTTAGTAGAGACGGGGTTTCACTGTGTTAGCCACGATGGTCTCGATCTCCTGACCTCGTGATCTGCCCGCCTCGGCCTCCCAAAGTGCTGGGATTACAGGCGTGAGCCACCATGTCCGGCCTTTAGCTCTTTGCTCTTATGCAAGCCTGCCTGTGCACAGGAAGATGACTTGGCCAAGTAACTAGAGAGCCACGAGTATACTCGTGAGATGCTCATCAACGAGGATGTGCAACGCCTTCTTACCCCAGAAGCATGCACAGCAGGCGCTCCGCAATTGCAGCTGGAACACAGGGAATGCATACACATGAGAAACAGGAAGGCAGGACCCAGCTTCCCCCAAAAACAGCACACACAGGCACCCAGGGGCCCTGATACCTGCCAACAGCAAGATGTGTACAAGACTCAGGGCTTGGGTACTGGTCCTTCTAGACCACAGGCACCTAGACACCATTGAGTGAACCAAGATCCAGAAAGTTCCAGTGACAGGTTGTGGCCCACTCTCGGCTTACTGGCAGGCTGAGCTCCAGCATTCTCAGACCCAGACAGGTTCCTGGTGACAGCCATGCACAAGCAGGGAACACATCCATGAATGTGGGTTCAATCACACACGGCTCCACCCACATATACATCTTCCAAAGACAAAACCTGCTGCCACCATCTGTGCAGACACAGTTGAACACCTGGCCTCTTGGTCACACAGTTCAGCTCACAATGACAAGCACACACACGACACACACAGAGAGACACAGACACACGCACACACAATACAGACAAACACACGCACATGAAAGGGGGTCTCAGAGAGAAGGGGAAGAAAGGAGGAGCTGGCTCAGGAGCTGAAAATCCCTGCAGTCCCACAGACACGCAGGGCCTAAGCCCTGGGATCCGGCCCCTGGGCTGCAGACTCTGTCCTCAGGTGGCTGCCACCCACCTTCTGGGGCCCCGCCTGCCTTCTGTCTTCTGTCCTTCCATTTTATTTATTTATTTATTTATATATATATATATATATATATTTTTTTTTTTTGAGACAGAGTCTTGCTCTGTCACCCAGGCTGGAGTGCAATGGTGAGATCTCGGCTCACTGCAACCTCCACCTCCCGAGTTCAAGCAATCCTCCTGCCTCAGCTCCCTAAGTAGCTGGGACTACAGGCACGTGCCACCGCACCTGGCTACTTTTTTTTTGTATTTTGAGTAGAGACAGGGTTTCACCATGTTGGCCAGGCTGGTCTCGAACTCCAGACCTCAGATGATCTGCCCCCTTTGGCTTCCCGAGGTGCTGGGATTACAGGCGTGAGCCACTGTGCCCAGCCTGCCCTCCCATTTTAGTTAGTTAGTTATTATTATTATTATTATTATTATTTATTGTATTTTATTTTTTTTGAGATGGAGTCTTGCTCTGTCGCCCAGGCTGGAGTGCAGGGCATGATCTCAGCTCACTGCAAACTCCGTCTCCCGGGTTCATGACATTCTCCTGTCTCAGCCTCCTGAGTAGCTGGGACTACAGGCACCCGCCACCACGTCCGGCTAATTTTTTGTATTTTTAGTAGAGATGGGGTTTCACCGTGTTAGCCAGGATGGTCTCGATCTTCTGACCTCGTGCGTGATCTGCCCGCCTCGGCCTCCCAAAGTGCTGGGATTACAGGCATGAGCCACCACGCCTGGCCAATATTATTATTTTTGAGACAAGCTCTCTGTCACCCAGGCTGGAGTGCAGTGGCGCCGTCACAGCTCATGGCTCGCTGCAGCCTCAGCTTCCTAGGCTCCAGCGATCCTCTCACCTCAGCCTCCCAATTAGTTGGGACTGCGGGAGTCAGCCACCACACCTGGCCACCTGACTAATTAAAACTTTTTTTTTTTTTTTGCAGAAATTGCGGGGGGAGGGGTCTCACTATGTTCCCTAGGCTGCTCTTGAACTCCTGGGCTCAAGCGATCCCCCTGCCTCAGCCTCCCAAAGCAAAGCACTGGGATGACAGGCATGAGCTACCTTGTCTGGCCACCTTCCTGTTTTAAACGCTGAGCCGAGGCCTGAAATGCCCCTGATGACCACCAGAGGGCGGATGAGCATCAAATAATCCCTTCAGCCAGCCTCCTTCCAAAACCCTCCTCATTCATTCATTCTGAAACATGTATTAAGCACCCGTTTGTGCCAGGTCCTGGGACACAGAGAAGAAAGGTGGGGGAAAGTAGGGGAAAGGCGATTAAGGCAAGGGAAGAGGTGTGTGCCTAAAGTCCGGTGGGAATGGAGGTTAGATTTTGGGGAAAGGTGTTGGTAGGAGGGGCTGGGTAAAAAAAAAAAAAACCCAGCTAGACTGTACTGAGTATCAGCAGTGTTCCAAGCTGTTCCAGAGTTTTTTTGTTTTGTTTTGTTTTGTTTTTTCTTTTTCGAGACGGAGTTTCGCTCTTGTTGCCCAGGCTGGAGTGCAATGGGGCAATCTCGGCTCACCGCAACCTCTGCCTCCTGGGTTCAAGCAATTCTCCTGCCTCAGCCTCCTGAGTGGCTGAGATTACAGGCATGCACCACTATGCCTGGCTAATTTTGTATTTTTAGTAGAGATGGGGTTTCACTGTGTTGGTCAGGCTGGTCTTGAACTCCTGAGCTCAGGTGATCTGCCCGCCTCGGCCTCCCAAAGTGCTGGGATTACAGGTGTGAGCCACCGAGCCCGGCCCAGAGTTGGTTGTTTTTTTTTTTTTTTTAGATGGAGTCTTGCTCTGTTGCCCAGGCTGGAGTGCAGTGGTGCCATCTTGGCTCACTGCAACCTCCACCTCCTGGGTTCAAGCGATTCTCCTGCCTCAGCCTCCCGAGTAGCCGGGATTACAGGCGCCCACCACCACACCCGGCTAATTTTTGTATTTTTAGTAGAGACGGGGTTTCACCATCTTAGCCAGGCTGGTCTTGAACTCCTGAACTTGTGACCTACCTCGGCCTCCCACAGTGCTGGGATTACAGGCGTGATCCACTGCGTCTGGCCCAGAGTTTTTTGTTTTTTGTTTTGTGACATGCATTAATTCATTTACTCCATGAGTGTATGAACTAGATATCCAGTATAACTTCCATTATTCTACTTATTATTGGTACAGTAAGGGAGACATAATGAGAGTTACTACTCCACCAGGCTGTTGTAGGGATTGAACTGCTCAGCAGGAGTATGTGTAAAGCACTCAGAAAACTGCCCTGTTGTTATCGTCATTCTCATTTTACAGATGGGGAAACTGAGGCATAGTTAGCAAGGAGTAGGGGTCAATCATGAGCAGGCTGGTTCCAGTGCATGAGTGGAGGAGGCCAAGGCAGTGGCTGGGGAGCAGAACAGGAGAGGTAGGGGCGTGTGGGGCATCTGAGTGGAGGAGAAGCATGGGGGCCCAGGCCTACCCTCTGGCCTTGACCTGGGAGAGGGCCTCCATATCCCCAGGGATGAAGATAAAGGACAAACAGCCCCCAGATCCCTCTGCCTCATCTTTCTTGGAGAGCTTGGGGAGGTGTGAGGGCCAGGTCCCTAAACTCTGGCTCCCTTCTGTTTGGGGCTCATGGGGCTCGGGGCTCATGGGGCTCAGGGCTCCACAGCGATGGGCCTCTGGACTGGTCTCTCCCATCCGGCCTGGCACCCTAGCCCTGGCCCATGCGTTGGGGACAAGGGGCCTACCCACTCTGTGGCTGCCAGTCCCCCAGCATCTGGGCAGAGTGATAACACCCTTCCACCTCCCTACACATGTTGAGGCTTTACTCCCACAAAGCCCTCTTCTCATTTTTATTTATTTATTTTTTTTGAGATGGAGTCTCGCTCTGTCGCCCAGGCTGGAGCACGGTGGCACGATCTCAGCTCACTGCAACCTCCATCTCCCAGGTTTAAGCAATTCTCCTGCCTCAGCCTCCTGAGTAGCTGGGGCTACAGGTGCCTGCCACCACGCCCGGCTACTTTTTTTGTATTTTTAGTAGAGACGCGGTTTCACCGTGTTAGCCAGGATGGTCTCGATCTCCTGCCCTTGTGACCCGCCCGCCTCGGCCTCCCAAAGTGCTGGGATTACAGGCTTGAGCCACCGTGCCCGGCTAATTTTTTGTATTTTTACTAGAGATGGGGTTTCACCGTGTTAGCCAGTGTGGTCTCAATCTCCTGACCTCGTGATCTGCCCGCCTCGGCCTCTCAAAGTGCTGGGATTACAGGCGTGAGCCACTGCGCCCGGCCTAAAGCCCTCTTTTCTATAGGATCCCATCTAATCTTCACAGCAATTTGGGAGATAGGCCCTTATTATATTAGTCTTACAACTGCAGGAGCCACGTGGGAAGGAAGGGGATTGCCCCAGGTCACACGGCTCCTCCCTGGGCCAGCCCTCTGCCATGATTTTTGCCGCAAATCATGAGCTCTTACTCCCACGCCGCCCTGTTCCCTGCACTACCGGACCCTTGGTGGCCATCTAGGGGATGGAAGTAGCTGTCCCTTGCGGATGATGACCCCTGTGCCGGACTGGGGATGGGGCTGCATGAGGCATGGTTTAGAGTCACCAGCATTCAAAGGGGCAGAATCTGAGTCCAACTTCATTCCAGGCTGGGGACACCTGGGGAGGCGGGAACCAGCTGTGTGAGGAACAGAGCCTCCAGAAAGGTGGGGTTGGAGTGGGACGTGCCTGGGCAGGCAAGTGGGGACAAAGAGGGCGCCGGCACACCTGGCGGCCAGGCAGCCCGCGCCCGCCAGCACAGATTCAAAGTGGAGCCGAGGCTGTGATTGGCGGCCCAGCCCAAGCCCCACCCCTTCTCTCACCTCCCAGGCCGCTGGGAAAGACGCAGGGAATGGAGAAGGCCCCTCATCCCGCCTTTAACCACGCAGCAGTGGCCTGGCTGGTAGTGAACTGCTAACAACCTCTCCTGCTCCAAACCCTGCCGGGCCCCCGCTTGGCATTCTGGCGCCGCCTTCGGTCCCAGTGACTCCTGGAGCTGCTGGGGCTCCGGCCATCGAATCACCCCTCCCTGAGCCGTCTTTCAGCCTGCGGCCTCCTCCACTAACTGGTCTTACCCCAACCCGCCCTCTCCAATGTCCCCTGTTCTCTGAGCGCTCTCCCAGTCCAGCCACCAGCCACGGCCAGGCCCAGGACGGAGTCGCTTTCTGGGCCCCGTCCCGTGCCCATCGGGCTTTTCCCCCACAGCGGTGGCCCAGCCCCTGCTTGGACCCCGGGGACTCCGAGCGCAGCTGGGCCGGGGGTGGCAGCGGGGGAGGCCGGTGCACAGGTTGCCGGACCGCGGCGGGGGCAGGCGGCGGAGGCTGGGCGGGAACCCGACTCTGGGCCCGCGCCCCGCCCCGGCGCAGATGGCGGCGGCGCGGGCTGGTCCCGGGCCGCCGCTGGGGGCTCGGGTTTCGGCCGAGAGGGGCGGGGCGAGCGCCTGGGGGCCCCGGGGAGGCTGCGGCCCAATCACTGCCCGGCCCGGACGCTGCCCCCGACCCCGGCCTCCAATCACTGCCTGGCCGGACCGCCCCCGCTCCGCTGCGTCCTTTGTTCCCGCTCCCCTCTGCCTTCCCGGGCGCCCCGCTCCGGCCCTGCGGCTTCCGGCCCGCGCGGACCCTGCCGTGTGGACGCGTGTGGGCTGCGCCCGCCCCGGGCGCACTCCGGGCCCCAACGCCAGGCACAGGCCCGCTTGTGGCTGGGCACGCTCGTGTGCCCTTGGCGGCCCCGGGCGCTTCGGAGGGCCTGGCCAAAGCTCCCAGAAGAGCCCTTTGGAGGGACTGAACTTTGACCAGGGGCAGAGGGCAACGGAGGAATCCAGGACCCGGGCAGTGTCCAGCCCGGGCCCCACCTTCCCTTCCCGGGCTGCGGCTCTCCTCACTCTCAGCCTCCTTGCTTTGCCCACGCTGCTGCCATGGCCTAACTTCTTTTCACGTACATTCCAGCCTTCCTTCCAGACCCGTTTTGGGGGTGCATCGTCTGTGACGCCACCCCCACCCCGGTAGTGGTCCCTTTTTGGTCTGGGTCTGAGGCCTCCCCAGCAGAGAGCCCCAGCGCCCGGCAGGGCTCACTTACAGTGCTGCAAGGGGCCCTCAACAAGCCTTGGTCCCCAAGCTTCCGCGGGCACCCCAGGCCTGATCTTGGTTCCGTGTGAGGCTGCGTGGAGGCTCTGTCACTCACTGAATCGGAGCCGCGGTGTTCTCAGCGGTGAAATGGGCACGATAATAGTTAACGGGGTCAACTCTGTTTCCCAGGTCAGGACTGTCGTAAGGATTAAAAGAGCTGGCCGGGCGCGGTGACTCACGCCTGTAATCCCAGCACTTTGGGAGGCTGAGGCGGGCGGGTCACGAGGTCAGGAGATCAAGACCCTCCTGGCCAACGTAGTGAAACCTAGTCTCTACTAAAAATGCTAAATTAGCTGGGCGTGGTGGCGTGCACCTGTAGTCCCAGCTACTGGAGAGGCTCAGGCAGGAGAATCGCTTGAACCAGGGAGTTGGAGGTTGCAGTGAGCAGAGATCGCGCCACTGCACTCCATCCTGGCGACAGAGCAAGACTCAGTCTCAAAAACAAAACAAAACAAAAAAACCCTAAAATCTGTGAAGAGCAGAATACCCAGCTAGGAGCCATGGTGCCTACAGAGGCCCCACCCCTGCCTCTTCCTAATCCCCAGGTCCAGGGGACACTCCTGCTCTCTGTCTCCCTCCTGGAGTCCCCTCCCTGGACCTCTGCACCTTCTGCTCAGGACCCCACCCTCAGCCCCTTCTCCCCTTATTCTCTCCACCTTCTGCCAGGCCAGCCAATCTCAGACCTCCTTGCCCTGGCCCCACCTCTCTTCTGGGTCCTCTGGAGATATCCCTCAAACACCTCCAACCAGTTTTTCTCAAATTCAACGTCCTCAGCAGCAACCCACTGGCCACATGTGTTTCTATTTCTGTGGAGGACTCACCATCCTCACCACTGCCCACCCTAGAGACCCGAGTGTCCTCGTCACCCTAGTGGCACCCCACCGTATGCTGGGGCCAAGCCTGTGCTCTCAGGCCTAGCCTACCCTGTTCTCCCAGGGGCAGCGCCTTGGCCCACACTCTTCTCCTTTTGGCCTGATCTCCTAATCTGTCCCTTAGCCCTCTGCCTCCAGTCTGTAGGACCCACTGCCGGGAGGGCTCCCCAGCGCTGCCCTCAGCGTCCAGTCCCAGCTCCTGGGTATAACTGACAGAGCCCAGCTCCTGGGTGTAACTGACAAAGCCCTGCCATCTGGCCCTGCCTGCCTTCCTGTTTCAACTACAGGCACACAGAATTACTCCCGCTGAAGCCCGTGATGCAGGCGAGGAGGTTGGGAGTGGGTCCACCTTCCCAGGGCCCCTAGCAGCAGAAGAAGGGCCAGGCCCTGGGGGCAACCAGAGGGGCAGCCGAGGCTGGGAGCAGGCTGGCTCTGCAGACAGGCTCTGCAAACAGGCACACAGGGTGTGAATCCTGACTCTGCCCTTGCCCTGCTTAGTGACTTTGGCTTGGTTACTTACCCACTCTGCCTCTCATGGTATCCCAGATGGGTTTAATATCACCTTCTGGAGAAGAATTTGGGACCCAGGGCCAAAAATGGTCAGGGGCTGCCTTCCCTCTGGGATCCCCCAGGGCCCCAGCTTCTAAATCACTTGGATGGGGGGAAGCGGAGGAGGAGGGCCTGATATGGAGGAGCCAGTTGGGAGGCACTGGGGAGGAGGGGAGGAGTAGGGGGGCTGAGGGGGCAGGGGAGGCTGACAAAAGAGACCAGCTGCTGTTTGCACACAAACCCCAAGTTGATAATGAGTGGAGGGGTGGGGCGGGGCGGGGAAATGGCTTGGCAGGAGCCTCTGCCAGCTGAAGAGGCTGCCCAGAATGCCCCCCCCTACCCCACAGACCCCAGCTCTGGGCTCTCACTACCCACGCCCAGGGCATAAATCTGCTCCCAAGACTGCAGCAGGAAGGGCAGGAGGGCCCAGTCTGGGCAATCTGGTCCCCACTAAGCCCAAGGCTTAAATCCTTCTTGGGCCACACTCATCCTGAGCCCTGCCCTGGGGAAGCGCTTGTCATGGAGCCCATGACCCCGCAAGGAGCTGGGAGCAGGCCCAGGCTCCCTCTCTGAGCTCCTGGTTAGAATGAAGGCCCTTGGAGAGGCTCTGAAGAAGAGGGGAGGCTCCCAGATGTGAGGCCTTGAAGAGTCCTCTGTACTGCAGCCTCCCGGACAGAATCAAAAAGGCAGACCCAGGGATGAGGGGTCAGGAAGCCCCTGTCAGCCCCTTTGCCCCCAGTAATGCCAGGAGGGCTCTGGGTAGTCCCCTAGATAGGATGCAGACAAACAAAGGCAAAGAACAAACTGTTGCAGTGGCTCACGCCTGTAGTCCCAGCTGCTCAGGAGGCCAAGGCAGGAGGATTGCTTGACCCTGGGGTGTTGGAGGCTACAGTGAGTCATGATTGCACCATTGCACTCCAGCCTGGGCAACAGAGCAAGACTCCATCTCCAAAAAGAAGAAGAAAAAAAAAAAAGCTAAGGAAGACCAGCTGGGCTCCCTGGGTTGTCAGGAGTGGGAACCCCCCCCCCCCCGTTTACTCACCCCCATCTGCCTGGAGAGTCATGGAAGGGCTTCCCTTTCTGTGGCCCCAGGGCCCTGCTCTGTCCGTTTGTGCATGCACCCCCCTGCCCCTAGAGTCTGACTGGCCTGTTGGCATCCCCCTCCAGGCAAAGAGCTGCCCCGTGCCCGCAGCCGCCTCCTGCCATGTGGGCTGTGGGCGCAGCTGACAGGCTGTGCGTGCAGGAGAGCGAGAGCACGTGCTCCTGCTGCTGCCGGGTGCCAGCCTAGCAACGGCTCCCAGGGGCCCAGAGAGGTGGTGCTGGCAGGGGATGGCAGCTCTGGTGCCCTCCCCACCGCGCTGCCTCCTAGTTCCCTTGCTGCTTGAGCTCCCTGCCAACACCTGCTCCAGAAGAGGGTCAGCCTGGCACTGGGCCCCAAGGACAGCAGTGGACCACAGCAGCCTGCACAACTCGGAGGCCTCAGTCTTCTGCTGGGGCTGGTCCCTAAGAAGCCAGGGGCTGAGCTTCATGGGGAGCAGGGAGGAAACCCCGCTGTGTGAACCAGGAGCCCCGCCTTGGGCAGAGCATGGTTGAGGAGCAGGATGGTTCTCTTGGGTGCCCTTCCTAACAGCTCACCCCCTTCTCAAGGCAAGAGGGAGACTGGGTGCGGCAGGAGGGGAGGGAGGTAGAAGAGCCAGGCAAAGGCTTGGAGGGGCGATGAGAGAGGTTGGGGGAGAGGCACACAGCGAGGAGGAGGAGGATGGGGAAGGGGAGGAAGAGTGAGAGGGGAAGGGGGAGGAGCGGCATGCAGCCAGGTGGTGGAGGGACCTTGAATGCTGAGCAAGTAGTTAGTCCTGGTGTCAGTGGGAGCCACAGAAGATGCTGAGCAAGGAGCCACCAGAGGCACAGAGCAGGAGGGAGATCACGGCTACAGGGCAGTGAGAAGAAGCCAGAGGGGTCCGCATTCGGGGAGTGGTGCCCTCCTGTAGGGGCAGCTGGAACCCAGGCCTGGTTCCAACCTGTGCTTGAGCTGCTGTGGGCAGCTAGGCAGCTGTGATTTGGGGCAACATGATGGCCTGTCCCTGTTTGTTGGGAGGGTCAGATAGTATAATGTGGGCAGAGCTGTCCTGGAAGGGAATTACTGTCACTAGTAGGGAGGAAGCATGGCTTGGATTGGGGCTTAGGCTCCCGAGTCACAAGGCTTAGCCTCTACGTGTCAGAAATGGGCACCTTTGCTCACTTCCCCTCCTGGGCTCTGGGGGCAGTGGTGTCCACAGTGAGCGCTGGTGGGCTCCTGAGGGGCCCTGCTTGGCACTGGTCATGCAGCTGGGGCCACAAGCAGTATGTGTCCTTGAGCCCAAATGTGGCACGAGGTGGTGAGGGGAGGAGCTTGGTCTGAGTGGGCACGTGAATAGGCAGGAATGCGGGGGGTTTGAGCAACGGCCCACAGAGGCAGACCAGTAACCAGCGTGAGGGGCTCCAGAGCCCTAAGAGAGGCCTGGGTACCACCAGGGAAGAGGCAGCCGGGGACAAGGAGCCAGCAGCACACCAGGTTCTAGAGGGTGAATGGGACTTGATATGAAAGGGATGCTGGAGTGTAGACGTTTTCCTCCTATGCCTGAGCGTGTGCCCACGTGCCCGCCCTGGTGCACCTGGATGAGTGTGTGTTCGGGATGCTTTCTCTGAGCTGGATTTCACAAGCCACCACAGGGCCCACCTCACTGGGGGGCTTCCAGGGCACCGGGCCCTAGGGATGGAGCATGCCTATTTAAGATGCCAAGGCCAGTGCCAAAGAGGCCAGCCCAGTGCCACCCGGAGAGGGGACTGAGCTGGCTGGGGCCCCAGGCCTTACCCGGCCCACCCTCCCAGGCCACAGAGGAGGCATTGATGGCACAAGAGCACCGCAGCTGGCGCAGCATGGGCACTGCTGGGTCTTGGAAGGGGGAGTCGGGATGAGCCTGCAGCCTGAGCTGCTGCCAAACAGGCCCCTGAACCCAAAGGCGAGAGTGCCTATGGTCAGCCTGTGCCCTGGGCATCCTGGTCTCCAGTGCTCCTGGGCAGGCAGGGGTACCTGAGTCAGTGCCCACACACCCATCTGTGGGTGTTGGCAGGAGGTCAAGGACCCCCAGTCCACCCTCACCCCCGCTCAGACTTCTGTGACCCTTCCCCGCTGGGCAGCACCTGGGCCTCTGTGCCCGGCCCACCGTGAGGGTCTGGCCTTGCTCCTCACCCCTGGACTCCCAGTGAGCCCCTGTACTCCCACCTCTCCCCCTGATTCTCTGCTCTTCTGTGCCTTGAGCCCTTTGAGTGCCCCCCTTTTTTCTCAGCCAACTTATCTGACCAAGGCTTTACCTCCCCCTCAAGCCTCCAGGCAGGACTGTCTCCTCCATGGAGCCTCCTAGGATTGCTCCAGGCCATCTAGGTCACCAAGTATGCCCTGTGTTTTGCAGGCACCTCCAGGGGAGCTAATTCTCATGCTAGATTCAGCCTCCCCGCATGCAAAGCTCCTTAGGGGATGGAGCTGAGACCTACATTGTCCTCCCTTTCTCCTTGTAGGCACTGAATAAATGTCACAGTGGCCGGCAGACCACTCTGCCCGCTTCCCAGTTTCCCTCCAATTTTCAGGCAGGTTGTCCCCAAAGTCAGGCTCAGGTAAGTGAGGCCCTGCAACCTCCCCTGGCCTCAGCCTGGCTCCATCACATCCCACAGGGCCAAGCCCAGGTGGACACCCACATTCATACAGACATGCACCCGCATAAACACACAGTGAAAAAAGGACTCAGGCACGGGCACACTCCTACAAGCACAGATGCAGACATGCATTCATAACACACCTGCACATGCTGACACACGGGCATGTATACATGGACAAAAACAGACACAGATGTGCAGACAGACACACACAGATGCATGCTCACAGATTCACACACACACTCACGGGCACACCCTGCGCACATCAGACACAGGCATTCCTGGGACACATCAGCAGACACAGACACACATAGACCTGCTCACATACAGCACATACTCACACAGAACCCACAGGCACCCACCAGCACACACCCGGCCAGGCCTTAGATGCTGGAAGAGGAACTGCTGATCAGGGACCTGGAGCTGCTACCTCCTCCCTCGAGGAGCCCCCCAGGCCGGCAGAGGGCACTCTAGGCCCCATCCCTCCAGGCCCAGCCACTGGAGGGTTAGGGGTTGGGAGGGAGCACGTGGTCACCTCCTGCCCTCCCAAGCCAGGTCCCTTTTGTTTCACCACCCCGCCAACTCCCGGGAGGCGGCTGTGCCTGGGGACCTCCTGTGACTATGCCTGGCGACCGAGAGTCCTGCAGGACCTGCCTGGTTGAGGTTGTGCTCATCTGAGCCCCAGAGATGAGCCTGGGGGGCTGTGGAGCAGTGAGAGGACCCAGGCTCCAGGCAGGTGCCCAGCACTAGGACAGCAGCCACCACAAGGATGGAGAGCCCGCCCATCACCCATGCCTGTTCCAGGCAGGACCGTGCAGCCCCCAGAGCCCTGCGATCCTCTGCCCCTCACAGTGCAGCCCAAGGGGCCAAGGGTGCTTACCCTGTGGCCTCCCCATTGTCCCTCTGAGAGCTTGTTAATGTACTGTCCCCTGGGCGGGAGGTGGGGAGGGGCTTCCAGAATGCTGAAATGGGAGCTGAGAACCCCAATGGCAAGCCCCTCAGTGTTCCCCTTCTCTCAGTGCCCGGCTCTTCTGACCTCACCTTTCAGTACCCCTTCACCCCAACTTGGAGTCTTGGAGGTTATGCGTGGGAATCATTCAAGACACCACGTCTGCTACTTACAAGTTAAGAGTCTTGGGCGAGTGATTTAACCTCCACAACCTCAGTTTTCTCATCTGTAAAATGGGCATCTTTAGCAGTCCCTGCCTTGCAGGTGGAGCTGGGGGCAAACAAGGCAGTGCATGCAGAGCCCTGGTTTGGTGCCAGGCCATGGTGGGTGGATATTGGCTGCTTTCGCTGTGGTGATCACTGTGTGCTGAGTGCTTTCCTGGCTGAGCCTTTGGGACAATGTGTGGACCCCAGCAGGGAGTCACATAGTATGTGCTCACTAAACCCTGGTACATGAACCAGAAAGGGATGGGGCAGCCCAGGAATGCCACACTTGTGCCATCAGCCAACAGCCAGCATCAGGGAGAGCCTGGCAAGATGCCGGGCCTTGTTTTCTAAGTGGTTTGTTTCTTGGGACTTGAGTTTCTATTTGGTAGGACCACGCTCTGGACCTGGTGATGGGCCTTGGCTGAATGAGGTTCCTCCTCCTCCCCCTTCCACCAAGGAAGGACGAGACTGACCCTCCCCACCCACCAGCAACCCCCAGTCTCCTTCCCAGTTGCTCCCATAATTAGGCCCTGTGCAGTTCAAGAGGGGGTGTCTGCACTGCCTCTCCTCCCCCAGCTTCATCAGGCCAAGGGTGGGGGGTCTCCCCTCCCTCAGGGGTGTTTCTGGCCCTCCCGAGGGCAGGCAGGGAGCTGGCCAAACCTGTGGCAGGGGTGGGGATTCTGTCCACCATCGTAGGGCCCCTTGCTAGGAGGTTAGCGGTACACGCCGCTCGGCAGGGCTGCGGTGTACTTAGGTACATGGGCCGTCGTTAGTGCCGGCCTCACTGCAAGTGAATTAGCTGGTCCTCAGGGAGCAAGTGCTGAAGGCTGCAGGCTCCTGGCCCTGGCCAGTGATTTATTACCACAACCTCACCCACAGCAGAGGCCGGTGGCATCCCTGCCCCCAGCCTACTGGCCTGGCCGGCGGCCGGGAGCAGGAGGCTGGTGCCCAGAGCTGCCCTGGCTGCCCGTCCACCTGCTACTCATCGGTCTATTCATCAGGACATCCCTGCTCCCTCCCACTGTTCCGCTGCCTTCATCCACCAGGCCCACCCACACGCAGGCCTGACCCACCCTGCCAGGCTCCGTCTCCTACTCCGAGTCCCCTGGCACCTTGGGTGACCCAAGGGAGGCCCCTTTGTCCTCCTTCCCCCACCTCTGTGTCTTTCTGCCCCCCTCAACTGGAGCCCCAGGATCCACTAACTGGCGTTGATGAATAGCAGAGGTCAGCTTGTGCCAAAAAGCAGGCCCTTGGCAGCCTCTAACAAGGTTGAGGGAGTCAGCCCCTTGGTCCCAGCCACAAAAGCCCTGAGGAACCCATCCCTCTCCCTTCCATGGCCCCCAGAATGTTCACTTCCTCCAGTGGAGGCAGGTGCTCAATGCGCATGTGCTGACGGGTGCACGGACGCATAGCTACCCTTCCCCACGGCAAGTGGCTCGTGCTTCATCCACTTGCGTGGCTCACATCTGCTCCCATGTCTCCATGTCTCTGGCTTGAAAACTGGCCTACTGCGGCCACAGAGTGAAAAACGCCCATATTCTGAGGCCAAAAGACCTGAATTCCAAACCTGGCCTTGTCTGTGAGCTGTGTGATCCTGTCTCTGAGCCAAAACGTCCTCAAGGTCATGTGAGGCCAACCCCCCGCCCCCCTGCTGGCTCTGAGGCATTGATCTTGTGCAGGGAATGCAGGGCATAGAGATGCCACCCAAATGCACTGCCACCACAGCAGAACTTGGCTCAAAGTGTTTGTCCTGGGGGTCTCCTTAGCACATATGTGTGCAATTTTCCTGGTATTGTTCTATGATCCTTGATGTGTTGCTCTGTAATTGGTCTCAAATGGTTTCACCATAATAAATAATATCTACAGAGCTGTTCAGAGTCTGCAAAGTACCTTTTTTCTCATTCTATTCCCACCTTTACAAAAAGAAATAGAGTGGCGGGCCACGGTGGCTCACGCCTGCAATCCCAGCACTTTGGGAGACCAAGGCGGGTGGATCACCTGAGGTCAGGAGTTCAAGACGAGTCTGACCAACATAGTGAAACCCCGTCTCTACTAAAAATACAAAAATTAGCCAGGCGTGGTGGTGCGCACCTGTAATCCCAGCTACTCAGGAAGCTGAGGCGGGAGAATCTCTTGAACCCGGGAGGTGGAGGTTGCAGTGAGCCGAGATCATGCCATTGCACTCCAGTTTGGGCAACAGAAGGAGACTTTGTCTCAAAAAAAAAAAAAGAAGAAAAGAAGCAGAGGCTCAGAGAAGTTAAGCTGGGGCCTCCCCTGACCCCCGGGATCTGATGGTTCATGGGAGAGGCCAGCGTTGCACTCATTAGGAGGCAGGGTTTTCTCATGAGCAGGCTGTGCTTTGACGTCCCAGGTGTGGGTGCATGACTGCTCACCTGGGTGTGCAGGTGTCCAGGCTGAGAGCAGGTGAGCCCCGAAGGGGGCTTATGGAGGAGTCATGCCTGCCATGGTGGGCTGTGGGACTGGGTTAGCTCCACAATCCCTTTCTAGTGTGGGGAAAGGGATTGGACCACATGAAATGCCTCTAGTGGAACTGAGTTTCTTTTCTTTTTTTTTTTTTTTTTTGAGAGGGAGTCTCGCACTGTCCCCTGGGCTGGAGTGCAATGGTGCTATCTCCGCTCACTGCAACCTCCGCCTCCCGGGTTCACACAATTCTCCTGCTTCAGCCTCCCGAGTAGCTGGGATTACAGGCACACACCACCACACTCAGCTAATTTTTTTTTTTTTTTTGTATTTTTAGTAGAGACGGGGTTTCACTATGTTGGCCAGACTGGTCTCGAACTCCTGACATCGTGATTCACCTGCCTCAGCCTCCCAAAGTGCTGGGATTACAGGCGTGAGCCACCACACCTGGCCTTCTTTTGAGATAGAGTTTTGCTCTTGTCACCCAGGCTGGAGTGCAATGGGACGATCTCAGCTCACTGCCATCTCTGCCTCCTGGGTTCAAGTGATTCTCCTGCCTGTCTCCCTGGTAGCTGAGATTACAGGCATGCGCCACTATGCCCTGCTAATTTTTTGTATTTTTGGTAGAGACGGGGTTTTGCCATGTTGACCAGGCTTGTCTTGAACTGACCTCAGGTGATCCGCCTGCCTCAGCCTCCCAAAGTGCTGAGATTACAGACGTGAGCCACTGCGCCTGGCCCTGAGTTTCCATCACCCAGATAAGTGGCATTATTAGCTGTTTGATTGATTTGCTTATTTTGTTGCTGTTTTGGTCAGAAAACTGAGGCACCAGGGAGGTACAGTGACTTGTCCCAGAGGCGCAGTAATGTGAGAATGGGGGATGAAAACAGCAAATCCGAGTACTGGGAGGGCGGGCTCTGCCAGAGGAAAGCTGGTGGGGGCAGCGATCAGCAGGGGAGGCCCCGGGAATCTACCTAGAATTGTCCACCCTGGAGTCCTAAAGCCCAGTCTGGAGTGCAGTGGCACACTCACAGCTGCTGCAGCCTCGACCTCCTGGGCTCAGGCAAACCTCCCACCTCAACCTCCCAAGTAGTTAGGACCTCAGGTGCAACACCACACTTGGCTAATTTTTTTTTCTCTTTTTTTGAGACGGAGTTTCACACTGTTGCCCCAGCTGGAGTGCAACGGCATGATCTTGGCTCACTGCAACCTCTGCCTCCTGGGTTCACGTGATTCTCCTGCCTCAGCCTTTAGAGTAGCTGGGATTACAGGTGCACACCACGACACTCGGCTAATTTTTTGTATTTTTAGTAGAGACGGGGTTTCACTACGTTGGCCAGACTGGTCTTGAACTCCTGACCTTGTGATCTGCCCGCCTCAGTCTCCCAAAATGCTGGGATTATAGACGTAAACCACTGCGCCTGGCCGCTAATTTTTCTTTCTTTCTTTCTTTCTTTCTTTGAGATGGAAGCTCACTCTGTTGCCCAGGCTGGAGTGCAGTGGCACGATCTCAGCTCACTGCAACCTCCGCCTCCCGAGTTCAAGCAATTCTCGTGCCTCAGCCTCCCGAGTAGCTTGGATCAAGGCATCTGCTACCACACCCAGCTATTTTTGTATTTTTAGTAGAGACGGTGGTTTCACCATGTTGGCCAGGCTGGTCTCGAACTCTTGACTTCAGATGATCCACCCGCCTCAGCCTCCCAAAGTGCTGGGATTACCGGCATGAGCCACCATGCCTGGCCAAAATGACTTCTTCTTTTTTTTTTTGAGACAGTTTCGCTCTGTCACCCAGGCTGGAATGCAGTGGCGCGATCTCGGCTCACTGCAACCTCCATCTCCCGGGTTCAAGTGATTACCCTGCCTCAGCCTCCAAAGTAGCTGGGATTACAGGCATGCGCCACCACACCTGGCTAATTTTTTGTATTTTTGGTAGAGACAGGGTTTTGCCATGTTGGCCAGGCTGGTCTTGAACTCCTGGCCTCAAGGGATCTGCCCGCCTGGGCCTCCCAAAGTGCTGGGATTACAGGCGTGAGCCACCATGCCCGGCTTAATTTTTTAATTTTTTTGCGAGACAAAGTCGCCCTATGTTGCCCAGGCTGATCTCAAATTCCTGGGCTCAAGTGATCCTCCTGCTCCGGCCTCCCAAGGTACTGGAATTACAGGCATGAGCCGCTGTGCCCTGCCAAAAGTTTTTTTTTTTTTTTTTTTTTTTAATACAGAAACATACAAGGGAGAATAAAACCAACACCCACAGATCTGCAGGGACCTGCTTGGTGCCCCGGCCCCTAGGAGGGGAAAGGGTGGTTGAACGGTTGGTGGTATCATGGGCACATGCTCGCATCTGCACACGCATGCACACATCTGTGGCCACATTCAGGACATGGGATCCGTGTTCATGGTTGTACAGACATGTACATGCACACCGAGAGACTGGGCGTGGGAGTGTGGAACGGGCCTGCTACAGGGAAGAGAGGACAGGCTGGGCCAAGGCCTGGGTGTGGCCGCGCGCCTGCAGGTGCCTCTTGCCCTGCGTTCTATGCCCGCACCAGGCCTGCCCCCAGTGGCGGCTCCATGCTGTGCTTCCATCCAGGTAGGCAAGGCAGGCCCCCTCAAATACCCACCAGCGAGCAGCTGGGGCTCGGGCCCCACAGCACTGTTTCCTAGGTTTTCAGGCTTGGCTCTTTCCTGGCCTTTCCCACTGGCCCCTCTGGCCAGACTGGTCCCCTGAGCTCCAGCAGCCTGAGGCAGTACATGGGCATGGCTGCCTAAGAACAGATGAGGATGGACATGCTTCTGTGGAGAGGGGAAGTTGGCTGACACCCGTGTGGACACACAGGAAACACTCAAATTCACTCACGTTGTTCCTGGGCTGTGGGGCCCAAGGAAGTGTGTTTCTGGTGGGAGTTTGGGGTGATAGCACAGAGCTCAGTGTGTCTATGCAGCAGGGGCCAGCAAGGCCCTGGCCTGAGGCCTTGGGATGACTGAGGGCCCCCTGGGAAGGGGACTCCAGGGCAGGGGTTGGAAACTTGGGAGCAGATCTGACTTCGGAGGTAACACCACCAACTGCGCTGCCACACATTCTTGAAAAGCAACAACCATAAGCTTTGAATACCAAGAACGGGCATTATGAACACATTATAAATGGCAGGTTGCTTTGTTATTGACATGTCATGCCAGTGGAAAGGCACCGCTGTTCCCCTTTCATCCTGAAGGGCAGCGCAGCTCTCTCCCACCTTGGCCCCAACTCAGCTCTTGCCCGCCTGGCACGTCTGTAGTTTCAGGTGCTCAGCTGGATACCAAGGCTGTAAGCCCCCAGGGGAGGTGGGGTCTTAAAGGGGGTCTCCCTTCTGCATCTCACTGGCGATCTGTGACCCCCCAGGGTCAGGGCCTTCCCTAAAGAACTCCCTCTGGGAGCAAGGGGTTGCTGGGCGAGGTGGTGCGCTCCCGCCAGCCTGCCTGTGGGGTCTCTGAGGCACTGGCCTGGGCCTGGTGTTCTGAGCTCCTGCGGCCTGTTCCTCAGAGTGTGGGACCACATTTCCTTAAGGCTGAGCAGCACGATGCCAATCCCAGGGATGTTCCTGTCTGTCCCATGAGGGAAAGCCAAATCGGAACCATTTGGTGTAAATGCCATGGAGGGGCCGTGCAGAGGCGTGGCTGGTTTCTTACTCATCCTTCAGTAAGGGAGGGAATGCCATAATCTCTTGGAAAGTTCCCTCAAAGGGCCAGACAATGACACTGGGGAAATGGAAGGTGACATGGATGTGACCACATAGTCACAAAGCTATGTCCAGGCGGGGGACAGTGGGAAGGGCTTATGTCCAGGCGGGGGACAGTGGGAAGGGCTTATGTCCAGGCAGGGGACAGTGGGAAGGGCTTATGTCCAGGCGGGGGACAGTGGGAAGGGCTTCATGAGTGGGGGCAGCCACTCACGGAGCCGGGACAGGGTCAAAGCCAGGGGACAAAGCTGGGACGGGGGCAAAGCCAGGTTGGTCCCCACCTCCACCAGTTCCTTCTGGCAGCCTTGATCTCCACTTGTGTGAAATGGGGACACCTGCCTTGATTGGCGTGAGGCTCAAATGACATAACCTATGGGAAACTGCCCTGGGTATAAAAGGCTCTAGTTTGTTTAATTAATTACCATTTTAATTAATTTAGGCCTCAGTTCTAAAGTTTGTAGAAATACCTAAAGGACGCTGGGCACAGTGGCTCATGCCTGTAATCCCAGCACTTTGGGAGGCTGAGGCGGGCGAATCACCTGAGGTCAGGAGTTCGAGATTAGTCTGACCAACATGGTGAAACCCGGTCTCTACTAAAAATATAAAAATTAGCTGGGCGTGGTGGCGTGCACCTGTAATCCCAGCTACCTGGGAGCCCGAGGCAGGAAAATCGCTTGAACCCAGGAGGTGGCAGTGAGCTGAGCTCGCACCACTGCACTCCAGCCTGGGCAACAGGGTGAGGCTCTGTCTCAAAAAAAAAAAAAAAAAAAAGGACAACAGGGAAAAAATAACTGAAGTTGTTGGGTCGAGGAAAATAGGGTAGGAAAGAAGAAGACAGAGACAGGGTGAGTCCTGTTGGCCTCCAGGAGGCCACGGAACCAAGAGCTGCAACTCACAGCTGGCACCGAGCTTCCTAGCCAAGAGAGAAGGAAGGGGACCAGTTACAAGACCTGGAGGCCCTATAAAGAAAAAAGGGAAACAAGTTATTCAAAAGCCTAGCTTTTCCTGGTAATAATAAGTGGCTGGTGATTATCAAGTGTTTTTTTTTTTTTTTAGATGGAGTTTTGTTCTTGTTGCCCAGGCTGGAGTGCAATGGCATGATCTCGGCTCACTGCAACCTCCGCCTCCTGGGTTCGAACGATTCTCCTGCCTTAGCCTCCCAAGTCTTAGCCTCCCAAGTAGCTGGATTACAGGCACCCACCATCATGCCCAGCTAATTTTTGTATTTTTAGTTGACACAGGGTTTGACTATGTTGGCCAGGTTGGTCTTGAACTTCTGACCTCAGGTGATACTCCCTTCTTGGCCTCCCAAAGTGCTATGATTACCGGTATGAGCCACAGAGCCTGGCCAAGTTTTTTTGTTTGTTTGTTTTTGTTTTTTGAGACAGAGTCTTGCTTTGTTATCCAGGCTGGAGTGCAGTGGTGCAATCTTGGCTCACTGCTACTTTGATCTCTTGGGCTTAAGCGATTCTCCCATCAGCCTCCTAAGTAGCTGGGATTACAGGCATGCACCACGAAGCCCGGCTAATTTTTAATTTTTTTTGTAGAGACAGAGGGGGTGTCCCACTATGTTGCCCAGGCTGGTCTTGAACTCCTAGGCTCAAGTGATCCTCCCGCCTTGGCCTCCCAAAGTGTTGGGGTTACAGGCATGCACCACCGGGCTGGCCAGGAGGTTGTTATATTCATGTGTTTTACATACGAGAAGCGGCTCACAGGGGTCACACTCTTGTCCGAGGACTCAGCTTCATGACACAGAAGCAGGCAAGGAGCCCAGTTCTGGGGGGCTCTTGCCCCACTCACAGAAGGGGCCACCTGGAGCCTGTGCTCCTAAACACTGAGCCACACTGTCCTGCTGGTGCTGAGGCCCGAAAGAAATTTGTCCTGTGGGTCCCCTTAAAAGGAACATTGTGCAATGCAGTACTTCCAGGCCCAACTCTGGAGCAAGGCCATGGGATAGGTTAGCCTGGAAACATGTTCAAGGCAGATGTTACCAATTATCTACTGATGCCATGAAAAATTTCAAAAGAACACCCCGGGAGCACATTTTTAGTAAGCCTTCTGGTGAGCCTCTGGCAACAAACAGTTGCAAAATGTCCTGCCCCCAGGTCACCAGGTCCTACTAGAAAAATCTTGCCCACAACTAGAAATCACTCATCTGGGACACCCTCCCTACCCTCATACCACCTTTGAGGCAACTGCTGGAGAATGAGGGCCTCAGTTTGTGAAAATAAAACTCCTGGCCAGGCATGGTGGCTCACACCTGTAATCTCAGCACTTTGTGGGGCCCAGATGAGAAGACTGCTTGAGCCCAGGAGTTCAAGACCAGCCTGGGCAACAAAGTGAGACCCCATCTCAAATACATAAAATGAAATAAAGTAAAACTGCTTATCAATCAACAGAGGACACCCCCAGATCCCCTCTGTGGTGCGTGAGGGGACAGGGTGGTCAAGGGGACTGGCACGTGGATGGTGGCAGTACTGCTTGTGACTTTTCCCCTTGAAGCTGAGGCTGCAACTGCAGGTAGCATGGGGCTCTGGAGTCAGCTGGGGTTCAGATCCCAGCTCTGCCACTGAATAACTGTAGGGCTTTGGGCAATGTCTGCTCACTCACGCTGAGTGGAGGACACAACCATGCCTTCCCCGCCCACGCCCAGCTCACAGGGTCCTCAGGGAGGCGGGTGCCAACACGGCCGTCCATGCTCAGAAATCTGCACTCCTGTCAGCCCTGCATGAGGGGAATGAGGTGGGGGAAGTAAAGAGACCTGTTTAGGACCAGTGTCAATCAAGCCTAGGCATGAATCCTGCAGGCAGCGAGCTCCCTGTCCCACTGTGGCTGGGGCAGAGGGACCTGAGAGGGGAGCGGCTGCAATGGAGACAAAGCATGGCGAAACCCTACTACTGCCAGGTGACAGTTCTCCATGAAGCTGAAAGCTTTGAAAGCTAGGGTTCTCAGCTAAGGATCTTTCTTTTTTCCACACCCAGGCCAGTATGCAATGGCGCGATCTCGGCTCACTGCAACCTCTGCCTCTCAGGTTCAAGAATTCTCTGCCTCAGCCTCCCGAGTAGCTGGGGTTACAGGCACACACCACCATGCCTGGCTAATTTTTTGTATCTTTAGTAGAGGCAGGGTTTCACTCGAACTCCTGACCTCATGATCTGCCTGCCTCTGCCTCCCAAAGTGCTGGGATTACAGGCATGAGCTACCGCACCCGGACTCTTTTTTTCTTTTGAGACCAAGGTGATTCACCTGCCTCAGCCTCCCAAAGTGCTGGGATTACAGGCGTGAGCCACCGCGCCCAGCCAGAATGTTTCTTGACACCCATCTCTCCCTGCTTTGAGAGCCGTTGCTTTGAGAGCTGTTTCATTTCATATAGAATCACAAATTTCTAATTTCTCTTTCATCTGTTTCTGCAGGTATTCAGAACACATTTTACTTTCCCTCATGAATGCCCTTGCATCCAAATTCAGCCTTAAGAGAAGCAGACATGTCTTTTTTTTCTTTTTCTTTTTCTTTTTTTTGAGATGGAGTTTCACTCTTGTTGCCCAGGCTGGAGTGCAATGGTGCGATCTTGGCTCACTGCAACCTCCGCCTCCCGGGTTCAAACAATTCTCCTGCCTCAGCCTCCCAAGTAGCTGGGATTCAGGCGCCCGCCACCACGCCCAGCTATTTTTTTGGTATTTTTAGTAGAGATGGGGTTTCACCATGGTGGCCAGGCTGATTTTGAACTCCTGACCTCAGATGATCCACCGGCCTCAGTCTCCCAAAGTGTTGCAATTACAGGCGTGAGCCGCCGCGCCCAGCCGAGAAGCAGACACTTCTGAAGAGCATTCCAGAACACATCATACAATCCTAAAAGTTTTTTTTTTTTTTTTAAGGCAGTCTTGTTCTCACCCAGGCTGCAGTGCAGTGGCTCGATCACAGCTCACTGTAACCTTGACCTCCTGGGCTCAAGCAATCCTCCCATCTCAGCCTCCAGAGTAGGTGGGAGTACCGGCATGTGCCGCTATATATGGCTATTTAAAAATTTTTTTCAGCTGGGCGCGGTGGCTCATGCCTGTAATCCCAGCACTTTGGGAAGCCAAGGTGGGTGGATCACCTGAGGTCAGGAGTTCCAGACCAGCCTGACCAACATAGTGAAACCCCGTCTCTACTAAAAATACAAAAATTAGCCGGGCATGGTGGCGAGCGCCTGTAGTCCCAGCTACTTGGGAGGCTGAGGCAGGAGAAATGCTTGAACCCGGGAGTTGGAGGTTGCAGTGAGTTGAGATCTCACCACTGCACTCCAGCCTGGGTGACACAGCGACTCTGTCTCAAAATAAATTTTTTTTTTTTTTCGTAGAGATGGGGTCTCCTTATGTTGCCTAGGCTGGTCTCAAACTCCTAGGCTTAAGTGATCCTCCTGCCTCAGCCTCCCAAATTGCTGGGATTACAGGTGTGAGCCACTGTGCCCAGCCCCTGAAAATCTTTATTTATTCTTATTTATTTACTTACTTATTTATTTATTTATTTTTTGAGATGAAGTCTCGCTCTTGACCCCCAGGCTGGAGTGCAATGGCGTGATCTCGGCTCACTGCAACCTCCGCCTCCCGGGTTCAAGCAATTCTCCTGCCTCAGCCTTCTGAGTAGTTGGGATTACAGGTGCGCGCCACCATGCCTGGCTCATTTTTGTATTTTTAGTAGAGACGGGGTTTCACCATGTTGGCCAGGCTGGTCTCTAACTTCTGACCTCAGGTGATCTGCCCACCTCGGCCTCCCAAAGTGTTGGGATTACAGATGTGAGCCACCATGCTGGGCCGAGCCCCTGAAAATCTTAATTAAGGAAACTTCCAATGTATCACATAAGGCCCAAAAGGAGACTGATTCATACCAAGGTGATTCATACTTCAGGGTCTCAAAAATATGTCTTAACCAGGGCCTTTGTGCCTCAGCACCACGGCCCTGTGAAGAGTCAGGTCAAAGTGGGGACAAACAGCCACACTGCTCTCTCTCTGGGAGCTGGGCCATATTCTTCGTTCCGTTTAGTTAAGTGGGAATGCTGAGACCGTGCCAGCAGCGAAATGGATGAGAGGTGTCTGCCCAGTGCTTTTTTTTTTTGAGACAGAGTCTCACTGTGTCGCCCAGGCTGGAGTGCAATGGTGCAATCTTGGCTCACTGCAACCTCCATCTCCCAGGTTCGGGCGATTCTCCTGCCTCAGCCTCCCAAGTAGCTGGGATTACAGGCATCTGCCACCACGCCTGGATAATTTTTGTATTTTTAGTAGAGACGGGGTTTCACCATGTTGGCCAGGCTGGTCTCGAACTCCTGACCTCAGGTGATCCACCCTCCTCAGGCTCCCAAAGTGCTGGGATTACAGGCATGAGCCACCGTGCCCAGTGAGATAACACTGTTACAGCATCTAACAGCAAGAGGATGGCATAACCAGGAGAAAGATGCTGGAAGGGGCCGTAAATGACCACAATTCAAGGTCGGGCCACAACTTGCCAGGCTCGGGAGAACTCACTGAGGCTGAGGACAGCTTGGGAAGCTCTCGGTCCAGGTGCTGACTGGCAGCTTTCCCCTCGGACTTCACATGTGCATGGGACTCGAGCTTTCCTGGAAAGGCGCCCACCTTGCCTTCCCCTCCCTGATGAGGCTTCACTTCTGGGTGATGCTGCATCCTATTTTGAGGTTTTCCTATAGAATTGTTCAAGTGAGATTCCTCCTGTGAGATTCTCAGAAAATGTCTTGGAGGAAAGAATGTTTCTGAAAGGAGCCTGAGAAATCTCTTCCCCTTCTAGAGACGCTTGCTCTGCCGGGAGCTAGAAAGGAACGGATCTCCATGCTCTGGACCTCATTAGCGAACCTTACCTTGGAGGCAGCTGAGAGCCCTCCCGAGGGGTCCTGATCCTGGGCACCAGCTCGCTCTGTGATCTACCTAAGCCCTTCAATCCCCCGACTCTGCAATGTGAAATCCAAATGCTCCCGGTGTCCTTGTAGCTCTGTCACCCTGGATTCTTGTGGCAAAGAGAGATGGATCTCAGTGGGAGGCTGGTTTTGGATGGAGGGCCACAGGGACTCATGGTCTTGGTGGTGGTTACAGATTTCTTGAGAAATGTCATTCTTTGGCCGGGCACAGTGGCTCACGCCTGTAATCCAGCACTCTGGGAGGCTGAGGCAGGAAGATCACTTAAGGGCAGGAGTGCGAGACCAGCCTGCATAACATAGGGAAACCCGGTTTCTATGAAAAATTAAAAAATTAGCTGGGTGTGGTGGTGCGCACCTGTAGTTCCAGCTACTTGGAGGCTGACGTGGGAAGATCACGTGAGCCCAAGAGGTTGAGGCTGCAGTGAGCAGAGATTGCGCCGCCACTACACTCCAGCCTGGGCAGCAGAGAGAGACCCTGTCTCAAAAAAAAAAAAAAAAAGAAAAAAGAAAAGAAATGTTCCCAGTATGTGATAAGGAGTGAACTAGTGAACTAGTATGAGCAACATGTCCCAGTTTGCCCAGGAGTTTTTCTAGTTGTGGCACTGAGAGTCCTGCATCCTGGGAATCCCTCAGTCAAACAGGGACTGTCGGTCACCCGTCGTCCGTAGCTCCCTGTGGTAGGAGGAGGGTGAGCCAGTCCGAGTTGGTGGTGTGTCCTCCCCTCGCCTCTGCCCTCTGCTCCTTACACCTTTCTCCCCAAACAAGGTGGGGAGATTCTCTGCCAGAGAAGGGAAGGTAGAAAAGACCTGTTTAAGATGAACAGAGAAGATGCAGTGAGCTGAGATCGTGCTGCTGCACTCCAGCCTCAGTGACATAGTGGGACCCTGTCTAAAAAAAAAAAAAAAGAGCTGGACACGGTGGCTCACACGCCTGTAATCCCAGCACTTTGGGAGGCCAAGGCAGGTGGATCACCTGAGGTCGGGAGTTCACGACCAGCCTGACTGAGATGGGGAAACCCTGTCTCTACTACAAATACAAAATTAGCCAGGCATGGTGACGCATGCCTGCAATCTCAGCTACTCAGGAGGCTGAGGCAGGAGAATTGCTTGAACCCAGGAGGCAGAGGTTGCGGTGAGCTGAGTTTGGTTTGCCCCATTGCACTCCAGCCTGGGCAACAAGGGTGAAACTCCTTCTTAAAAAAAAAAAAATTAACAGAGAAGGGGAAAGAGTAAGTGTCAGGATGTCGCAGAGCCTGCCCTCCTCACCCTCACGATTATCAGGGCTTGGCCTCCTGCTTGGCACGGGCACACAGACGCTCCTCAGGGCCTACTTGGGCCTCCTGGTCTTCGGGCTCCCATGTGGGGCCGCGCAGCAGGAAGTCACATAGTGGTGTCCAACCTTTCCTCGGGTGCAATGCTCTTGTGGGCATTCACAGGTAGGGTGCCCAGGTGTGTGCCTGCTCATGTGCTCCCCCAACTAGCACCTTTCCCTGCTGCCGTGCTGCTGGGCCCACCCACTCACGAACTGTAACCGGAACTTCAGCAAAACACCCACGGAACTCGAGCTATGCAAATAGGTGCACACACACGGAGGGATCCAGGGAAGAGAGCCAGGAAGTGACACAGGCAGGCAGAGGATTCCTGGAGGGATCTGAAGGAGCATGTGTACAGGGAGTCAAGGACTGGCACGATGGCCTTTTGCTGTCCGGGGGCAGTGGCGTCTGTGCACACTGCACACTCACCTCTCCCAGCCTCCTTACCTATGCTCATGCCCGGGCCCCACAGGCCTTGGCATCGGTTTGGGGACAGGCCTGGAACATTAAGAGACATTTCCCACCCTCTCCCTGTAGGAACCTCCCAGGGTGGCCAGACCTGTGTGAGTACCAGGAGCCAGGTCTCTGGCACAGCTCCCCAGGAGAATGGGCAGGCCTGGGCGTGCTGAGGGAGCAGGCGTTGGGGGCTCTTACACAATCCCAGCCAGGCTCGCAAGGCGGGAGGGTAGAAAGGCTCCTGGCAGCTCCCCAGGCCCTTATGCCTGGATAAGGAAACCACAGTCTGAAACTCCTGGGTTTCTGAAGGGCTGGAAGGCGGGATTTTTTGAGACCTGCTCCACTCCACCTGCCTCCCAGACTCTGTCATGCCTTTGAGGCCAGAGGGGCTGCCAAGCATGTCGGGCACCAAATCACAGGCTTCCAGAAACTAGAGAGGCCAGTGCCCTCATTTCCCACTGAATACGGAAAGAACTTGCTGAAGACATTGTTCCTTTGTCCAGAGTCCTACAAGCTCTGTAAAGCCAACCCACTTAGGTACAGATAGCAGCTGGAAAATGGGGTGCAGTGGTTTCCCAAATGTGTCGGACACTATTTTAAGCACTTTCTGAATATTAACTTATTCAATTCTCACAATAATCCTGCAAAGTAGGAACTATTATTGTCTTCTCTTTTTTATTTGTTTTTATTATTTTTTTAATATGAAGTCTCACTCTGTTGTCCAAGCTGGAGTGCAGTGGCGCTATATCAACTCACTACAACCTCCACCTCCCGGGTTCAAGTGATTCTCCTGCCTCAGCCTCCTGAGTAGCTGGGACTACAGGCACGCGCCACCATGCCTGGCTAATTTTTGTATTTTTAGTAGAGATGGGGTTTCACTATGTTGGCCATGCTGTTCTCTAACTCCTGACCTCGTGATCAGTCTGCCTCGGCCTCCCAAAGTGCTGAGATTATAGGCGTGAGCCACCATGCCCGGCCTCTCTTTTTTATTTTTAATTTTTATTTTTATTTTTTATTTTTTGAGAAGAAGTTTCACTCTTGTCACCCAGGCTGGAGTGCAGTGGTGCCATCTTGGCTCACTGCAACCTCCGCCTGCCGAGTTCAAGCGATTCTCCTGCCTCAGCCTCCCGAGTAGCTGGGATTACAGGTGCCCACCACCGCGCCCAGCTAATTTTTGTATTTTTAGTAGAGACGGGGTTTCACCACATTGGCCAGGGTGGTCTCGAACTCCTGACCTCAGGTGATTGCCCGCCTTGGCCTCCCAAAGTGCGGGGATTACAGGTGTGAGCCATCACACCCAGCTTATTTTTAAATTTATTATTATTTTTTATTTTTCTCGAGACGGAGTCTTGCTCTGTTGCCCAGGCTGGAGTGCAATGGAGCAATCTTGGCTCTGCAACCTCCACCTCCTGGGTTCAAGTGATTCTCCTGCCTCAGCTTCCAGAATAGCTGGATTATAGGCGTGCACCACCATACCCAGCTAATTTTTTGTATTTTTAGTAGAGATGGGGTTTTACTATGTTGGCCAGGCTGGTCTTGAACTCCTGATCTCGTGATCCGCCCGCCTCAGCCTCCCAAAGTGCTGGGATTACAGGCGTGAGCCACAGCGCCTGGCCTATTTTTTATTTTTTAAGACAGAGTCTTGCTGTGTTGCCCAGGCTGGAGTACAGTGACACCATCATGGCTCACTGCAGCCTCAACCTCCTGGACTCAAACAATCCACTCACCTCAGCCTTCTGAGTAGCTGGGACTACAGGCACATGCCACCATGCCCGGCTAATTTTTAAAAAATTTTTAGAGTCGATGTTTCGTCATGTTGCCGAGACTGGTCTCCAACTCCGGAGCTCAAGCAATCCTCCTGCTTAGGCCTCCCAAAGTGCTGGGGATAGAGGTGTGAGCCACCACACCTGGCCGTCCTCTCTGTTTCTTAGAGGAGAGAAAGTAACTTGCCCAATTCACAAAGCTAGTGTATGTCAGGGCTGCCATTTGAACCCAGGCAGCTTAAAAATTCATTCTGCCTGATCTTTTGGGGATCAAGCAGATTTGTGAGATAACCAATTAGAAATATGTTGTAAATGGCTTTAGGAGCAGGCTTAGTTGCAAACTGAAGTGCCCACAGGGCCAGGCAGATGAAATCAATGTGTTACTCAGGCTGGGCGGGGAGAGGCCTGTGGGCCATGTGGACAGTGTGTAGACCACCCAGAGGTGTCCCTGTGAAAATTCCCCCAAAACAAGCCAGGCACAGTAGCAAGCATCTGTTGTCCCAGCTACTCAGGAGGCTGAGGTGCGAGGATAGCTTGAGCTCAGGAGTTGGAGTTCAGCTTGGGCAACATAGCAAGACCCCATCTCAAAACAAAACAAAACATGCCTGGAGGACATATTGGGTCCCTTGCTCACAGCAGCTCTAGCCGAAGCCCACTGTATCTCAGGCTGGGGTCAGGAAAGCAGGCTTACCAGGGCACACCAGCTTGTCTTGGGGGGTTTGAAGGGCAAGGTCACCAAAGTGCCTGACTTCCTCTGTAATAACAAAGGGCATGAGATGTATCAATGAGTGGAAGTGACAGAGGACAGGAAGAATAGTCTGTTCAGAAACAGCAAAAGAGGGCCGGTGTGGTGGCTCATGCCTGTAATCCCAGCACTTTGGGAGGCTGAGGCGGGCGGATCACTTGAGGTCAGGAGTTTGAGACCACCCTGGCCAACATGGTGAAACCCCGTCTCTACTAAAAATACAAAAATTAGCTGGGCATGGTAGCAGGTACCTGTAATCCTGGCTTCTCAGGAGGCTGAGGGAGGCAGGAGAATCACTTGAACCCACGAGGCGGAGGTTGCAGTGAGCCAAGATCATGCCAATGCACCCCAGCCTGGGCAACAGAGTGAAACTTCGTCTCAAAAAAAAAAAAGCCTGGCACGGTGGCTCACGCCTGTCATCCCAGCACTTTGGGAGGCCGAGGTGGGCGGATCATGAGGTCAGGAGTTTGAGACCAGCCTGGACAATATGGTGAAACCCCGTCTGTACTAAAAATACAAAAATAGTAAACCCCATCTGTACTAAAAATACAAAAATTGGCCAGGCATGGTGGTGCACGCCTGTAGTCCCAGCTACTCGGGAGGCTGAGGCAGAAGAATCCCTTGAACCCGGGAGGCGGAGGTTGTGGTGAGCTGAGATCACGCCACTGCACTCCAGCCTGGGCTGAACAGAGTGAGACTCTGTCTCAAAAAAAAAAAAAAAAAAAAGAAACAGCAAAAGAGGTAGGGAGCTACCTGTTGCTGAAGGAACACGGTTCTTCATAGCCTAAATAACTCCCCCACTATGAGCTGTCAGATACCACACTCCTGGGATGAGAGGGAGGTCCATGGGGGCAACTTCTGCCCCAGGGCTCATCTAAAAATGCAGATTCCTCTGTTTTAGGACTTAGCCTCGGCTCCATCATTGATCCAGTGGGTAACTCCAAGTCCCTTGCTATAATCTCTAGGTTTGCTTTTTTGATTTGTTAAAAGGAGGGTTATATCAGAAGTTGAACCTGTAAATGTGTTGATTTTCAGTTCGTTTTCACCTACATAGACATCAGTTTCATATGGTTCAACTCCATAACTGTCCTACCCACCTTGTACATGAAAATGAAGCATGAGTCAAAGGCTCACTGCCATGTACACAGCGGGCATTCAGTGAGTGTTTGGGAAATTTAAGTGGTGGTTCTGGAACCAGATGGGCATGAGCCTTCCTCACCCACTTCTAGCAAAGGCACCTGCATGGGAATAACGTCAGAAAACAGTTCTTTTTTTGTTTTTTTTTTTGAGATGGAGTCTCACTCTGTTGCCCAGGCTGGAGTGCAATGGCGTGATCTCAGCTCCTGCAACCTCTGCCTCCCGGATTCAAGCGATTCTCCTGTCTCAGCCTCCCGAGTAGCTGGGATTACAGGCGCACGCCACCAGGCCCGGCTAATTTTTGTATTTTTAGTAGAGACGGGGGTTTCACTATGTTGGTCAGGCTGGTCTCGAACTCCTGACCTCGTGATCCACTCACCTCGGCATCCACCCACCTCAGCCTCCCAAAGTGCTGGAATTACAAGCGTGAGCCACCGCGCCCGGCCAGGCAAAGCAGTTCTTAGAGGGAAATTCACATTCATCAGTTCCTTCTGGGTGTTTGACCTTCCCGCTCCCACAACAGCCTGAATCCAGAACTGTCAAGTCTGGTTTTCAGCTATGGACACAGTCCACTGCCCGAAGGCCACCATCCAGACGACGGGGAAGCCTTGATGGCCTTTCCGGAGCCACTGCCCGAAGGCCACCACCCAGACGAGGGGGAAGCCTCGATGCTTAGAGATGGTACAAGCCAGGCTCTCATTGCATCTGGGTTTCGTGGAAAAAACAATCCTCTCGAGGGTAACTGGAACTTAATGGATGCGCCGCAGGTGGAAGGCGCTCTGTCCCCCTGTTTACGATGACGCATAATCCCTCCAACTCTCTGAGAATGTGACACAAAGGAGGGGGTCACGGTGGCTGAGGTCAAGGAGCCCTTCCTCTGTGAAGGGCGGCCCCAGGTCTGCGCGGCGGTGAAGACAGACTGGCAGTGGGAGGGAGGGAACCCGACAAAGAGTTGAGACGCGTAGTCCTCGGGAACAGCACTGTGGAAGTCCCCCGGATTGAGGCGCGCCCGTCCAGTGGAGAATGCCACCTCCAGCCACTGGGGCGCCTGGGGGCAGGGCGGAGACACAGCGGGCGTCCCTTCGCCGCTGCATAGGAGGGCGACCGCTGGGCAGCGGGTGTTGGCGCGGTATCCCCGCCCTGCCCAGCATCTGCCCCACGTTTCTTCAGGCTAAACTACCGGGATCCCGGGCTTCTTCCTAAAGTAAAACTCGCTCCGGAAAGGCCAACAGTCCAGCGGCCAGACGGGCACCTGGGAACGCGGGCCTAACGCGTACTGGAGACGGAGTGGCGCCCGGCACTGCGCGCCTCCTCCCCGCCGGGAGACTGCGTGCTAAGCTCAGCAAAGCCCCGCTGTGGAGACGGAGCCATGTCGCCCATTACCTAATGAAACTGAGAAGGGAGACTCAGTCTCTCTTCTAGCCCCGAGCGCAAGCTCTGCTGGACTTGGCATCGTCCGCCCTCCACGATCCCACACTCCGGGTTTTCCCCATTCCCAGCTCGGCTGCAACCGAGAGACAGACGGAAGAAACTGCCAATGGAAGGACGCAAAGCGTCAACTTTGTGTTCGCCCGCCACTCTCGGCCAATGTGCGCTCGTGTCTCCGGAGTCCCGCCTTCCGTGTCGGGCGCCCCCTTTTGGCAGCACAGGGACGAACCCTACGTCTCGCCATCTTGTGTGTGGCACAGGTAAATTTCTGGACTATCTTTCCACCTATTCTGGTCCTTTTTCCCACACAACCGATTTCTTAGTTCGACAGCTAAGTGCGGTGGCGATAAGGCCAGCGTAGCCTGTTGTTCTCGGATCGCCCACGTGAGCTAGATCGCTACGTCACGCCACGCTTGCCGAGCCCGGCGCCATCTTGAGTGTGGCGTTTTGATGCTCCCCTTTCTCGGGGCTCCGCATGGTTCTCTAAATGGTCCCCCAAATTTCAGGTAGTCCCCAAAGATTAGCCCAACTGGCTCCAGAGACGATGATTTTTCCCGAGGAACTCTGTAATGTTCATGTGCCCATCGCAGTCCAGCAGTGGGGTGGGAGAAGGGTAGACTCGATGGCCCGGCAGGCCCCTGGAGGAGGCTGCCCTGAGGCTGTCGCGACGGCAGTGACCGCTCGGGACAGACCCTAACTAGAAACCTAGAATGAGGGGACCGCTATGCCGTGCGGGGCCCGCGGGCTGTCCCACTCGAGGGCTGGAGCCGGCATCGCGCATCGAGTCCGCTTGATACATGAATCCGTGTGTGCTTGGGACGGTGCCCGCTTGTCGACTGACTTGGCCGACGGACGCCGGACCTGATGGTGGGCAATCGAGGTCGCCTGCCCACAGGACTAGGGGTGCCCTGCCCTGGGAGGGCGCGAGGGCATGGCAGAGGGACGGGGCGGCCCAGGTGCCCGGGTCTCGGCCTCGTGACCTCGTTGCTCGTCGTGGGGCTGCCGTCCACTTGCACTGGGACAATCCTTGGTCCAAGGCGCCCAGGCGCGGGGGGCGGGCACCTCCGCGGGCACTGCGCTGGGCACCGCCCGGGGCGAGCGCGGCCCAGCACCCCGCCTTCCCCTCCCCCGCGCTGGCAGCCGTCGTGTGCCCGCCGCCCCCTCTTCCCTCCCCCTCCTTCCGAGCAGCCGCGGGGAGGGCGGGAGAGGGAGGGAAGGGGGTTGGGCGGGCAGCTTTGCCGCGCTTTGGCTTTCTGCGTCAGCAGCCCCAGCAAAACAGCTGCGGGAGCGCGCGTCCGGAACGCGCTCGCGCACCCCTCCCCCGCGCCCTCGGCCCTGCTGAGACCCGGCAAACTCCGGCCTTGAATGACAGTGCGATCGGCGACTGCGCAGCGCGGGACGCGCCGGGGCACTGCCGCTTTAAGCACGCTTGTCCATTGTTCGGAATCGAGCCAATGAGCGAGCGCCCGCTCCCTGCGCTCAGCCAATAGCGGCCGGGCATGGGAAGCCGAGCGCCGCCCACTAATCTATATTAAAGCTTCTGGCGCCGCGTGAGTCCCCCACTGGCTGCTCTGAAAAGCCATCTTTGCATTGTTCCTCATCCGCCTCCTTGCTCGCCGCAGCCGCCTCCGCCGCGCGCCTCCTCCGCCGCCGCGGACTCCGGCAGCTTTATCGCCAGAGTCCCTGAACTCTCGCTTTCTTTTTAATCCCCTGCATCGGATCACCGGCGTGCCCCACCATGTCAGACGCAGCCGTAGACACCAGCTCCGAAATCACCACCAAGGTGAGGCTGGACGCCGCCCGCCCCCTCGGGGTCCGCGCGCCGCCGCTCGGGCGGTGTTTGGCGCGCAGCAGCTGGACTGTCTCAAGCCCGCTGTTGCTCCCTCTCGCGGGGAAACGGCCCGCCCCCGGCGCGGTGCCCTCAGGCAGCCCACTCTTTGTGTGGTGCGGGGGAGGGGGCGGGAACCGCCGCGGGCAGACGTGATGCCCGTCGGGGAGTGGGCCGGGCGCCCTCGGGGGCCGAGGGCTAGGCGCGGAGGCCGGCTCACGGCCCTCGAAACTCGTCTGTGGCCGGTATGAGTGGCGGCGGGAGGAGAAGAGCCTGGCTGGGGGTCGTCGGCCCGCCGGGCGCACGGAAATAACTTTGAAACTCAAGCGCGTTGGGAATCGGAAGTGCTGGGGGGCGCGTGTTGGGGCGCGGGCCGGCCGCGGGAAGTGGCGGCGAGCGCCCGCCGGCCGCGCTGCTCTTTGTTCGGCGCCAGGCCGGCGGTTTCGCGCCCTGCAGCGGACCTGAGGTGGTTTGTCTAGACTAAGTCCCGATAAGGCGGATGGGGCGACGGGCTGGCTGGCCGCGACGTCGGCCGTCCCGGCGGAGGTGTGACGGGCTTATCCGCTTTGGGCGCTCTGGGAGGCGGGGGTGGGCGCCCTTCGAGGTGAGTGCGCCGGGAGCGGCCGCCCAGCTTCAGTCATGCACCCGCGGTGCCGGGCTTGGCTGAGGAGGCGAGAGCCCACGCGCCGCAGGGAGGAAAGAGAAAGTGAAGCGCGGCGCTGGGGCGACGATGGGCGCCCCCCGCGGCTGCCCGGGAGCACCGTGTGCGCCGCAGCTCGGGGCGACGCGGGCCAACACGGCGGCCGCGACAGGCCAATGGTAGGGTCGAACTGGGGGGGCGCCCGGGCCCCGTGGCGGGTTCACTGCCCTCGGCTATGAGGTCCTGCGCGGCTGGTGCGGCTCCGCTCCTGTTGTCGGCGCCGCCTCGGTCCCACTGCCCGCCCTGGGTAGCGTCTCCGCCCTTGGCGGGAGCGGGGCGCTCTCAGACTGACTGGCTCTTTCTTAATATTTCGGCCCTCGTCCGCGCCCGTCGTGCCCCTGCAGGGATTGGCGCGAGTCACCTTGGCGTCTCCTTAACCCTTGTGTCCCTGGCGTCATCTCTGACTCTCCCAGGGGCGACTTCTTGGCAGAGCGGAGCTCGGGGCCCGGATCTCCACAGGGGCTCTCAGTGACCCCTTCTGGACTCAGTCCGGGAATGAGTTTGTGGGGTGAGAACACCGTCCCCAGTGCGGGGCCTGGCTGTTCGATTTTCTCCGAAGCACCAAAAGGTGACTTCCCGCGAGGGCGATGAGTAGTAGCCCGAGAGGCGCATCCCCGACAGTCTCGGACCTACGCAGCCCGGTGGACTTTGGGGCGACCTCCCGTGGGACTTGGCCCGCCGAATGCAGACATTCGGGCCTGCCGGGGTGGCGGCAGTGGGGCGTCGAGTCGAGAGCCCGGCCGACCGACGCGCGACCCGCGCGCGTGCCACTGCAAGCTCTGCCTGCCGGCCGGGAGTCTCCAAGGCAAGGGACGCACTCGGCGGCCCCGGGCCACGTGCTCCCTGCGCGCGGTGCGTGCCGAGGCCCGCGCGCAAAGCCCGCCGGGCGGGGGATGCGCGCCTGCGCGCCGCGACCTCCCTGCCCCCACTGCTCCCCGGGGCTTCGGCCGCCAGGGGGCGAGAGCGGGCGGAGCCGGGGTCCGCGGAGCGGAGCGGGGCGGGCCGGACTGAGAGGGCCGACAGGTGGCCCGGAGCCGCTCGCCGGACAGCGGCCGAGGGGTTCCCGCAGGCCCGGACGCCGGACCTCTGTTGGTATTGGTGGCCGTGTCGTGTGGAAAAAGTTACCGGGCGCCCGGGGCCGCGCTGCCTTTTGGATCCCGGGCGGAGTCCCACCCCCGAGGTGCTGTCGGGATCCCTAGCCGCCGCGGGGAGGCCGGGAGTTGGTGGCTCCGGCGGCAGGCCCCGGCCTGGGGCACCGCCAAGCAGCGGTTTGCGGCCTCTAGGAACAGCGGTCGGATTTGGGGGGTCGGTGTGCTTTGGCTTTTTTAGATACCTGTCCTGGCCGGGGCGGTGCGGCCTCGCGGGCCTTCCAGGCTGGCGCGCCTGTGGGGCTCTCCCCGAGCGCAGGCCCCTCTCTCTTTGCCTTATTTATTTTTGGAACATAACCTGCCGCCTTTCTAGACGGCTCGAGGGGCGGGCTCTTTGCACTTGGAAGCAGGCTGATGGGCGTGAGTGTCCGGGGCTCGTCCACCCGGCCGGACGGGCTGGGGGCTGTGGCGCCACATGGCTCCTTTTTCCTGGGAAGCGCCAGGGGGCAGTGGGAACCGCCACCGGGGCCGCTGTAGCGGGCCTTAAAGGATGGGAAACCTTGATCACAGATGCCCCCCGCCGGCCTTCCTTCCACCAGACCAGTGGGAGAGGGACCGCAGGGGCATCAGGCCTTTCTCAACATGCGACTCTTAATTTGGGACGGACAGAACAGCCGTACAGACCAGTAGTTCTCAGCGCCTTTGCTTACCCTGGGTTGCTCAGAAGACTTACTGGTTACTGGTTCCTTCTTCCCTTTTGAAGGACTTAAAGGAGAAGAAGGAAGTTGTGGAAGAGGCAGAAAATGGAAGAGACGCCCCTGCTAACGGGAATGCTGTGAGTGTCTGCTTTGCTCCTGAGCCCTGGCAGCTACCGCCCCACAAAATTTTTCCTGTTCTACTTTAAACATACCTATATATGTGTGTGTATGTGTATATGTATAGCTTTGCACAGTGGCAGTATCGTAGCCAATGAGCTTTACCCGAGGCGCGATTATTGCTAGTTAAATATTTATAAAAACCTTTCGAGCAGCGCCTGAACAAGAATAGGTTCAGAGGAGACTCCGGTAGTCTGAGTTTGGGCTTGGCCCAGGGTGGGGAAAAGCCCTTGTCCTGGGGCAGTTAATGTGCAGGTTTCATGATGGAGCCTGGAGGGTGTTGACTGGAGAAGGGTCTCTGGGGTGGGCTTGGCTTGGCTGGGCTGTAGATGCAGCCGCCAGCCTCTGGTGGGAGGCCGGGCATCAGGAGCAACGCTCTGTCCAGCCTGGGGCCAGCTGGTAATGACATGGCCTGTTTTCTGTCGAGGAGAATGAGGAAAATGGGGAGCAGGAGGCTGACAATGAGGTAGACGAAGAAGAGGAAGAAGGTGGGGAGGAAGAGGAGGAGGAAGAAGAAGGTGATGGTGAGTAGCCTTGTCTATCTTCCCCTTTTCAGGTACTTTTTCCTGGCCTTGTCTGGCAGAAGGGGAAGGAAGGAATTGGGGCTCCTGGGAGTGGGACAATGGTACTTGGGGCCAGTGGACCACATGGCCCTGGGCACCCACCTGTAGAGTCAGGGAAGGTCTCCCTGACATGGAGTTGTGCCCATGCCCACTCACACTCACTCGCACACCTGAAAGTTTCTTTCGTGCAGCTCTGAAAGCCACTGATCTATTGGGCTGGCCTTTTGGGGTGCAGCTGCTTGGGCCTCTCTCCTCTGGAGAGTCCCACCTGTGTAGTGGGCGTGGGTGCCCTGATTGGGCCCAGTTGCAGGCAGTAGAGGCAGGGCAGGGACCTTGCAGTCCACTACATGTTCCTCGGGATTTCCCCAGGAGCCACAGTAGGAGGGAAGTGTGGTTTACCTGGCCTTTGATTCTCTCCAGGTGAGGAAGAGGATGGAGATGAAGATGAGGAAGCTGAGTCAGCTACGGGCAAGCGGGCAGCTGAAGATGATGAGGTGGGTTCTGGCTTGAGAAGAAGGGGGGTTTGGCATCTGGGTCTCCCCACCTGCCTTTAGCTGAGGTGCTCAAGCTGCGGAGGGACTGTTTCTGACTTTGTAGGTGGCCACTGTGTGGTCCTGAATCTTAAGAACAGGAAGGAAACAGGGCTGGGCTCAACTTCCCAGAGGCCTTGGGCTGTGGAGCTGGGGGTCCCTGGTTCTTGCTCTGCCAGCAGGAGCTGAGGCAGTGGGCTGGATAGGGCTCCTGGGGTTGGAGGGGCCTTTGACAGTCTTTCTCTGCTTAGGATGACGATGTCGATACCAAGAAGCAGAAGACCGACGAGGATGACTAGACAGCAAAAAAGGAAAAGTTAAACTAAAAAAAAAAAGGCCGCCGTGACCTATTCACCCTCCACTTCCCGTCTCAGAATCTAAACGTGGTCACCTTCGAGTAGAGAGGCCCGCCCGCCCACCGTGGGCAGTGCCACCCGCAGATGACACGCGCTCTCCACCACCCAACCCAAACCATGAGAATTTGCAACAGGGGAGGAAAAAAGAACCAAAACTTCCAAGGCCCTGCTTTTTTTCTTAAAAGTACTTTAAAAAGGAAATTTGTTTGTATTTTTTATTTACATTTTATATTTTTGTACATATTGTTAGGGTCAGCCATTTTTAATGATCTCGGATGACCAAACCAGCCTTCGGAGCGTTCTCTGTCCTACTTCTGACTTTACTTGTGGTGTGACCATGTTCATTATAATCTCAAAGGAGAAAAAAAACCTTGTAAAAAAAGCAAAAATGACAACAGAAAAACAATCTTATTCCGAGCATTCCAGTAACTTTTTTGTGTATGTACTTAGCTGTACTATAAGTAGTTGGTTTGTATGAGATGGTTAAAAAGGCCAAAGATAAAAGGTTTCTTTTTTTTTCCTTTTTTGTCTATGAAGTTGCTGTTTATTTTTTTTGGCCTGTTTGATGTATGTGTGAAACAATGTTGTCCAACAATAAACAGGAATTTTATTTTGCTGAGTTGTTCTAACAAAGCTGTCTCAAGCCTGGTTTTTCTGTTTCAGTTTCTTCAGACCTTCCAGGGCACAAGGATAGGAGGGGGAGGATCCTGGGGACAGTGGGTTGACATTTTGGGAGGCAGTTGGATGTGTCCTGTGATGGGCAGCAGAGTCTGGTGGGTGGGCAGGGACTGAGCTGCAGTTGGCTGGGGGGGCTGCTCACTGGGGCAGTCAGTGATTGCCCCAAGAAGCCTTAACTGGGGAGGAGGACTTCATCACTGGGTGCCACATGGGGACCCTGGTGCCCTGGGGGTGGGGGTTTGCAGTCCTAGACACTGGAAACGGGCCACACGGGACTGCCATTATGTGGAGCGCAGGGTGCTGGTGGTATAGGCCAAGAGGGAACTTGCCAAGCCTCCCAGGATGAGCGTCCAAGTGGTGGCTGCCTCTGCAGGCCTCACAGGTTTAGCTCCATGACGTGGCTCCCCCTGCTGGTGGCACGTGGTACCCCCCGGCCTCTTAGAATGCCGGGGTTTTGGTTTGGCACTGGTGCAGCCTGGCAGTCATCCAACCTTTGGTCTCCAGGTCCCTTAGGTTAGTTGGGCAGGCCCACCCTGCCCCTTGAACACAGTTGGAGAAGTTACTGTGCCGTTTGGATATTCATACACGGGCTGTGAGCAGTGGGTCAGGATAGCCAACTGGAGGAAGTGCCACCAGCTCGTGCCCTCAGAGGTGGAGGTAAGGATTAGAGCTCACCTAGAACCTTCTGGGATCCTCCAATGAGAGCTGCAGGGGCAGGGGCCGGTATAGGCACTGCTAGTGGGCCTGTTGCCCAGGTAGGACCTGAGGAAGCCATCCAGTGGTATCTGCAGGAAAACTCCCAGGAGCAGACTGAAGTGTCTGCAGAGGCCTGGCCTGGGTTAAGGGGAGATGCTGGGAAGGAGGGAAATGTGTGCATTGAAGAGAGCAAGAGAGACCAGTTCCCTCTACCTGCCCCTTGACACCGTGTCCACCCCATTCCATGCCCCCCCGACCTTTGTGTTTCACACCAGGCACCAGAGTTCTGGGGGGACCTTTCCCTTCTCTGGCTGGAGCTTAGTCACTCTCATGGGGCTGCTCAGGCCGCTTGTTCAGCATGTCCCCAGGCAGCTGCCACCAGGATCGGGGGCAGGTTGAGGCCTTGGTAGGAGGGACCCTCTGACCTGTATCTACCCCACACCCCCTGCACAGCCTGGGTATCTGCATCCTGGCTCATCCAGGGAAGAAAGGGAGGGTCTGGAGCCAAAACGCTGGCTCCTCTCTGTTCTGCCGCCCAAGGCGACTCAGTACTGCAGTGTTCCCAAGCTCGGCGCCCAGGAGGGTGTCTCTAAGGCAGGAGTGCAGGCGAAGGCCGTGAAGGAAGGCCACACAGGGCAGGTAGCGCTTGGAGCTGAGAGCAGATCTAACCCAGCTCCCTCAGGCTGCAGTCCTGCTCGGGACCACTACCGCAAGGCCCCTGAAAGGGGAGAAGCTGTGCCCTGGTCCGCACACAGACACGGCAGGCATGTTAGCATGAGGCAAGTAACTGAACCTTGTGGGCTTCAATCCCCTCCTCTGCAAAATGGGAACAATAGGATGAGGCATGAGCCAGGGCCCAGGGCTGCCTTGCTAGGGTCCCCCTGAGACACCCATATCAGCAGAGCTTACTGCCTCTGCTGTCTGAGCTGCCTCATCCCACCAAAGGTTTGGCCTGGAACAGCATTTGCTGGTTCTAGCAGAACACACTTACCCCTAGTCCTGAGCCTAGCACACAATTAACCACTGCCTGAGGATATACCTCAGGGCCCAGAGTCACCTTGATACCACTCCCAAAGTCCCCGAATGACCTCCCACTGGAGCCCAGGTTAAAAGATTATCAAGGAATGGGCGCCCCCTGGTGGACACAGAGGAACTGTAAAGCGTGCCGCTGAATTCTGTCCAGGAAAGACCCTTCAGTGGGCCCTGGTCCCAAGGTAGGCAACGCCAGTCACCCTCCACCTGACTCCCGCAACAAGACCTTTCTCCCTCTCTGTTGCTGGAACCCCAGTCAGATGTGACAGTCAGTGGTCATTTCCCAGACCTTCCTTCTGGGCAACTGATGCCCTCTCCCAAGGACTGAGTCCTTTACGTGGAACCAAAGCTGGAAGCAGGGGTCCACTCTTCCACGGTCTTGGGCTTCCCTGTGGCCACACACACCCTCACTGGACTCCACGCACCCTCACTGGACTCCATGCACCCTCACTGGACTCCATGCACCCTCACTGGACTCCATGCACCCTCACTCACTGGACTCCATACTGCCTCAGCAGACTCCACACTCTCTCACTGGACTCCCTGCTCCCTCACTCACTGGACTCCACGCACCCTCACTCACTGGACTCCACGCACCCTCACTGGACTCCACGCACCCTTACTCACTGGACTCCACACATCTTCACTGGACTCCACACATCCTCAGTGGACTCCACACATTCTCACTGGACTCTACAGACCCTCACTGGACTCCACGCTCCCTCACTGGACTCCACACTCCTTCACTGGACTCCACACACCCTCACTGGGACTGCTGCCCTGAGTACAAACTAGGAGAGTTTGAATGGGGGGTGTTCACTAGAATGACTAGAATGACTCAGTCACTAGAATGGGGGGCGGGGAGTCAGGGGCTCCCAGCTCTACTTCCTGGCTTTATCTTGGCTGTTGGCTACACAGCCCCAGGAATCAGTACTGCTTCTCCTCTACTGCTATCACAAGCCCTGGGGTCAGGATCCTCAGCCTCTGGCCCTTCCTAACTCCTCCCAGATCTCAGTCCCTCCAGGGCCCTGCTGCCTACCCTGCCTCTACCAAGCCTGCGGGTTGGATGCCTGTGTCCTAGATACAGGCCAGCCCTGCCTGCCTCAGGGCGCTGGCTGCTGCGTGGTCCCCTCCTGGTGGGAGCTGCTTCATGAGGGTGGAATCCCTGGGCCCCGTGTTATTTGGGGCCTGCTTCAGTCTGGCTGGGCCTCACAGGCCTGGCCCCCCGCTATGCCCAACCTGTCTGCTCAGCAGCCCATCTCCTTGATGCAAGTGTGCTCAGTTTTGCTGTGTCGCTGCTTGTCCTCCCTGTACCCCAGGCCCATGGAGGCATGGGCAGAACCAGCCAGGGAATGGGGCAGAGCTGTGCTCTGAGCTGTTCCTCTCGGGATACCTCAGCCTACGCTCATGGGTCTGGCCTGAGCTCAGAGAGGTGGAGGAAGCACAGATTAGGAAACATGGCTGAAACATTTTAAGGCCGTCCGGCACACTGACCCTATTTATATACTGGGTGAATGACACATGCATTGTTTGCAGAGAAGGCCTAGCAGCCAGTGACTGATGTGGATTCCATGAAGTCCTGAGCATAGCCAAGGATCGATGGTATGCCTCCATGGGCTCTCTGTCAAGGCTGTCACCCACAGCAACAAGAAGTACCAGGTGGTCACTTGAAGCAACCTCATTTTACATGCACCCATGTGGGGACCCCACTGTGAGACTCTGGGCAGGGAGCAGATCCCTTACTGAAAGGAGCTGCTGGTGGATTCCATAAGGTCCCAGGGGACATCTATTGTTTTTGCCACCAGCAGCCATTCCTTCACCCTTTTCTTGGCAGTAATGCCCTGAAGCAATGTCCAGCTTTTTTTTCTTTTAGACAGAGTCTAGCTCTGTCGCCCGGGCTGGAGGGCAGTGGCGTGATCTCGGCTCACTGCAACCTCCGCCTCCGGGGTTCAAGCCATTCACCTGCTTCAGCCTCCCGAGTAGCTGGGATTACAGGCGTGAGCCACCAGGCCATAGCTTTCCTTCTGAACTTCCCCCCTCCCACACTCAGACAAGCCCCAAGGCAGAACATGTGACTTGGTCCTGGCCAATCAGTGGCCTGAGGTGCCCTGGCTGCATTGGTTGGTTCACAGTTGGCACATGACCTAAGTCATCCAATCAGAAGGAGTTCTGGGATTTTTTTTTTTTTTTTTTTTTTTTTTGCGGGGGTTGCCGGAAAGGGAAGAAACATTTGGTTTTGTCCCTCAGGGATTTGAACTTAAGAGGCTGAGAAGATGAGGCTGCAGACTACTCAGTGAGAAGCAGAACTGAGCCAAGAGGCAGAGGAACCTCAATTCTGATGACATTGCTTGAGTGCTTCAGTCCAGCCACGCGGAGTATTCAGTTACACAAGCCAGTAAATTTCCTCCCGGTTTAGGCTAGTTCAGGATGGGTTTTCTGTCATCCGTAACTGAAAGACTCCCAACTAATAAACAGGGAGAATGCAGGGCTTCAGGCTTCAGTCTCCAGGGCCAACTAGGCCTCCATGAACAAAGACAGCTTGCTGGTGGGGGACAGAGGTGTGGGGATGCCTTTTCTGGTGTGGTTTCCAGATTGGGAGGAATACAGAGAGGTGAGTCAGCCTCAGAAGAGGCTGTGATCTCATGGTCAGTCTCTCAGCAGGATCTGAGTCCTGCCTGAACCATTCCAGCCAGGTGGGGGGATGGCTCGAGTCATCTGAGCTGCCCACCTGGCGTCCTCTGTGTGAAGCTTCTAATCCCCTCTTCTCCAGCCCACAGTGATCTCTGGCCCGCTGACCTCCCAGTGCTCCCATCGGGCCTTACAGGCAGACACACTCATTGAAGTGACTCGATGGCCCTGGGAGGCTTCTGGATAAGGTGTGAGATCCCGTCTTCATGCAGCCTGGAACCTCCCAGTTGTCTCTCTGCCCCAAGGTGTACCTGAGAAAGGGGAGGTGACTCCATCCCATCTGGAGAAACGCTAGGTTAAGCAATGCTAAAAGGGTTTTCTGGCAGGACATTGTGGCTCGTGCCTGTAATCCCAGCACTTTGGGAGGCTGAGGTGGGAGGATCACTTGAGATATAGAGTTTGAGACCAGCCCCAGCCTGGAAAACACAGTGAAACCCTGTCTCTACAAAAAATTAAAAATTAGTCAGGAGTGGTGGTGCACGCACCTATAGTCCCAGCTACATGGAAAGCTGAGGTGGGAGGATAGCTTGAGCTTGGCAGGTCGAAGCTGCAGTGAACCACTGCACCACTGCATTCTGGCCTGGGTGATAAAGCAAAACTCTGTCTTAAAACAAAACAAAACAAAAAAACAAAAGAGAAAGGTTCTCTTTCTGTAGAACTCACTGGGCACTGGGCAGTGCCCAGGGAATTCTAATATACAAAGGGTACTGAGTTTCCGAGAGGAAAGTTTAGCATGCAGTTCGCTCTCAATTTATTTGACCTGGATTTTTTCACAGAGCGCTATTAATATATTGAAGGACATTAGTGTCCAGTAAAAGCTGATCTTGCACAAGGACCCTCACCAGGGCTCGGGAAATGTTTGCTGAACTAAGCAGATGATGGAGAAGGATTCCTTTGAGAATTTGTTCCACAGTCTGGCTCTTGGAACCCCACATGGGCCTCATCCTCCTATGGCTGCAGGCAGCCTGGGCCCTGTGCTGACAGCGCTCCGTGTCAGTGTCAGCCCAGCACGGGAGACAGGCATGCCCTTGGCTGAGGAGGTAACTGGCATTTCTAGGTGGGGGGACAGTAAAACGTGGAAACTGGCATAAACCTTTCTGGAAAACATTTTGATCCTGTATATCAAGATCCAAAAAATATGCGCACATACTTTTGACCTAGAAGTTCCACTGCCAGGAAATCTGCTGAGGAAAGGCCGGGCAAGGTGGCTCACGCCTGTAATCCCAGCACTTTGGGAGGCTGAAGCGGGCAGATCACTTGAGGTCAGGAGTTCAAGACCAGCCTGGCCAACATGGTGAAACCCCATCTCTACTAAAAATACAAACATTAGCTGGGCATGGCGCGCGCCTGTAATCTCAGCTACTCTGGAGGCTGAGGCAGGAGAATCGCTTGAATCTGGGAGGTGGAGGTTGCAGTGAACCGAGATTGGGCCACTGCACTTCAGCCTGGGAGACAGAGTAGACTCCGTCTCAAAAAAAAAAAAAAAAAAAAAGAACTGCTGAGGGAGGCACTAGACCTGAAGGTGTCCATAACAGCATTATTATTATTATTATTATTATTATTATTATTATTTTATTGAGATAGGGTCTGGCTCTGTTGCCAGGCTGGAGTGCAGTGGCATGATCTGGGCCCACTGTAGCCTTGACCTCTTGGGCTCAGCCATCCTCCCCCCTCAGCCTCCAGAGTAGCTGGGATTACAGGTGTGAGCCACTGTGCCTGGCCTGACATTATTGATTGATAAGAGTAAAAAATTAGAGACAAGCCAAATGCTCGATCATCAGGAAGCAGGCAAGTCACTTACAGTATAACCACTTGGTAGATATCACAATGTTTACGAGAAATTTTCAAAATTGTTTTTAAATTTATAAAAGCATTCCAGGCCCACTGCATGACCTTCACGCTAGACAAAAATACTATGTGAGGAATACAGTGAGACCCCCGCTCAACCCCTTGTCTGGTCCAGTAGCCCTCTGTTAACTGTTAATGTGAAGCATGTGCCCTTCCCTCCAGAACTACAAGTAGTTTTGAATAATGTAGAGAAGAGCCTGTTTTAAAATGTCAAGAGAAAAAAAGTTGATACAGAATTGTGTCTACAGTATAATCTAATGATCAAGAAAAAAAAAGTCACGAATGAAGTTCACCAAAATGTCACTTCTTGGTGGTGGAATTATTTTTTCTTTAAGGTTGTTTTGTAAATTTTCCACACATAGATTTCAGCAGGGAAATAAATTAACAATCAATAAAAAGAAAGAAAGAAAACAAAGAAAAAAAGGCAAAACAGCAATCTGCACATCCGTTAGGTCTCTTTCAGTTGCAAGTGACAGAAACCTAACACAAACTGGTTTATGAAAAAAGGAAGTTTGTTGTCACTAGGATGTTCTGAGATAGCATGGCTTCAGGTACAGCAGGATTCAGGTCCTTAAACCATGTCATCAGGAACCCGTCTCCCTCCCGCCCTCCGTCAGCTCTGTTTTCTTTGGCATTGGTTTTGTTTTCTGGCCGTTTCACAGCTATAATACTATTGAATATGGTGACTACTGTTCGCAGCTTCTTCACCTAGCTTGGTGGTGGGAGTGGGAGGGCTGAAAAGGTAGTATGTTAACAGGACTGTTAGTTTTCTAATGAAACTCTTGAGAAAGCAGTGTGACAGACATCATGAGCCCTGTGGGAAGCCAGCAGCCCCTCATTCCCCATTCCTAGTTCAGTTGGGATTGGGCTGTGCTCTGCAGGTTCTCCTCATGGGGCCTGCTGGGACCCGCCATCTCTGAGGGGGAACCAGTCTTTTTCCCCATGGTTCCAGCCTAAGTCCTGCAGAAGGCTGTCACTGGTGAGATCTGGTCATGTGGCCCCACCCACAAGTCAGACCCACAGAGGCACTTGGACAGAGGGTGAGAATGGGGTAGGAGATCTTCCATTATGAAAAGTCAGTGTTATGAATAGGAGGGAGGCTGGGCAGGAGAAAGCAACTGATGTCTGCCACATCCAGTCAGTGGGTACTTGAGGAATTTCAATACAATTCAAAATGGAATCAGGGTGACCTGGGCCTGCTCTTGGGCAGGTGGACCTGGAGTATGACTGCACCCAGTGGTAGTGGAACCACATGTCAATATTGCCCTTGTTATTGCCCCTGAGTACTTCTTTCACTTCCCCTCATAGCTCTTCCACCACTAGGGCTAGGCAGGGAGCTTGAGTCTCATTCTCTGAGGGAAGGACGCAGCCTGGGCCAAGAAGACACTGCTCAGCTTGAGTTTCAAAGTGACTCTCTTTACTCATAGCAAGATGAGAAATCAAGCTCTCAAGAGTAGAAAAGGGCTAATGTGTTTTTATGTATCATGGACCAAAGTTCAGAGACGTGACCACAGTGGGAGAGAACAGTGAGAAAGGGCCCTGCTGACTACACAGGGAGGCGTCAAGCCCTTCAGGGCTGACTGGAGTGGGGCTTGGATCAGGAGAGAGAGAGACGATTTAGACATAAGTGACCTCATGGGCTGGCAGCTAGTGCCACACAGTGCCCCAAAGACCACACAGGTCCTTCAGTGGATGCCAACATAGAATGCCTGTGTCTTGGGGTGCCAAGCCACCAGCATCTGAGGAACTATACGCTCATCCCTGCTCTCTGGGTCCTTTCCAAGCAGAGGAAAGACGGTGCTGTCTGAGGGGTGTGGCTGCTTGAGACCTTGTCACATAGCTGGCCACCAGTCTTACTCACCACTCCTCCTTTCTGGTGCTCTCAAGGTCACTCCAGCCAAAAAATGGCCATCTGCTCTCCAGGTCAAAGTGGTGCATGGAAGGGATCAGATGACATCCCAGCCAAGGACTTCTAAGGGAACAGGCAGCAGCAGAGGATGGCGTATCCTCCACAGCTGTCATGCCCAGCCTTGTCCTGAAGATGCTGGGAGCAGGACAGGCCCGGCTCTGACCCTACTTGAGGGAGGCTTTAGGCAAGAAACTTCCCCTATGAGGCTTTGGGTTCCTCATGACTGGAACGGAGCTCACCAGCTCTGCTCCTCTCCAGGTGAGGACAAACACAGGCCCCCCCCAACTGTCACTGTTCATTATGATTAGTGACTGCAGGTTACAGGGATTTTGGCAACCCTTCTACAGGCAGGATGGGTCAGGGTTCTCAGGTGACACAGTGTGACAGGGACCGGTGCAGCTCCAGCTGTTTATGGCATAGGAGGCTCATATAGCAGAGGACTCAGCCACTGGAAGAGCTGAGGGGTCTGTGGGGGGACTCAGGAGGTAGGAGGGGGGGAATGTGAGGGGGACTGCGGGGTGAGACTAAGGGGTGACTCAGTCAGCTCAGGCTGCTGTAACAAAATACCTTCAACTGGGTGGCTTATAAACAGTAAATATTGGCTGGGCACGGTGGCTCACACCTGTAATCCCAGCACTTTGGGAGGCCGAGGCAGGCAGATCACCTGAGGTCAGGAGTTCGAGATCAGCCTGGCCAACATGGTGAAACCCTGTCTCTACTAAAAATACAAAAATTAGTTGGGCATGGTGGCAGATGCCTGGAATCCCAGCTACTCGGAAGGCTGAGGCAGGAGAATCACTTGAACCCAGGAGGCTGAGGTTGCAGCAAGCCGAGATTGCACCATTGGACTCCAGCCTGGGCAATGAGCGAAACTCCATCTCAAAACAACAACAACAACAACAACAACAACCCAGCAAATATTTATTTCTCACAGTTTTGGAGTTTGGGAAATCCATGATCAAAGGTGCTGGCTGTCTACGAAAACAAAAACAAAACAAAAGCGTGCTGGCACACTTGCCGTTGGGTGAAGGCTGCTTACTGGCCCATGGATGATGCCTCTTTGCTGCGTCCTCACATGGTGGAAAGGGGGAGGGTGCTCTCTGGTGTCTCTTTTTATAAGGGCACTAATCCCATTCATGAAGCCTCCACCTCCATGGCCTAATCACCTCCCAAAGGCCCCACCTCCTAACACTGTCTCCTTGGGGAGACATAGGAATTTTGGGCGGGGACACCAACATTCAGACTATAGCAGGGGGATACAGAGAAGGGACTGAGGGGACTGGAGGGGGGACTGGGAGGAGAGACTGAGGTAGGACTGCCCAGGGCCTACCAAAATAACAAACTGGTTGGGCACGGTGGGCTCATGCCTGTAATCCCAGCACCTTGGGAGGCCAAGGTGGGGGCACTGCTTGAGCCCAGGAGTTTGAGACCAGTCTGGGCAACATAGTGCAACCCGACTCTTACAAACATTTAAAAAATTAAAGAGAAATCAAAAACAGCAACTTAACTTTTACCGGTAGCCTCTTGTGCAATGACATGTTTTTGATGTGGCCGTCCCAGTGGCTTTTTGCCTTCTCAGGTAAGAGGCCAAGGAGATGCCTGTGTGCAGAGGCATGGTTTTCCTTAGAATATCACTGTGTATCTCCTCCAGAAATACCATTAAATCCACAATTGAGGTTCTAGAATTTGGTGCTATAACATCATTTGTAGCCTACAAATGTTTGAGGATCACTCTGGTTGTCAAATTATTTTAGTATCATAAAACGTCTACTTTTTTTTTTTTGAGATGGAGTCTCCCTCTGTCGCCCAGGCTGGAGTACAATGGCGCAATCTTGGCTCACTGCAGCCTCCCCTTCCCAGGTTCAAGCGATTCTCCTGCCTCAGCCTCCTGAGTAGTAGCTGGGATTACAGGCGTGTGCAACCATGCCCGGCTAGTTTTTGTATTTTTAGTAGAGACAGGGCTTGACTATGTTGGTGAGGCTGGTCTTGAACTCCTGACCTCATGATCCGCCTGCCTCGGCCTCCCAAAGTGCTGGGATTACAGGCATGAGCCACTGTGCCTGGCTGAAAATGTCTATTTTTAAGTAAGTCTGCTTTTACTTTCTTGGAATCCTCCAAGAAAAACGTTATAATCTTAGCCTAATTTTACCAAATGAATATTATTCAAATTTTTCAATATCTGTTAAATTATATTCAGCTTGTTGCTGAATATAAGCCAATTAAAAGTTAGTATATACCTGCCAGAGGAGATTATTTAGATTCTAAACCTGACTGAGGGCTAGACCTCAAGTAAACAATATGCATGGCCAACAGTGTATCATAAAGAAAAGAAATGATCATGATTGAACTGTTTAATAACATAAAACAATAAAATGTAATTTTAAGTTCTGTAAACAAGTAGACCAATCATCTCCACTGGATTATGCCAGGGCACCTTGTGACCCATAAAATATTCAGATAGCATATTATATCTCAAATGCACATAATTTAGCTCAAAATGAAATAATATAATATATATAAAGCATTCAAGTGACAATAACTTTGCTTATCCTCTTATAACAGAGAAGAGTTATTTAGGGGATGATTTGAGTAAGTCAGTTCACTTAAGAAGCCATTCTAAGATATCTGACTAGATGCCTTTTCCGTTGAATGCATTTCCTTTAATAAGTGCAAGAATTCAAAAGCATTCCATTGAACCAAGAGCTGCTTCAGAGCTCAGAAGTGAGTGGTCAATACCCATTTGTTGCTACAGCTGCCAGTGATGGTGATGAGTGTATGTTTCTTTCTTGAGACAGGGTCTCACTTTGTCACCCAGGCTGGGGTGCAGTGGAGTGATCTCGGCTCACCGCAACCTCTGCCTCCCAGGCTTAAGCGATCCTCTCGCCTCAGACTCCTGAGTAGCTGGGACTACAGGTGTGCACCACCACGCCCAGCTAATTTTTGTATTTTTTGTAGAGAGGGGGTTTCACCATGTTGCCCAGGCTCATCTCGAACTCCTGATCTCAAGCAATCCCGTCTCCGTCTCCCAAAGTGCTGGGATTACAGCAGGGAGCCACCGTGCCCAGCTGAGTATATGTTTTTAACCCTCTGAAAGACATTTTGTTTTTTTGAGACGGGAATCTCACTCTGTTGCCTAGGGTGGTGTGCAGTGGCATGAACATGGCTCACTGCAGCTTCAACTTCCTGAGTTCAAGTGATCCTCCTGTCTCAGCTTTGCAAATAGCTGGGACCACAGGTGTGTGTCACCATGCCCAGCTAATTTAAAACAAATTTTTTTTTGCAGAGACGGGATCTTGCTTTGTTCCCCAGGCTGGTCTTGTATTCTTGGGCTCAAGCAATCCTCCTGCCTCGGCCTCTCAAAGTGCTGGGATTGCAGGTGTAAGCCCTGGTGCCTCGTCCTTCAAGACAAATATGTCTTTAAACTAAGAGCTTAACAGAGGTCCCCCAACTTTCTCTGTTCACAGCAATCTTAGTGTTTCAGTAACTTTTATGCCAAAATAAATATCCAACTCCTCTTTAGTTAGTTAGGTTCAAACAACTTATGAAGCATTTCTGCCCTTAGTAGCTTGTCATATTATTTTGGAGAAAAGAAGCCACATAAATTGAGAAATTTTTTTTTTTTTTTTTTTTTGAGACGGGCTCACTCTGTTGCTCAGGCTAAAGTGCAGTGGTGTGATCTCAGCTCACTGTAACCTCCACCTCCCAGGTTCAATCGATTCTCCTGCCTCAGCCTCCCAAGTAGCTGGGGCTAGAGGCACATGCCTCACCACACCCAGCTAATTTTTGTATTTTTTGGTAGAGACGGGGTTTCACTGTGCCAGGCTGGTCTTGAACTCCTGGCCTCAAGTGATCCACCCGCCTCCCAAAGTGTGGGGATTACAGGCATGAGCCACCGCGTCCGGCCTAATTTCATTTTTGATTACAACGAATGACTTACTAATGGGGTGTGTGTGCCTGTTAGGCACTGCACAGCTTTTTGTACCTTGGAATCCGAACGGACGCCACCACCCTCATCTCCTGTTCAAGTTGATTTTCTCTGGGTTCTTGCTTCTTATCACCCAAACCTCCGCAAGCTCAGCTTCCCAGATATTTCATCAAAGAGAATGCAGCACAGCCTAATTTGAAACTTAACAATCTTAGCTAATAGTTAAGCATTAATAGGACAGATGTTCAGTGCCACTGTATTTTCTTTGAAAATTAAAAAAATCCTGCGGCCTCCCTGTGAGTTTGTGGAAGTGCCCTGGGAACGAAACATCTTCACCAAATCCCCGATTCTCACCCGGCTCCACCCCTCAGTTTATTTAAAGCTACAGCTGAAGCTGCTTGGTTACAGATCAAATAAAATCACCAAAGAGAATTGCTAAGCCTGATTATGTCTTCACTTTGAGGACCATTTTAACAGTGTGTTTTGAAAGCTGTGCAACAATTACCAGGTCACTAGCAAGAAGTTCTAAAAATAAACTTGACAATACAGGCTTAAAGTACTGTCCCACAGGTATAGGACAGTATTGTAGCTAGCAGGGCTGGTGATCAGATTGCACCTTAGCTTGTTCTTTCTGGCTGTGATGTGGAGGGTAAGTCAGGAAGGGAGGCCCGTGCTGCAGTCCTGAGATGGTTACAGGACCTGAGGTGGGGCCCGTGGGGATGGCGAGGACCCGAACAAGATGTTTATGAAGTGAGGTCAACGGGCTAGGGTCTACTGGGCTGTGGGGCAGTAGGGCAAGGAGAATGGAGACAGCCCATGCCCACCTGGGTGGATGTATCCAGCCACCCCTCTCACCCGTGACTGGGAGTGAAGGAAAGCAAGGACACTTGACCTCTTTGCCCGACTTCTTCCTCATTTCTCTTCTCCATCCTACTCTAGGCTGCAAGGGGAGGGCTTTCACCTCCTCCTATAACGCAGGGATTTCCCTCACGTTGTAGCCTGAGTTCTCTGTATTCAACAGGTAATCAAGTATGGTACCCCTGGTTCTTGCCATGTTGATGTCAGTTTAAGAGATTTAAAAACTCTTTTCTTTCTGAGTAAAGCCTGGCTTTCCAGAAGAAAATCTGGAAACTCAAAAATCCTGTTTTGTGCTGGAGACTCAAAAATCCTGTTTTGGAAGTCAATTGCTGAATGTTGACTTCTTTCATTTGTTTATTAAAAAAAAAAATACAGACAGGGTCTTGCTATGTTGCCCAGGCTGGTTTCGAACTCCTGGCCTCAAGTGATCCTCCCCCTTGGCCTCCCAAAGTGTTGGGATTATAGTTGTGAGCCACCCATGCCTGGCCTTGACTTCTTTCAGTTTCTATACCCCCTCACTCCAGACTGATGCTGTCATTGCACTGTCTTGTTTTCTTCAGAACACTGATCACTATCGAAATTATTTATTTGCCTTCTGTCTCCTCCCATTAAAATCTAATGGGAGATTGGCTGGGCATGGTGGCTCACGCCTGTAATCCCAGCACTTTGGGAGGCTGAGGTGGGTGGATCAGGAGGTCAGGAGTTCAAGACCAGCCTGGCCAACATGGTAAAACCCCGTCCCTACTAAAAATACAAAAATTAGGCAGGCGTGGTGGCAGGCGCCTGTAATCCCAGCTACTTGGGAGGCTGAGGCAGAAGAATTGCTTGAACCCGGGAGGACGAATTTGCAGTAAGCTGAGACCACGCCACTGCACTCCAGCCTGGACAACAAGAGCGAAACTCCATCTATAACAAACAAAAAAATCTAATGGTAAAATAGGGCCCTCATTCATCTCGTCTAGTAAGTTATCTCCACCGCTTAGAACAGTGTCTGGAGTATAAAAAGTGGTCAGTAAATGTGTGTGGAGTAAATGCGTAATGCTTAAAGAATTGGCACATAGCATCTTCTCAATACACTACAACTAAAAAAGAAAATCTAAAACATTTTTGGGACGAGGCAGCTGGAAGAAAAATGAAGAGCCTACAGATGAGGAAGGAGCAGAACACCCAGAAGAGGGGCTCCCAGAATCTAAGGAGAAGGGAAACCCAGCAGACGTCAGAAGAATCAGATGCAGCAGAGAAAGCAAGGACTTGAAGGGGCCCGACAAAGGGGTGGGGCCAGAGCCAGATGGCAGTGTTTGAGGAATGGATGAGAGGAGTGGGAAGCGTGAGTGAAGACAATTCCAAGTTTGGATCTGCAGAGAAAGAGAAGGACTAGGGCAGGAGCTGAAGGCCATGCAGGATTGAAGAGAAGTCTTATTTTTAGAAATTTATTTTTTAAGGTGATTTGAACATGTTTTGTGGGCTGAGGGTTGAAGGATCTGGAGAAAAGGCTTTTCCGATTTTGTCTTGAGCATAATCTCCTCTTCCTTTAAATTTCTAACTGGTATTTCTCTTATGGCATTTTTTTTTTTTTTTTTTGTGAGAAGGAGTCTAGTTCTGTCGCCCAGGCTGGAGTATAGTGGCACAATCTCAGCTCACTGTAACCTCCGCCTCCTGGGTTCAAGCTATTCTCCTGTCTCAGCCTCCTGAGTAGCTGGGATTATAGGCACCTGCCACCATGCCCAGCTAATTTTTTGTATTTTTAGTAGAGACGGGGTTTCATTGTGTTGGCCAGGCTGGTCTCGAACTCCTGACCTCGTGATCCGCCCGCCTTGGCCTCCCAAAGTGCTGGGATTACAGGCATGAGTCACCGTGCCCAGCTTTTTATTTTATTTTATTTTTTTTGAGATGCAGTTTTGCTCTTGTCACCCAGGCTAGAGTGCAGTGGTACAATCTTGGCTCACTGCAACCTCCACCTCCCGGGTTCAAGCGATTCTCCTGCCTCAGCCTCTTGAACAGCTGGGATTATAGGTGCCTGCCACCACGCCCAGATATTTTTTTTTTTCCCGTAGAGACGGGGTTTCACCATACTGGCCAGGCTGGTCTCAAACTCCTGACCTCACGTGATCCACCCGCCTCAGCCTCCCAAAGTGCTGGGATTGCAGGCATGAGCCACCGCCCCAAGCCTCTTATGGCATTTCTGGTAATTATTTGTTGTATCCTCCTACTACAGACAAACTCAATAAAGGTAAGCTTGTGCCTAGCACAGCATCTTATTAGTGGGTATAATAGGCCTATCAGTGTGGCCTGAATGTGGCTATATCCCCTTTGGAAGACTTTCCTGCCTAACGAGGGCCAGACTCGGTACTTCATCACATTCCCCATCACAAAAGCCCAATACTCAAAACACTGGCAAGAAACATAATGGGGGTACTGATGCGAGGGTGTATTGCATATTACACAGCAAAGTTTAACCAAAATTCTCTAAATAGAAATCTATATTCTTTCTTGCAAGTTTCCTTCTCCAAGGCTGTGCGGCCTGGGATTCTTCCCCCTTTCTCCTCCCCAACACAGACTCTTAAGCTCCTCTTGATTGCCCTGAGCAGGTGAACAATCCCTCTCAGCTTGTACAGGTCAGAGATGGGACTCTGTTCCTTAAGCAAGCTGCTTGGAGACCTCAGTCTGTCCTGCAGCCATCCTCATGTACACATCTATGTCTCTAACACATATTAAATGCCTCTACCAGTATTTCTCAAAGCATGGTCCATAGACCACCTGCATCGGAGTCACCTGGCGGCTTTAGGGTGCAGATTTCTGGGCCTCACACCTACTGATCAGACTCTCTGGGAGCCGGGTGGGGCAGGGAGATGCCCATCATTGATTTGAAAATCAGTGGCCATAGACTGTGCCAGGCCTGGTCTATATGAGTCTCTTTCCAGGAACATTCTGCAGCCTTCAGTGTATCCAGAAAAAGCTGCATCTCCAGGCATCTGGGCCTGCATTAAGGCCCACCATGCAAGAGCTGACTTTGACTTCACAAGGGTCCTAGTCCCTACAGTTCTCCTGTCCTCTCCTTTTGCTTGTGTTTACTTAGGCCTGCGCCAATTCCCTCCTTCTCCTAGCATTCAGCCTTCCTCCCCACCAGTTCAAATCCCACCCACACTACTTGGAGCCCCTAGTCAGTACTGTCCCTGAAGCACACACTTTCTATTTTTCTCAGAGCAGCTAGCAAGAAGCGTGTCTGACTGTTTTGGACAGATGAGTGAGTGGAGAAGCATTCTCTGGGAAGTCCTTTCTCCACTACAGTGTGTAGAGTACCATGAGAACATTCCTTGATGGAATTATGGGGAGCAGATATGGTTTAGCAAAGAGGAGATGGGTTCACTCTGAGAAAAAGAGATGGCATTTTAAGAAGGTAATTCAGGCTGGGCGCGGTGGCTCACGCCTGTAATCCCAACACTTTGGGAGGCTGAGGTGGGTGGATCACGAGGTCAGGAGTTCAAGACCAGCCTGACCAACATGGTAAAACCCCGTCTCTACTAAAAATACAAAAATTAGCTGGATGTGGTGGTGTGCGCCTGTAATCCTAGCTACTCAGGAGGCTGAGGCAGGAGAATTGCTTGAACCTGGGAGGCAGAGGTTGCAGTGAGCTGAGGTCGCATCACTGCACTCCAGCCTGGGCGACAGAGTGAAACTCTGTCTCAGAAAAAAAAAAAAAGATTTTTAAAAATTAGCTGGGCATGGTGGCACACATGTGTAGTCCCAGCTACTCGGGAGGCTAAGGTTAGAGGATCTCTTGAGTCCAGGAGTTTGAGGCTCTTGTGAAGCTAGTATGCCACTGCACTCTGGCCTGGGTGACACAGAGAGACTCTGTCTCTAAAAAGAATAAATAAATAGATAAATAAACAATAAAGCAATTCATTTTCACCTTGTTTTTTTCTTTCTTTTTTTTTTTCCAAGGCGGAGTCTCGCTCTGTTGCCCAGGCTGGAGTGCAGTGGCATGATCTTGGCTCACTGCAACCTCCGCCTCAGCCTCCTGAGTAGATGGGACTACAGGCGCCCGCCACCATGCCCGGCTGTGTTTTTTCTTTTCTTTTCTTTTCGTTTCTTTTCTTTCTTTCTTTTTTTTTTTTGAGACAGGGTCTTGCTTTGTCACCCACGCCAGAGTGCAGTGGCACGATCTCAACCCACTGCAACCTCTGCCTCCTGGGCTCAAGCAATCCTCCTGCCTCATCCTCCCGAGTAGTCAGGACTACAGGCACACACCTCCATGCCTGGATAATTTATGTATTATCATTTGTAGAGACTGGGTTTTACCATTGTTGCCCAGGCTCGTCTCGAACCCCCAGGCTCAAGCGATCCTTCCGCCTTGGTCTCCTAAATTGCTGGGGTTACCCCAACTTGTTTTTCCATCCAAACTTTGGTATTTAAAAAATAGCTTTTGGGCCGGGCATGGTGGCTCATGCCTGTAATCCCAGCACTTTGGGGGGCCGAGGGGGGTGGATCACCTGAGGTCAGGAGTTTGAGACCAGCCTGACCAATATGGTGAAACCCTGTCTCTGCTAAAAATACAAAAAAAAAAAAAATTAACCGGCGTGGTGGTGTGTGCCTGTAATCCCAGCTACTTGGGAGGCTGAGACAGGAGAATTGCTTGAACCCAGGAGGTGGAGGTTGCAGTGAGCCGAGATCATGCCACTGCACTCCAGCCTGGGTGACAGAGCAAGATTCTGTCTCTAAATAAATAAATAAATAAATAAAATTAATAAAAAACAGCTTTTGAAGACAACAGATCTAATATGAGGAATTGAATCATCATTGAAAGATGGTAGTACACTAAAAATATACGGTTTCTCCTCCCCACCCGCAGATGCAAACAGACTCAGGTAATAGAGAGAAAAGGAAAAGAGGAATCTGAGAGCAAGAGCTACACCAAAGAGAGCCATACCTTTGATGTGTTCTGTCCTCTGGCCTCAGACCTTACTGCTTTGGTAACTTGAAAACATGTAATTGTTGGTATTTTATAAAAGACAGTGAAGGCATGCTGGGAGCGGTGGCTCATGCCTGTAATCCCAGCACTTTGGGAGGCCGAGCCAGGCGGATCACCTGAGGTCAGGAGTTCGAGACCAGCCTGGCCAACATGGTGAAACTCTGTCTCTACTAAAATTACAAAAAAATTAGCCAGGTGTGGTGACGGGCTACTCGGGAGGCTGAGGCAGGATAATTGCTTGAACCCAGGAGGCAGAGGTTGCAGTGAGCTGAGATCCCGCCATTGGACTCCAACCTGGGCAACAAGAGTGAGACTCTGTCTCAAAACAAAACAACAAAAAAAGACACTGAAGGCTACTAGTAGCTCAGAGGTAAGAACACTTTTTGGTGTTCTCTCTTATGTCGGACCTGAAAGCACTGCCAGTTGTAATCCCTTCTCTCCCACGCTGGCTTCCAATGACGACAGTCTTAAAGGCCTCCCAGCCTCCTCCCAGCCCAGACGCCTTCCCATCATTCTCCAGTTAGGTTCATG